>NC_000020.11:37526840-37829870 GCF_000001405.40 Homo sapiens
GGCATTAGCACTTAAGCTGGAACTTTTTTTTGGTCCCAGCTTTGGTGTTGCCGTCCAGAAGGCTGACGGGATGACTGGACCATGTCAGGCAGGGCAGAGAAGCCGTCCCCAACACACCAGTTCCCTGAAAGGGATAGACGATCCAAACCTATAAACAGAAAGGCTGTTTCTTTCCGAGGACAGACCCCAGTCTCCCAACATTCGGCGATGAAATGGGACACGGAGGCCTGGAAGGAAACTAAAGGAGATTTGGAAAGGGGAAGGAAAAAACAACTGTCCCCCATCCCCCATGCTTCCTTTCCAGGCCATTAGTGCGCCAGGCATTCCGTTCCTTCAGCTGCCCTTGAGGGCCACTCCCCACGTCTATAGAAGGAAAGGGAAGGGATGTCCACCCTTGATGTAAAGTTGGAGGGAGTAAGAAGCGCCCGCGACTCTTAGCAGAGCGTCAGCCTATCACCCCAGACACCGAAGCGGAGCCTCAGGAGACCCTCTCTCCCCTCACCCCCACGTCCCCCCACCTCCCCCCCAAAAAAGCAACTAAAGCAACGCAACTAAACTGATGGGGACAGAATGACAGGCCTCTCACAAGCTGGGCACCCTGCCGTGGAACCCGGGGCTGCAGAGATGGTGGTCGCGCTCCCAGCCCCGTGCCCCCGGCTCTGCCTGTCTCATCCTGCAAGGGCGCTGACCTTGGACAAGGCCAGAGCCAGCACCCAGGAGTACTATGACCCACCTCCGGGCTGGGAAGGGACCCCCCAAGGCCCAGGCTAGGTCCAATCACGGCAATCACCTGAAGCCGGACAGGGGCGCCCTGCCTTCCCGGGGTATGCGGAAGGAAAACCCCAGTGACGGGGACCCGGCGACGCCTAAGGTGACCCAGAAGGGACAATATGGCGGCGCGGCCGCATGGAGGGCCTCTCATCCCGCCCCAAGCAGGTTGACGCCACGGTACCTGCAAGCCCTGCCATGGCGCCGCCGCCACTGTCGCCGTCTGCCGCAGCCTGCCTCCACCTCAGCTCGCCACCGACGCCGCAGGAAGCCGGGGAGACGCCCCCTTAGTCTTCTAGTCGAGCCGGCCGAGGACCCATCCTGGGATCGGGCTGTCTACCGCAAACGCCTGATCACAAGGTCCGAAGTGGGGGCTCATCCTCGCCCCATTTCCCGTAAATATCAGCCACAGACCACCTTTGAGGACTTTGTATGCACTTTTACAAAACTCTGGGAGCCCCGAGATCTTCAAGCCCGAATAATTTTTATCAGGCGCAGTGTGGACAGCCCCGAAGCGCGGCCGGGTCCCCTCATGCATATGCAGCAGATTGTGATCCTTACTCCGTGAGCGCTGGGCGGGCCGGGTTGTGTTCATGTTGGTGAACCCGCTTCGTTCTTGCCCGCGTGGATGGTCCGTGGACTCCGGGAAAACCTTCTCGTGGCTCAAAGTCCACCCCCTCCCTAGCGTTTCATCATGCAGCCAAGGCTCAGGAGCTGAAAGGTCCGGGCTCAGAACTTGGGACTGCCTTGGGTCAGGCCTCGGCTCCCCCACTTGCCCCGTACCTTGGGCCAGCGAGCCCCTCGCCCACCCCGACCCGGCTTCTGTTGAAATGCCCACCTTAGGGCTTTTATGAGGCTTGAATGAGTCCGTGTAGTCATTTATTAGCTAATTAAGCATATTCCTTGGGCGCTTACTGTACCCAAGCGCAGTGCTAAGGGCAGGTAGAGTCGGTAACCTGGGTCTGTCCCTGACCTCAAGGCACTGCCAGTCTAATGGCGGGTAGGCGGGGAGACAGTCATATAATCACTGTATATTAGTGACTTTAATCAATACATAATTACACATCATGGGAAGTGCTGTGAGAAGAAGTAGAGAGTGTTAGGAGAAATTAATGGAGTACTAATGTAGGGAAAGGGTGGAACCTCCTTGGGAAGATGGCATTTAGGTTGAGAAACAAAGGACGATTAGGGTAAGAGTGAGAGGGGAAATGTTCTAGGCAGAAAGAACATTTGTCCCAGATCTGGAGCTGGGAAGCGGCAGAGTTGGGGTGAGGTGAGCACAGAAGAAAACAGGTCAGCTACATACTGAATTTGGCTTTTCTCTTGAGAGTCAGGGAAGCCATTTTCATCAGGAAGAGGATAGCAAATTAGGATTTCTGAAAGGCCACCCAGGCCGCATGGCTTGGAAAGCACTCAGGAGTGGGTGTAGGCAGACCAGTTAGGAGGTGGTTGCAGCTTTCCAGACAAAAGCCAATGCTGACTCAGACAGGGTGGTAGCTTGGGGAGGTGAAGGGAAGGGTGGAAGATTGGACTTGGGTGGATGTGGAGGCATTGGCAATAACTCCTCGCTAGGTTTTAGCCTTGAGTAAATGAAAGGGTAAAAGATTCCTTGACCAAGACAATAAAGCCTGAAAGAGGAACGGACTGAGGGGGAAGATCAAGTTCGGCTTTGAGAAGTTAAGTTTGAAATGTCGGGGCAACATGCAGGCAGAGAGGGTGAGTAGGCAGGTTTATGTGACACAGAAGCTGCGAACGGAGGCTGGGGCAGGAGATACATATTTGGGGGCCATCAATACAAAGGTCATGGTGCTGGGTGAGAACGCAAGTGAAAGAAGGTGGAGAGAAAAGAAGAGGAGGATCCGGGAAAGGAGACTAAGAAGCAGTGGCCAGTGGGGTAGAAAGAGGACCAAGTGAGTGTGGGTCCTAGAGAGGAGGTTTCAGGAAGGAGGGAGTGCTCAGTGGGGCTGATGCTGTTGAGAACAGAAATGGAGCCGTTGGGGTTTGGGAATAAAGAAGGTTGGTGGACTGTATCTTTTATGTTGCAAGTTAAACACACAACTACATCAAGTGGCTTAAAAAAATAAGTAGCCTGCCACTCAGTGGCTAGGCAGTGTCATCAAGGACTGAGGTTCATTTTATCTTCTGTCCTTGTGCTGGTTTATGCTCATGGCCACAAGATGGCTATCCAGTTCCTGAGGTCACATCCAAAGCAAGGAGATGTCCATTTCTCCTCCAGCTGAGACTCAAAACAGGCCTGAATGTGGCCTCCCACCATCCTGCTGCTTACAGGCTAAAGGATCAATGCATCCATGGCAGCCACACCCAGTATCCAACACTGAATGACAAGAGGAGTCTTGTAGTGGAAGCTCTTGTTTAGAAAAAGAGAGAGCTGGCTTTGCAGATGCCGCTGGGATCCCCATACTATCAGCCATGGTCAGCCCCACCTTGTTCTTTGACATCACTGTCGATGACGCGCCCTTAGGCCCCTACTCCTTCGAGCTGTTTGCAGACAAGATTCCAAAGACAGCAGAAAACTTTCGTGCTGTGAGCACTGGAGAGAAAGGATTTGGTTAAAAGGTTTCCTGCTTTCACAGAATTATTCCAGGATTTATATGTCAGGGTGGTGACTTCACATGCCATAATGGCACTGGTGGCAAGTCCATCTGTGGGGAGAAATCTGATGATGAGAACTTCATCCTAAAGCATACAGGTCCTGGCATCTTGTCCGTGGTAAATGCTGGACCCAACACAAACGGTTCCCAGTTTGTCATCTGCACTGCCAAGACTGAGTGGTTGGATGGCAAGCATGTAGTCTTTGGCAAGGTGAAAGAAGAAAGAAGGCATGAAGATCGTGGAGGCCATGGAGCGCTTTGGGTCCAGGAATGGCAAGACCAGCAAGAAGATCACCATTGCTGACTGTAGACAACTCCAATAAGTTTGACTTGTGTTTTATCTTCACCACCAGACCATTCCTTCTGTAGCTCAGGAGAGCACCCTTCCACCCCATTTGCTCCCAGTATCCTAGAATCTTTGTGCTCTCGCTGCAGTTCCCTTTGGGTTTCATGTTTTCCTTGTTCCCTTCCATGCCCAGGTGGATTGCAGAGTTTATGATTATGAAATAAAAACTAACAAAAAAAGAAAAAGAGAGCTGAATGTTGAGAGGCTGTGGAGCAACAAATTCTTGCAGTGCTGACGGCAGAGCAAATTGGTACAGCCACTTTGGAAAACCAGCATCTACAAAATCTAAACATACACCTATGCTGTGATCTAGAATTTCCACTCCTAGGTATGTACCCGAGAGAAATGAGTGCCTATGTTTACATGGAGACTTGTGCAAGAATGTTCATAGCAGACTTATTCATAGCTCAAATTGGAAATAGTTCAATGTCCATCACTGGAGAATGGATAAATTGTGGCATGTTCATGCAATGGAATACTGTGTTTTACATATAAAAGAACAAACTACTGTTACATGTAATA
Organism: Homo sapiens; assembly: GCF_000001405.40. Lineage (NCBI taxonomy): Eukaryota > Metazoa > Chordata > Mammalia > Primates > Hominidae > Homo > Homo sapiens. The sequence continues at coordinate 37,531,089 of NC_000020.11, forward strand.
GCACCAGTTAATCTCACATATAGTATGTGGACTAAAAGAAGCCAGATACAAAACAGTACATACCATATGAATCCATTCATATAAAGCTCAACTAATCTATAGGGTTAGAAATCAAAATGGTAGTTACCTGGGTCAGGTCAGGAGTAGGGATGGGAAAGGAGCAAGAGGAGCTTTTCTGGGATGCTGGAAGGATTATATCTTCTTCTGGCTGGTGATTATGTAAGTGAAAATTCATCAAGTAAAAATTCACCATAAGACTAGGGGACTTCGGGAGGCAGAGGCTGCAGTGAGCCAAGATCGTGCCACTGCTCTCCAGTCTGGGCGACAGAATGAGACCCTGTTTCGGGGGAAAAAGAAAGAAAGAAAGAAAAAAGACTGGGGGCTTTATATACTTTACGTATGTTATACCTCAAGAAAAATAGAAGAAAGGGGCTGGGTGTGGTGGCTCACGCCTGTAATCCCAACACTTTGGGAGGCCAAGGCAGGTGGATCATGAGATCGGGAATTTGAGACCAGCCTGGCCAACATGGTGAAACCCTGTCTCTACTAAAAATATAAAAATTAGCTGGGTGTGGTGGCACGCGCCTGTAATCCCAGCTACCCGGGAGGCTGAGGCAGGAGAATCACTTGAACCTGGGAGGTGGAGGTTGCAGTGAGCCAAGATGGCACCACTGCACTCCAGCCTGGGCGACAGAGCGAGATTCCATCTCAAAAACAGAAACAAGAAAAATGGAAGAAAGGAAGGGGTCCTGCCATCCCATGGAATGTGACATGCTGCTAAACAAGGATCAGGTCTGTTTTGCGGGATACCACCTTCCAGTAACTTCAGGCTGAGTGTTAGCATGTACAAGGCCTCAGTGGCCAGCCCTTTCTCCCTGGGGCCCAGAAAACTGGGGAAGCTGAGGCAGGGCTTCTAATGCACATGGAACTCGCTCCTGCTCAGCTGGACCCTTTCCCCTCTGTCCTCAAGATTGCTCCACCTTCCCAGCTCAGTTCCAGGCTGTGGAAACACCATCAACACCGGCTTTGACTTGAGAGACCTGGAAGGTCATTCTGCCCTAAAATTTTGCTGAGCCAAACTCAACTTCCTACCAAGGCTTCCCCAACTTGCTCCCACCCACCAGACACCTGGAGTCACCCATGACTCCTGCTCCCTCTTGCTCCATACTCCTCAACTCTTGCCCATTGCTCCTGAATTTCCTTTAGGCCTTTTCTGTCCCCACTGCCAAAGTTTGGTCCAGGCCACCATCCCTTCTCCCCTGAACCCTGCAGCAACCTCCTCACTGGTCTCTCTGCTGCCTGTCTCACCCAGAACCTTCATCTTCCACCCAGGATGATTTTTTCTTTTTTTTTTTTGAGACGGAGTCTTACTTTGTAGCCCAGGCTGGAGTGCAGTGGTGCGATCTCAGCTCACTGTGACCTCTGCCTCCCAGGTTCAAACGATCCTCCCACCTCAGCTTCCCCAAGTAGCTGGGAGTTCAGGTGCACACCACCAAGCCCAGCTAATTTTTGTATTTTTAGTAGAGGTGGGTTTCACCATGTTGGACGGGCTGGTCTCAAACTCCTGACCTCAGGTGATCAGCCTGCCTGGCCTCCCAAAGTGCTGGGATTACAGGAATGAGCCACCATGCCTGGCCCAGGATGATCTTTGTAAAATGACCTTGTCACTCTTCTTGAGGTGGTGTCCCCTGTCCCCTGTCCTCATCTGTCAAGATCTTCCCCAGTCTTTAAAGGCCCAGATCAAATGCCACCTCCTCCATGAAGCCTTTGCATTCATTCATCAAATATTTTTTGGTTACCTAAAATGTGCCAGGCACTGTGCTAGGCATGGAAGATAGAAAAGAGAATAAGAGCTGGGCACAGTGGCTCGTGCTTGTAATCCCAACACTTTGGGAGGCCGAGGCAGGTGAATCACTTGAGCTCAGGAGTTTGAGACCAGCCTGGGTGACATGGTGAAACCTTGTCTCTACAAAAAATAAAAATAAAAAAATTAGCTGGGCGTGGTGGTGCGCATCTGTGGTCCTAGCTACTTGGGAGGCTGAAGTGGGAGGATTGCTTGAGTCCGGGAAGTTGAGGCTGCAAGTGAGTCATGATCATGGCACTGCACTCTGGGTGCAGTGCCTGGTGACAATGCCTGGGTGACAGAGGGAGACCCTATCTCAAAAAAAAAAAAAAGAATATATATATGTTTTCTAAAAAGACACTACAGACAGTCTGGAGAGATGGGCAATTATGCAATGCCAATGCATGTGCATTTTCTGTCTGTTAACCCCCATGAGACCGTGAGCTCTTGGAGGGCAGGGTTCATTTTGGGTCTGGTAGGAAGGAAGAGGCAGTAACTGTTGAATGAATAAGTGAATGATTGAAAGGCTAGACCGAGCTCCTCCCTTTGTCATGTATCCTCCAAGTCTCTGATTCAGCTGGTAACCAGGTCTATGGAATTCAGTTGGGACTGGATGGCAAATTTGGGGCTAAATGATAAAGAATCAGGAAATGGTTATGTTATGAATAGAACAATGTTTTGTGAAATCACAATACTTACTTTCCTATACATCAGTCTGCTTGACAATTACTTTAAAAAAAATCAACATTATCTCCTTACCAATACTTATATATTCAGGAAATTCTACCTGTAATGGAACAATAGTTAAATGTTAAAGCACTAAAGAAGCTATGTGATATCAAAAGATTTTAAAAGGGATAAAAAACATTATTACCAAGGTGACCAGAGAATGGAGTAAGCTCCAGGATGGCGCAGACTGCAGCCAGAATGCAAGGGTTCATTTCCATTCTACATTTACTGGCTGTATGTCATTGAGCAAGTTAATAAACCTCTCTGTCCCTCAGTTTCTCCATCTGTGAAATGGGGACACATTTGACTCTACCTCATGTGATCATTTGTGGGAATTCAATGAGTTTGTGTTATAAAATGCTTAGAATAACACTGGTTGGCCGGGTGCAGTGGCTCACACCTGTAATCCCAGCACTTTGGGAGGCCAGAGCAGGTGGATTACCTAAGGTCAGGAGTTCGAGACCAGCCTGGCCAATATGGTGAAACCCCGTCTCTACTAAAAATACAAAAATTAGCTGGGTGTGGTGATGCACGCCTGTAATCCCAGCTACTAGGGAGGCTGAGGCAGGAGAATCACTTGAATCCAGGAGGCAGAGGTTGCAGTGAGCAGAGATCACGCCATTGCATTCCAGCCTGGGCAACAAGAACAAAACTCCATCTCAAAAAATAAAAGACTAGCACGGGTTACATAGTTAGTACCCTTAATTACCTATTGTTACAAATATGTAAAATTATCCTGGGGACTGGAGGCACTGTGGGAGCCCTGGCAGGGAGGGCCTCTCCCCACCATGGCTTTTAAGGTGTCAGGACAACTGGGTTTAAATCCCTGACCTACTTTCCTGACCTTGGGAAATGTTCCCAACTCTAAGGCCCTTTTGTTCCACACTTCTCAGGGCTTTCTCAGATGGGAAGCAAGTATGCTATTTTAGCCAGGTCTGTGGTGACACCTAATGGTAAAATGGGGAACTGCCTGATCTTACTAAACTTCCATCAACCTATTAATAGTACAAGCAATAACTATATATCACGCTCTTACCATGTGCCAGAAACTGAAAGCTGTGTGAACTGTCTTAGTTCACAGCTTAGGCTGACTGATTTAACCAATCAGCAAGTCCTGACAGCCCTGCCTCCAAAATAAGTCACAACCTAGCCCATCTTCTTATATCACCACTGCCTCCATGCTTGACCAAGCCACCACCACCCAGACACCAGCCTCCACCTCCCCATCACCTCTTCCCACTTCTTCTCTTGCTCTCCAGTCCATCTAAATCCTAAAGAAATGGGAGGGTCAGTGGGAGGTTTTAAAGAGGAAAGTGATCTGATCTGACTTGCTTTTTTTTTGAGACTGAGTCTCGCTCTCGTTGCCCAGGCTGGAGTGCAATGGTGCAATCTCGGCTCACTGCAACCTCCACCTCCCGGGTTCAAGCGATTCTACTGCCTCAACCTCATGAATAGCTGGGATTATAGGTGCCTGCCACCATGCCCAGCTAATTTTTTGTATTTTTTTAGTAGAGACGGGGTTTCCCCATGTTGGCCAGAATTCAGGCTGGTCTCAAACTCCTGACCTCAGGTGATCCACCCACCTCGGCCTCCCAAAGTGCTGGGATTACAGACGTGAGCCACCGTTCCTGGCCACGACTTCCATTTTTAAAAGATCACTGTAGCTGATGTAAATGGATTGGAGAGCGAGAGAGGAAGTGGGGAGGTGGTGGGGAGGTGGAGGCAGGTCTGGGTGGTGGTAGCCTGGTTAAGCATGAAGGCAGTGGTGATACAGGAAAGTAGGCTAGTTTGTGACTTTCTTTGGAGGCAGGGCTGTCAGGACTTGCTGATGGGTTAAATTGTTCAGTAGGTAGTTAGTCAGACATGGTCAGGGCAGGAGAGCTCTTCCCCCTGCCTCCCCACCCACCAGGATTCTCAGGCGACCATCAGGTGATGGTCAGGTGGTTGTTAAAACTGTCTCTCTAAAATAATAATTGGTTGCAGCTGGCGTCAGAAAAGGTGGTAGACTGAAACACCTGAAACTGGTGATCAGCAGCTTCCTGATAAGATCACAGGAGTTGGGTGAGTGGGCTCAAGAATGCGCACTATGAGGCAAAATGGTGGGGTTTAAGTGGTATGTGGCCTTCTAGGAACACTCGAATGGTAAGGGAAGAATGCCTCAAGTGAGCATGTGTACAACTGCAGTAAACACACTGCGCATGCGGCCCGTCCCAAGTGTGGGCAGGCCCCTGTGCATGCAGACAGCCCACCCCAAGGGAAGAATCAGGGGAGAAGTAACGCAACTCCAGAAGCATGCCAACGTATAAGACCCCAAGTCAAAGGTCAAACCACACACTTGACTCTCTCAAGTCGCCAGCTTGGCCCCCTTCCAAGTGTACTTTACTTCCTTTCATTCCTGCTCTAAAGCTTTTTAATAACCTGAAACCACCTTTGCAAAATTATGACTGAGACAGTGAAAGAGATCCAATTTAACAGACTCTTGCTTCGAACCTCCAAGCTGTCCTTGTTCATTCCTGGGTGTAGGCCGAACGAACTTTGGGAGAAACTTAGTTTATGGTTTATAGTTTAAACAAAGACGGTACCAGCCCTTTCCCAAAGCAGACTTCCTTCTTGCCTGGAGACTAGATTGCCTTTGTAGGACTAATATTAGCCACAAGATTAGAAATTATGGTTTAGGAGTCATGCAGCTGGAGGCTCAAGATTCTGAACTCTTGAGATCAATGCTTGAGATATTTTGCAGACCCTGCACTTGATGGATCAGCTGGCCCCACTCAAATCAATAAACTGGCTCATCTGATCTTGTGGCCCCCACCCAGGAACTGACTGAACCCAAGAAGACAGCTCCGACTCCCTATGATTTCATCTCTGACCAATCAGCACTCTTGGCTCACTGGCTTCCCCCACCTATCAAGCTATCCTTAAAAACTGCTCCCCAAATGCTCGGGGAGACTGATTTGAGTAATAATAAAACTCCGGTCTCCCGCACAGCTGGCTCCGTGTGAATTACTTTCTCAATTTCAATTCCTGTGTCTTGATATCGGTTCTGTATAGGCAGCAGGCAAGGTGAACCCCTTGGGCAGTTACAAAACTTTCACTCCTGCTCTGGAAACTTGCCTTGGTTTCTCACTTATGCCACCTGGATTGAGTTCTGTCTTCTGAGGAGGCAAGAACTGAAGTTGCTGCAGACCCATATGGATTCACCACCAGTAACAAAACCAATCCATTGCTCCTCTCCTTGGCCTGTAAGACCCTGTGTGATATGACCATGACCCAAGTTGCTCCCTTCTCATTCTCAGAGGTTCAGTCACACTGACCTGCTCTTTTGGTCTCTGCAACAGACATGATGGCTTACGTCTGTGCTCACTCAGATTCCTTTATCTTTGATGGGTTAAGGAGAGGACTCAAGGATCAATCTTGGAATTTTGGCTTGAAAAATAGATGGATTTACTGAAATGAGTAAAACCTAGGGAAGAGCAGATTTAGGCAGACTATCTTGAGTTCAGTTGCCCAGAGGATGGAGAATCCTTTTTGTTCTGTTTGTCTCAGATTATCCCAGGAGATTGCCCCTGACACAGGAATGGGAGGCGGTAATAGGTGTCAGTGTTGCTCAAAGAGACCCCTGGGCTTCTGCTGCCCTGGCCATTGTATGGGATAGTGCCAATGACTCTTTCTGAAGAGTCAACAAAAGAATAACAGAAATCAGAGTGCTTTTCAATACTTATTGCTCAAGAGGATACTTTTGATTATTTCTTGGAGAAGCCAGATGGGCCCACAGATGCATTAGAATAGGAACTTCTTTCTGGCAAATGAGTCCATTGAGGTGGAAATTTATTTGAAAGACTCAGGTTAATGTGATTCCCACAAAAGTGTGTAGGAAATGTGGCCCCAAATTCCTACCTAAAATATTAAGTGTACCCATTTTATTCCTTTGGTGGAAAACAGATAATTTAAGTACAAAGGAAATGTATCAGCAGGACCTTGGGGCTCATGGAATTGAGAGGCAATTGAAGAAGCAAACTTGGAAAGCTCAGGAACCCAGCAGGCTCTCTTCCTGCTGCAGGGCCTTTGCACATGCTGTTCCCTCTGCTGGAGGATCTTGCCTGCCCTTCACCTGGCTGACTCCAGCTCACTTTTAAGGTCTTAGCTTTAATGTTGCTTCCTTAAAATCCCTACCTGGTTCTCCTGATGAAGCTGGTATCCCTGGCAGATGCTGTCCGGGTACCAGGTCCTTTTCTTTTGTAGCCCTTAATATCATTGTGACTTAATAATTATTCATTTGATTAACATTAACATCTGTCTTCCCAAGTAGACTGTAAGCTCCATGAGGGCAGGGGCTGTTTGTCTTGGTTCCTGTTGTACTTCCAGAACCTAGCACAGAGAATGGTAGATGAAATTATGCTGCAGGGACAAACAACTCCAAAACCTCAGTGGCCGATGACGACAGATGTTTCTTTCTCGTTCATGCTACATGTGCATTGCAGCTCAGCGGTATCTGCTCCATGCTGTTTTACTCTGGGACCCAGTCTGATGGAGCAGCCTCAGATCTGGCAAGGGCTGGGTATGACTCACTGGTGTGTGGCAAGCCTCTATCAATGGACAAGGCAGAGGCTGGTGCAGCTTGAAGGTGGTTGAGCAGAATTGTGCTGAGGTCCTGGCAGGGAAGAGGGAGTTAGTCCTAGAATAGCTGAGCGTAAAAGACACAGACTTTCCCCTGAGGATCTTTGTCATCCACCACACATGCCTCTTCCAATAAAGCTGAGTTTTAGAGAGGTTAAGTGATTTGCTCAAGGTAATACAGCTGCAAGTAGCATAGACGTTAATATGGTTTGGTCTGTGTCCCTACCCAAATGTCACGTCAAATTGTAATTCTCAGCGTTCGGGGGGTACCTGGTGGGAGGTGATTGGATCATGTGGGCGGATTTCCCCTTTGCTTTTCTTGTGATAGTGAGTGAGTTCTCACGAGATCTGATGGTTTAAAAGGGTGTGGCACTTTCGCACTCTTTCTCTCTTTCTTGCTACCATGTAAAGAAAGTCCTTGCTTCCTCTTCACCTTCCGCCATTACTGTAACTTTCCTGAGGCCTCCCAGTCAGGCTTCCTGTTAAGCCTGTGGAACTGTGAGTCAATTAAACCTGTTTGCTTCATAAATTACCCAGTCTCAGGTAGTTCTTTATAGCAGTGTGAAAACGGACTAATACAGACATTAAGAACATAGGCTTTGGAATCAGAAAGACCTGGGTTCAAATCCTGCCTCTTTGTGACAATGAAACATCAGCATAATGATAGTAATACATTATTACACACTGAATAAAATAAGAATCCATGAGTCTATGCTGTTAATAAAGAAATAAATGGGAGCAAAGGAGAGCTCTTCCTTACAAGTTGAATGCCAAACAGCTTATTAATTACAAAGGAAAAAAAATGACAATATAGTGGAGAAACCTGACAGGCTGCACCTTAACTGAGTGATCAAAGTTAACATCACCAGTAACAGGACAAACCACACTTCTCTGGTATTCCTGCCAAAAGTACATAATCTAGTCATGAGAAAACAATTAGACGAACTGAAGTTTGGGGACAGTCTACAAAATAACTGGCCTGTCTCTTTAAAAAATGCCTTTATCTAAGATAGAAAAAGAAAGGAGCTGTTCCAGTTTAAAGGAGACAGAAGATATATAATAACTAAATGAAACATGTAATTCTGAACTGAATACTGCACTGGAAAAGATTCGCTACAAAGGACATTATTGGGAAAGCTGGCAAAACTTGAACGTGGACGATAAACTAAATAATAGTATATTATTTATTGTTAAATTTCCTGATTTTAATAATTATACTACGGTTACAAAAGACTAGATCCTTGTTCATCTGAAATCTTTAGAAAAATAGAGGCATGATGTCTGCAACTTACTTTCAAATGATTGAGATTGATCTATCTATCTATCTATCTATCTATCTACCTATCTATCTATCTATCTACCAATCAATCATGGATGAAAAGAGTCACACTGTAAAATATTTGAAGAAACTTATTCTGAACCAAATATGAGTAATCATGGCCCGTGACACAGCCCTCAGGAGGTGCTGGGAACATGTGACCCAGGTTGTTGGGGTGCAGCTTGGTTTCATACATTTTAGGGAGGCATGAGACTTCAATCAAATGCATTTAAGAAATACATTTTTTAAAAATTTTACAAAATAACAATAAAAAATTACTGCATAAAGACAACAAAAAGACAATGAAAATCACCCAAAATATCATAAACTGGATATATTCATGGTTAAAAAAAAAAGAAATACATTGGTTTGGTCCAGAAAGACGGGACAACTTGAAGCAGAGATTGGGGGAGGGGGGTGTTCCAGCTTATAGGTAGATTTAAAATTTGTCTGGTTGGCAATTGGTTGAGTTTATCTAAAGACCTGGGATCAATAGAAATGAATGTCTGGGTTAAGATACTATGGAGACCAAAGTTCTTATTTGCAGAGGAAGCCTTCAGGAAGCAGGCTTCAGAGAGAACAGGTTGTAAAATATTTCTTATCAGACTTAAAGTCTGTGTTGATGTTAATGCCGGGGAGATATAAGGAGGCATGTTCGACTCCCACTTCCCATCACGTCCCAAAACAGTCTCTCAAGTTAAATTTGAAGAGCCCTGGCTGAGGGGGAAGTCCATTCAGATGGTTGGGGGCGGGGGACTTAGAATTTTTTTTCTCGTTTACACTATATTTATCTGAGAGAGAGAATTTTAAAATAGATGTGGCAAAATGTTAGCAGTAAGTGATTCGAGGTAAAGGGTATATGGGAAATCTTTGTGCTATTCTCATAACTGTTTTTGTTAAGTTGGAAATTATTTCAGAATAAAAGTTAAAAACTTACAAAACAACACATTTAAAAATCATGGTTTCTGTCAGTTTGGGTTCACAAGAAATTAAAATAAAAAGAAAAAAAGAAAAAAATCATGGCTTCTCTAGTCTATATTTCATCAAAATTCCAATTTTAGCAATGTGAAAAAAACTGTCAGAACTGAATACACGTGGCCAGGCGCAGTGGCTCAGGCCTGTAATCCCAGCACTTTGGGAGGCCTAGGTGGGCGGATCACCCAAGGTTAGGAGTTTGAGACCAGCCTGGCCCACATGGCGAAACCCCATCTCTATTAAAAAAAAAAACAATATTAGCCAGGTGTGGTGGTTCACACCTATAGTCCCAGCTACTCAGGAGGCTGAGGTAGGAGAATGGCTTGAACCCAGGAGGCAGAGGTTGCAGTGAGCTGAGATTGTGCTACTGCACTCTAGCCTGGATGACAGAGCAAGAATCTGTCTCAAAAAAAAAAAAAAAGAAAAGAAAAGAACTGAGTACACATGAAAGGGTGTGATCAGAAAGTGAGGCAAATCATTTCATTTCGCCTCCCTATGCCTCAGTTTTCTCATCTGTATAATGGGGCTGATAATTCTTAGTGTGGCTTTGAGTACAAATCACAAAATGGATGAAAAATCTTTAGCATTAAGCTGACACATAGTAAATGCTTTAAAAATGCTAGCTAAAAAGCTAGTAGAAAACTTTTGGGGTAATGAATACATTAATTATCATGATTGTGGTGACAATTTCACAAGTATATGTATGCACATGTCAAAACTTACCAAACTCTGTTTTTTAAATATGTACAGTTCCTTGTATGTCCATTATACTTCCACAAAGAGATAAAAACAAACTACTATAAGCTCCTTTAAACCAACTTCTATTTACCCCATGCTCTCCAGTCCCCTGTAAAACACAGCAACAGGGACCGTGCCCTTCTGAGCATCTGGTGCACTGTGGCATGTGCAGGAGCCCCTGCCCCACCCAGACAACTCCAAGTTCACCAAGAGTCAGCTGTGCTTGTTCACAAACCTATTTATGGCCGTTGATCGAATCATTGTAACCACCCAATTTAATTTAATATGCAGGCCGGGCATGGTGCTTACGGCTGTAATCCCAGCACTTTTGGAGGCCAAGGCAAGTGGATCACCTGAGGTCAGGAGTTTGGGACCAGCCTGGCCAACATGGTGAAACCCCATCTCTACTAAAAATACAAACGTTAGCCAGGCGTCATGGTGCGTGCCCATAATCCCAGCTACTCGGGAGGCTGAGGCAGGAGAATTGCTTGAACCTGGGAAGGCCAAGGTTGTAGTGAGCCAAGATTGCACCACTGTACTCCAGCCTGGGCAACAGAGTAAGACTCTGTCTCAAAAAAAAAATAAATAAATAAAATAATATGCAAACTGACAAAATGTAAGAGACCACAAAATTATAGATTATAGATGAATCTCAGAAACATTTATGTTGAGTGAAAGAAGCTAGACAGAAGAGAGTCCATGCCATCTGATTCCATTCATATGAAGTTTTAGAAAAGGCAAAACTAATCCATGGTGGAACATCAGAATGATGGTTTTGGGGTCAGGGATTGCTGGGAAGGGGCATGAGGGAACTTTCTGGATTGATGGCCTTGTTTTACATCTTCATTGTTCCTCTCTGAGCAGGAAGGACAAGGGAGCTGAGAGACCCAAGAAACAGGCAGACAAATCTAGTTTCTCAGAAACATTTAATAGGGACTTACAAGCAAAAGCAGTATCTTGGGCAGTCTCAGGATGGTGGCTCCCTGCACCTTCCCTCCTGAAAATATCCTTTTTATAGCAAGCTTTCAGAGTAAAGCTTGTGCAGCTGGTCACGTCTCAGACTTCCTTTGGAAACTCGTGACCACTGTGGAGGTTAGATAAACATCTTTATGAGGGGTGACCTGTGCTATAGGCATTGTGTGTTTAAGAGGGATTGTCTATGCTACAGCAACACGTTGGTATGCAGGAGTCAAACATCGGTCATCATGGTTTCACTTCAAGATGGCGTCACTCTTGCTATGCAACAGGTATTTTTCTACATTCATACACATTTGGGTTACACAGGTGTGTGAATTTGCCAAAGCTCAGAATGATCCGCTTAAGATTTGTGCATTCCACCACATGTAACTTTTACATAAGCAAATATTGAACTCTGGTTAATGATACAGATGTTAAGGCCGGGTGTGGTGGCTCATGCATGTAATCCCAGCACTTTGGGAGTCCAAGGCAGGCAGATCACTGGAGGTCAGGATTTTGAGACCATCCTGGCCAAGATGGTGAAACCCCGTCTTTACTAAAAATACAAAAATTAGCCAGGCGTGGTGGTGCATGCCTGTAATCCCAGCTACTCAGGAGGCTGAGACAGGAGAATTGCTTGAACCCAGGAGACAGAGGTTGCAGTGACCCAAGATCGCGCCACTGCACTCCAGCCTGGGCAACAGAGCAAGACTCTGCCTCAATAATAATTAATAATAATAATAATAATATATACAGATGTTGAAGGGTTTAGAAAGAAGCGTACTGATATTTGCAACTTACTTTGAAATGCATCAAAAAGTAAGATGACCAGGCATGGAGGCTCATGCCTGTAATCCTAGTACTTTGGGAGGCAGAAGCAGGAGCCCAGGCGGTCAATTTCGAGGCCAGTCCGGGCAACATAGTGAGACTGCCCCCGCTACAAAAAAAATTAAAAATTAGCCAGGTGTCAGCACATGCCAGTAGTCCCAGCTACTTAGGAGGCAGACATAGGAAAATTGCTTGAGCCCAGGAGGTTGAGGCTGCAGTGCGCTGAGATTGTGCCACTGCACTTCAGCTTGGGCAACAGAGTGAGAACCTGTCTAAATAATAATAATAATAAGATGAATGGATGGACAGAGAGGTCAACATTTCATAAAGCAAATATAACAAAATGTTACTTGCAGAATCTAGGTGGGATATACGAGGGTATTAACTGTAAAATTATTTAATATTTTCTGTAAGTGTGAAATGTTTCATTTAAAATGTTGGAGAAAACAACAAGCAAAAGACCCAATATTGGCAAGTTGTTAGAATACTGCTCTCTAGTAAGACATGAGCAGGGCAACTGTGAGAGAGAAATTTTCAAGAAGTCTGCATGCAGGTCACTTTACAAGTCTTGAGTTCTTATTCCATTTTAAAGATGCAAAAATTGGAAATCATAGATGTAGCAATGAACTGGAATTCTGATCAGTGGACTCCTCAAAGAAAAGCCTTAGCCCCGTTTCAAAAGATTGGAGAGTGAATACACATTTACATGTTTTAAGTTAAAATGAAACACTGAGGCTTTGTATCTAGCATTTTAAGACTTTTAAAAAAATTCACTGACTGCCAGCCCATATAGCATGTTTGTGTGAATCAGAAACAGTCACTCCCTCTTCTGGCTGGATACAGTTTCACAGCGAGGGAACAAAGCTAGATTTTTGTCCTTCCTTGGCTGAATGTGCTTGTGCAATATACATCGCACTCAACTGCCCATGGCATGCTAGACACTAATTTCCAGGCCCAAACACAAATAGGTAAGAGGACTGTGGCTGGTTGTATCACCTATCCCCCAAGTCTGAGGGGCACCTCACACTCAACAGAAAGGTCCCTAACAGAATGCCACCCTCCCTGCCACCACTCCCCACTGCCAGCTTTCCTGGGCCTCGCTCCAATTTCATGATCACCTTGACCTCCTCCTTCCCTGTCTGTCCATCTCCTAAGAATGGGGCTGGTGGTGATGAGAGGAGGAAGGAGGGGGATCTCAAGGATTATCAGGGTGATAATCAGAGAAACTGACTTTTCAGAAAAAGTGATTAATAACCCTCTCCTGCCCTCAACACCCTACCTGTTTTCAAAACGTGGAGATGCGGGGCATTCTAGGTGGTGCAAGGAAGGAGGTCTGAAAAGAAGGAGAAATGAGAGCAGGAGGTCTGAGGGACTCTTTTTGATCCTTAGTGCCTTCCCACGCACACCTAGCAGTGGTTGTCCTGTCCCCACGGCCCCTCCATGGGGACTACAGACTAGCAGGGACATGTATCTTGATGCCAGGCCCAGGAGGCCAGAATGGCTCCAGGTCCTAGAGGGCTGGGTGGCCTAGCCCTCAGCCAAGGCTCAGAGAGGGAAGCTAGAGCCTCCAATACCCCTGACTCTGAATCAGCCCCCACTGCACTAAGCCAGCAGAGCTTAGCAGCTTGGATTCAAGGACACCTCTGTGGTCCCTCAGAGTGTTTCAGTCCTGCCTGCAACATTCATGCCCTGTGTGACCTTGGGCAAGTCACTTTACCTCTTGAGGCATCAGATTCCTCAGCTGTACAGGTCTAATCATAGCACTGTTCTCCTGGGATGGTTGTGATGTTCAATGTGTTTATGCAGATGCAGTGCTTGGCACAGGACATGGCATACAGAGAACACCCAGGAAGCAGCAGTGGCCCTTGCAATCCCTGGGATCCCATGCAATCCTCTGGGTCCTGTGAAGGAGATCTCTATTCCTACACACTTGTCAACTGTAAGACAAATGCTGAAAACCTTTTTGTGGTCTCAACGATCAGGTTATAAACTCAGCTGAAGAACTTGGTGAAAGTATTTTGAACACGATGAAGAGACATTTAAACAACTGAATTAAAAGGTCTTCGTAAGTATTTTCCCAAGCTGGAAAGCAGCTGTGAGTAGATAAGAACCCTTCTTCCATCGTTTTGCGGACATCAGTGAATAACTTGACACAGTCTACAGAAGGACAGATTCTGGAGATTGCTTCAGATGGCTTCCAGAAACAAAAGGTTGTTGTACAAAAGTCATTACATCATTTTGATAAGGAATGAATTATCAGTGTCCACCTCTATCAGAGAAGGGGGTTAATATCATTCTTCTGGATTCCAAGTTTGTATGTTCAACTGTCTACTAGTTACCTTCACTGGGATGTCTAACAGGCATCTCAAATCCAACATGTCCAAAACAGAGATCTTGACCCTTGTTTCTTGATCCCAAACTGCTCTACCTGTGGTCCTGTCTCATTGATGGCAATGCTATCCTTCCATTTTCTCAGGTGAAACACCTTCAAATCATCCTCCACTCTTCTTTCTCTACATCTGGTCAATCTCTGTGACTCTACCTTTGAAATATCTCCAGAATCCAACTACATCTCACCATTTCTATGACTAATACCCTGGTCCAAGGTATGATCATCTTTCACCTGGATTATTGCAAATGCCTCTTTCCTGCCCTTCGTGTTTCTAGCCTTGCTCTGCTATAGTCAAGACAAGCAGCCAGAGTAATTTTGTTAAAAATAAATTAGATTATGTCAATACTAGACAGATGTGGTGGCACACACCTGTAGTCCCAGCTAGTTGGGAGGCTAAGGTGGGAGGATCACTTGAGCTGGGATCAACCTACTGCACTCCAGCCTGGGCGATAGAGCGAGACCTTGTCTTGAAGCAAAAACAAAACCAAAAACCAGATTATATCAATACTGTACTCAAAATCCTTGATGTCCCTCTATCTCTTCCAGAACTAAATCCTAAATCCTGTAAGACTCTCTGCGAATTGGCTCTGTGCTATCCCTCTGACCTTATCCTCACACCACTCCAGCCTCATTGTCATTCCTTGAAGATTGCAGACATGCTCCCCACTTACAAACTTGCACTGGCCGTTCCCTCTGCTGGAATGCTCTTCCCAGATATTTTCATGACTCACTTCTTCACGTCCTGTAAGGTTTTTTATTTTTTTTAGTTGAGACGGAGTCTTGCACTGTTGCCCAGTCTGGAGTGCCGTGGTGTGATCTCGGCTCACTGCAACCTCCGCCTCCCGGGTTCAAGCGATTCTCCTGCCTCAGCCTCCCAAGTAGCTGGGATTACAGGCACCCATCACCACACCCAGCTAATTTTTTGTATTTTTAGTAGAGACGGGGTTTCACCATGTTGGCCAGGCTGGTCTCGAACCCCTGACCTCATGATTTGCCCACCTTGGCCTCCCAAAGTGCTGGCATTACAGGCATGAGCCACCGTGCCCAGCCCACGTCCTGTAAGTCTTTACTTAAGTATGTCCTATAAAGAGGCTGACCCTGACCATCCTTTCTGAAACTGCAACCTACCCCCACCCTCGAATCCCTCTCTCCCTGCTCTATGTTTTTCCCCATAGCACTGATGGCTTGGTAAGATATTACATAATTTTTATTTAGTATGCTTATTGCTTGGTTTGTTTGTTTGTTTGTTTTTGTTTTGAGACAGGACTTCACTCTGTCACCTAAGCTGGAGTGCAGTGCCACAATTGTGGCTCACTGCAGCCTATGCCTCCTGGGCTTAAGCGATTCTCCCACCTCAACCTCCTGAGTAGCTGGGACCACAGGCCCACACCACCACACGCAGCTAATTTTTGTATTTTTGTTAGAGACTGGGTTTCACCAGTTGCCTAGGCTGGTCTTGAACTCCTGACCTCAAGTTATCTGCCCGCCTTGGCCTCCCAAAGTGCTAGGATTACAGGTGTGAGCCACCGCTCCCAGCTATGGTTAGTGTTTATTACCTGTCTCCTCCTCTACAATGAAAGCTCCATGTGGGCAGGGATATTTGCCTGTTGCGTTCACTGATGTAACTCTTTCTTTATAGCATAGTACCTGGTGAAATAGTATAGGTGCTCAGTGAATATTTGTTGAATATTTGGGTGTCCTCTAATTCAGTTCCGACACTGTCTACACAGAGACAGTGTCAGTTCACACAAGTTAAGGGCTCCGTCCCCAAGACTGCCACCCGTGCCCATCCACCCGTGCCTACCAGTCCGGGCCTCCAGAACTTCTGACTGATCAGCTTCAAGTTGAGCTTCCCACGACCCTCTCTTTGGATTCGATTAGTTTGCTGGAGCAGCTCACAGGACTCAGGGAAACACTTATGTTTACTGATTTATTATAAAGGATATTGCATAGGATACAGATGAAGAGAGTGAAGGGTGAGATTTGGGGGAAGAGGTGAGGCACTTCCATACCTTCCCCAGGGCGCCACCCTCCAGGAACCTCCCAGTGTTCAGCTATTTAGAAGCTCACCGACCCTGTCCTCTTGGGTTTTTCTGGAAGCTTCATGACATGAGCATTCCTTCCCCTAAGTAGGACCCTCTCGTGTAAGGGTCTTAAGACCCCAAATCAGAAAAGTAGGTGAACATTAGAATCCTGCCTTGGGGCAGGAGCAAGGAGGGCAGGAGAAGGCCAGAAAGAGGCCCACCTGAGGCCTGACACAAACATGATCGCAAAAGATTGGAACAAGGGCTGTGGGAGTTAGGAGCCAAGAACAGTGGGCGAAAACCGAAGTATATACAACACCACACCTCGACACGAAAAAGCCTTGCTGAGAGAAATTTCAAAAGACTGAAATAAATGGAGAGACATGCTATGTTCATGGGCCTTATGACTTGATATTAAGAAATTATTTCTTAACAAATTCATCTACAAATTAAACACAATCCCAAGGAAAATTCCAAAAGACTTTTGTAAAGGTTAATGAGATAATTCTAAACCTTATATAGAAATGGAAAGGACCTAAAATAACCAGAGTAATTAAAAAAAAAAAAAGTCAGCTGGGTGTAGTGGCTCACACCTGTAATCTCAGCTCTTTATTACTTCCTCTGCTTGAAGAACTTCCTTTATTATTTCTTGTAGTGAAGGTCTACTGCAAGTGAAATATGTCTGCTTCTATTTGTCTGGAAAGTCTTTTTTTTGGGATACCTAATAGTTGTACATATTTATAGAATACATATGACAATTTGATACATGTATACAATGGATAATGATCAAGTGAGGGTAATTAGGAACCTCAAACATTTATCATTTCCTTGTGTTGGGGACATTCCAAATCTTCTCTTTTAGCTATTTTGAAATATATAACAAATTCTTATTAACTGTAGTCACCCTACTGTGCTGTCGAACACTAGAACTGATTCCTTTTGTCTAATTGTATTTTTATACCCAGTAACCAAACTCTCTCTATCCACCCTTCCCTCTACCCTTCCCAGCCTCTGGTAACCAACATTCTACTCACTATATCCATCAAGTCTATTTTTTTAGCTCCCACATATGAATGAGAACATGTGATATTTGTCTTTCTGTGCCTGGATTATTTTACTTAACATAATGACATACAGTTCCATCCATGTTGCTGCAAATGACAGAATTTCATTGTTTTTATGGCTGAATAATATTTCATTGTGTGTATATACTGCATTTTCTTTATCCATTCATCTGTTGATGGACACTTAGGTTGATTCCATATCTCAGCTGTTGTGAATAGTGCTGTAATAAACATGAAAGTGCAGGTATTGGCTGGGCACAGTGGCTCACGCCTGTAATCCCAGCACTTTGGGAGGCCGAGGCGGGCGGATCACGAGGTCAGGAGATCGAGACCATCCTGGCTAACATGGTGAAACCCCATCTCTACTAAAAATATAAAAAATTAGCCGGGCCTGGTGGCGGGTGCCTGTAGTCCCAGCTACTCGGGAGGCTGAGGCAGGAGAATGGCGTGAACCCGGGAGGCGGAGCTTGCAGTAAGCCGAGATCGCGCCACTGCACTCCGGCCTGGGCGACCTAGCGAGACTCCGTCTCAAAAAAAAAAAAAAAAAAAAAAAAAAGAAAGTGCAGGTATCTCGTTGATATATTGATTTCCTTTCCTTTGGATAGCTACCCAATAGTGGGATTGCTGAATGATATGGTAGTTCTATTTTTAGTTTTTTTTTTTTTTTTTTGAAATGGAATCTTGCTCTGTCACCCAGGCTGGAGTGCAGTGGCTCAATCTCGGCTCACTGCAACCTCCACCTGCTGGGTTCAAACAATTCTCCTGTCTCAGCCTCCTGAGTAGCTGGGACTACAGGTGCATGCCACCATGACTGGCTAATTGCTAATTTTTTTTTTTTTTTTTGTATTTTTAGTAAAGGCAGGGTTTCACCATGCTGGCCAGGCTGGTCTTGAATTCTTGATCTCATGATCAACCCTCCTTGGCCTCCCAAAGTGCTGAGATTACAGGCGTGAGCCACCACACCCGGCCTATTTTTAGTTTTTTTAAGAAGCCTCCATACTGTTTTCCATAGTGTCTGTACTAACTTTCATTCCCACTAACAGTGTATGGGCATTCCCCTTCCTCTGCCTCCTTGCCAGCATCTGTTATTCTGTCATTTTGATAATAGCCATTTTTAATGGGTTGAGATGATATCTCATTGTGGTTGTGATTTGGATTTCCCTGATGATTAGTGCTGTTAAGGATTTTTTCATATACCTGTTAGCCATTCGTATGTCTTCTTTTGAAGACATAGAGATGCCTATTCAGGTATTTTGCCCATTTTTGAAACTGATAATTTGATTTTTTTTTTTTTTTTTTTTTGCTGTTAAGTTGTTTGAATACCTTTTATTTCTGGTTATTAGTCCCTTGTTGGATGGATAGCTTGCAAATATTCTCTCTCATTCTGTATGTTTTCTCTTCACTTTGTTGATTCTTTGTTCGTTTGCTGTGCAGAAGCTTTTTAGCTTGATGAAATCCCACTTGTCTACTTTTACTTTTGTTGCCAGTGCTTTTGAAGTCTTACTTAAAAAATATTTGCCCAGACCAATGTCCTGAAGGATTTCCCCAATGCTTTTTTTTTTTTTTTTTAATTTTTTTAGTATTTATTGATCATTCTTGGGTGTTTCTCAGAGAGGGGGATTTGGCAGGGTCATAGGACAATAGTGGAGGGAAGGTCAGCAGATAAACATGTGAACAAAGGTCTCTGGTTTTCCTAGGCAGAGGGCCCTGCCGCCTTCCGCAGTGTTTGTGTCCCTGGGAACTTGCGATTAGGGAGTGGTAATGACTCTTAACGAGTATGGTGCCTTCAAGCATCTGTTTAACAAAGCACATCTTGCACCGCCCTTAATCCATTTAACCCTTAGAGGACACAGCACATGTTTCAGAGAGCAGGGGGTTGGGGGTAAGGTTATAGATTAACAGCATCCCAAGGCAGAAGAATTTTTCTTAGTACAGAACAAAATGGAGTCTCCTATGTCTACTTCTTTCTACACAGACACAGTAACAATCTGATCTCTCTTTCTTTTCCCCACATTTCCCCCCTTTCTATTCGACAAAACCGCCATCGTCATCATGGCCCGCTCTCAATGAGCTGTTAGGTGCACCTCCCAGATGGGGTGGCGGCCGGGCAGAGGGGCTCCTCACTTCCCAGACGGGGCGGCTGGCCGGGGGGGGGCTGCCCCCCACCTCCCGGACGGGGCCAATGTTTTCTTCTAATAGTTTCATAGTTTCAGGTCTTTTATTTAAGCCTTTACTCTATTTCTATTTGATTTTTATATATGGTAAAATATATAAAGTTGTCTAGTTTCATTCTTCAGCATATGAATATTCAGTGTTCCCAGCACTATTTAATGAAGAGACTATTATTAATATTTCTCCAACGTATGCTTTTGGTGCCTTTGTCAAAAATGAGTTGGCTGTAAAGGCATGGATTTATTTCTGGGTTCTCTATTCTGTTCCACTGGTCTAAGTGTCTGTTTTTATGCCAGTACCACGCTGTTTTGGTTAACTTTGTAGTATATTTTGAAGTCAGCTAGTGTGATACTACCAACTGGTTTTTTTGCTCAGGATTTCTTTGGTTATTTGGGGTCTTTTGTGGTTCCTTATACTTTTTTTTTTTTTTTTTTAAAGATGGAGTTTCGCTCTTGTTGCCCAGGCTGGAGGGCAATGGTGTGATCTTGGGTCACCGCAACCTCCGCCTCCCGGGTTCAAGCGATTCTCCTGCTTCAACCTCCCGAGTAGCTAGGATTACAGGCATGCAACACCACACCCAGCTAATTTTGTATTTTTAGTAGAGATGGGGTTTCTCCATGTTGGTCAGCCTGGTCTTGAACTCCTGACCTCAGGTGATCCACCCACCTTCGTCTCCCAAAGTGCTGGGATTATGGGCATAAGCCACCATGCCTAGCCCCTTTACACATTTTAGTATTGTTTTCTCTTATATCTGTGAAAAATGTCATTGGAATTTTGATGGGGATTACATTGAATCTGTAGATTGCTTTTGGTAGTATGAATATTTTAACAATATTAATTCTTCCAATCCATGAACATGTGATAATCTTTCCTTTTTTTTGTGTATGTGTGTACTCTTCAACTATTTTTTTCTTTCTTTCTCTTTCTTTCTTTCTTTCTTTCCTTCTCTCTTTCTTTTTTTTTTTTTTTGAGACAGGGTCTCACTCTGTTGCTTAGGCTGAAGTGCAGTGGTGGCATGATCATGGCTCACTGCAGCTTCAACCTCCCAGGCTCCAGCGATCCTCCTACCTCAGCCTCATGAGTAGCTGGGACCGCAGGCATGTGCCACCATGCCCAGCTAATTTATGTGTTTATTTTTTGTAGAGATGGTATCTCCCTATGTTGCCCAGGCTGACCTTGATCTCCTGGGCTCCAGTGATCCTCCTGCCTTGGCTTCCCAAAATGCTGGGATTACAGGCACTGTAGCCAGCCCTTCCTCTTCAATTTCTTTCATCAGTGTTTTATAGTTTTCATTGTAAAAATCTTTTACTTCTTTGGTTAAATTTATTCCTAGGTATTTTTTGTGGCTATTGTAAATAGAATCACTTTCTTAATTTTTTTTCAGATTGTTTGTTGTTGGCATATGTAAATGCTACTGATTCTCGTATGTTGATTTTGTATCCTGCAACTTTACTGAATTTCCTTATCAGTTCTAAAAATATCTGGTATCTTTACATTTTTCTAAATATAAGATTGTGTTGTCTGCAAACAAGGAAAATTTGACTTCTTTCTTTCCAATTTGGATGCCCTTAATTTATTTCTCTTGCCTAACTGCTCTGGCTGAGACCTAAAGTGAGAATCTCTGCCTTGTTCCAGATCTTAGGGGAAATACTTTCACATTTTCCCTGTTCAGTATAAAGTTAGCTTTGAGTTTTTTATACATAGCCTTTATTGTTTTGAGGTATGTTCCTTCTACAAAAACTGCTGAGTTTTTGTTATAAAGGGATGCTGAATTTTATCAAATGCTTTTTCAGCATCTATTAAAATGATCACATGGCTTTTGTTCTTGAATCTGTTAATGTGATGTGTCATGTCTTTCGATTTGCATATGTTGACTCATCCTTGTATCTCTGGAATGAAACCCACTTGATCATGGTGAGTGATGTTTTTAATGTGTTGGTGGATTTGATTGCTAGTATTTCATTGAGGATTTTTGCATCTGTGTTCATAGAGATATTGGCTGTGGTTTTATTTTCTTGTTTTGTCCTTGTCTGGTTTTGGTATCAAGGTAATTCTGGACTCACAGAATAAGTTTAGAAGTATTCCCTCTTCAATTTTTTGGAATAGTTTGAGTAGAAGTGGTATTCTTTAAATGTTTTGTGGAATTTCAGCAGTGAAGCCAATCAGTTCCTAGGCTTTTGTTTGATGGGAGACTTTTTGTTACTGATTTGATCTTGCTATTCGTTATTGTTCTGTTCAGGTTTTGTATTGTTTCATGGTTCAACACTGGTAGATTGTACACGTCCAGGAATTTGTCCATTTCTTCTAAGTGTTCCAATTTGTTGGTATACAGTTGTTCATAATACTCTCTAATGAGCCTTTGAATTTCTCTGGTATCGGTTGTAGGCCTCCTTTTTCATCTCTGCTTTTATTTAGGTGGGTCTTCTCTCTTTTTTATTAGTTAGTGCTCCTGAACAACCAATGTGTCAATAAAAAAATTAAGAAGAAAATTTTAAATTGTTTTGAAACAAATGAAAATAGAAACACAACATCCCTAAACCTATGGGATACAGCAAAATAGTGTATAAAAAGGGAGGTTTATAGCAATAAGCACCCATATCCAAAAAAGTAGAAAGGGCTAGGTGCACTGTCTCACACCTATAATCCCAGTACTTTGGGAGGCCAAGGCAGGATGATTACTTGAGTCCAGGAGTTTGAGACCAGCCTGGGCAACATAGTGAGACCTTGTCTCTACAAAAAATAAAAAATAAATCAGCTGAGTATGGTGGCCCATGCCTGTGGTCCTAGTTACTTGGGAGGCTGAGGTGGGAGGGTTCCTTGAGCCCGGGAAGTTGGGGTTGCAGTGATCTGTGATTGTGCTACTGTACTCCAGCCTAGGTGACAAAGCAAGATCCAGTCTCAAAAAAAAAAAAAAAAAGTAGAAAGACTTTAAATAAACAACCTAATGATGTACCTTAAAGAACTAGAAAAGCAAGAACAAACCAAACCCAATATTACTAGAAGGAAAGAAATAATAGTGATAAAAACAGAAATAAATGAAGTTGAAATGAAAAAAATACAAAAGATCAATGAAACAAAAAGTTGGTTTTTTGAAAATATAAACAAAATTAACAAACCTTTATCTAGACTAACCTATAAAAAAAGAGAAGATCTACATAAATAAAATCAGAGATGAAAAGGGAGTCCTTACAACTGATAGCACAGAAATTCAAAGGATCATTACAGAGTATTATGAACAGCTGTATACCAACAAATTGGAAAACCTAGAAGAAATGGACAAATTCCTGGACATGTTGTTTAATTTCCATGTATTTGTACAATTTCAAAAGTTCCTCGTTATTTATTTCTAGTGTCATTCCATTATGGTCAGAAAAGATGTTTGGTATAATTTAAATTTTTAAAAATTGGTTAAGACTTGTTTTGTGGTCTAAAATGTGGCCTATCCTGGAGAATGTTCCACGTGCAGATGAGTAGAATGTATATTCGTCAGCAGTTGGATGAAATGTTTTGGGCTTGGGCTATGAGTCTCCACCTGCCTTGGGTAGCTCTCCTGAGCCTTGGAGGACCAGCTCATCATGAATCCTAGGCTTTAACTGTTCCTTGCTGCTATCTGTAAGTAATAAATCTTCATGTAACTTGTGTGTGTGAGCATTCTGCCTCAATAGACTTGAGCAAGCAACAAAGCGCAGACTAAGATGCAGAGGGCTGAGGTGGTAACCAGTGCACAGTGAACCTGCTTTACAGCAGGTCCTGTCTCTTCCTCAAGGAGATTATTACTCTTTAGAACTCAATTCATTTGGTCACCTTGTTGTCATAGTAAGTAAGTAGGTAGCTACTCAGACACGAGCAGGGCAGGAGAGGCCCCCCAAACCCAGGAATGTCAGGCAACCATCAGGTGATGGTCAGACAGCTGTTAAAACTGTTGCTTTAAAATAATAATTGGTTGCAGCCGGCGCCAGGGAAAGGCAGTCTCCCAATAGATAAAAACACCTGAAATGGGTGATCAGCTTACCGATAAGATCTCAGGAGTTGGGCGAGTGGGCTCAAGCATACGCACTAAAAGGCAAAATGGTGGAGTTTAAGTGGTACGTAGCCTTCTAGGAACACTTGAATGGTAAGGGAAGAATGCCTCAAGTGAGCATGTGTACAACGCCAGTAAACACACTGCGCATGCGGCCCGTCCCAAATGCGGGCAGGCCCCTGTGCATGCAGACAGCCCACCCCAAGGGAAGAATCAGGGAAGAAGTCAGGCAACCTCAGAAGCATGCCAACGTATAAGACCCCAAGTCAAAGGTCAGACCACACACTTGACTCTCTCAAGTCGCCAGCTTGGCCCCCTTCCAAGTGTACTTTACTTCCTTTCATTCCTGCTCTAAAGCTTTTTAATAAACGTTTACTTCTGCTCTAAAACTTGCCTTGGTCTCCCGCTCTGTCTTATGGCCCTCAGTTGAATTCTTTCCTCTGAGGAGGCAAGAATTGAGGTTGCTGCAGACCCATACAGATTTGCCACTGCTCACATTGTGATCTTAGTTCTGTGATGAGCTCAAGAAAAGTTATGATTTTATAAATAAATTATCTTTTTCTCTTTTTTAGGATGAGTGCACCATTCTCTTGCAGCCCTTTTTGTTTTTTTTTGAGACAGTGTCTCGCTCTGTTGCCCAGGCTGCAGTGCAGTGGTGCAGTCTCGGCTCACTGCAACCTCTGCCTTCTGTGTTCGAGCGATTCTCCTGCCTCAGCCTCCCGACTAGCTGGGACTACAGGCATGCACCACCATGCCTGGCTAATTTTTGTATATTTAGTAGAGATGGGGTTTTGCCATGTTGGCCAGGCTGGTCTCGAGCTCTCGATCTCGAGTGATCCACCCACCTCGGCCTTCCAAAGTGCTGGGATTACAGGCGTGAGCCACCGTGGCTGGCCTTCTCTTGCAGCTTTCTATATCCTAAGCAGAAATGGAATCCCATATTAAAATTTTTCTAAGATCAGGTAACTTCGTTTTGTTTCTACATACTAACAACGAACACGTGAAATCCCCAAATTACAATGGTACCATTTAAAGTATCTTCAAAGAAAACAAAATACTAAGGTACAAACTTACAAAACACATACAGGATCTGTATGCTGAAAATTACAAAATGCTGATGAACAAATTCAAAGAAGACCTAAATAAAGAGAGACATTGTGTTCATGGATTGGATCACTTAACGTAGTAAAGATGTCAGTTCTCCCTAAATTGATTTATATATTGAGTGCAATTCGTGTAAAAGTCCCAGAGAGGCTTTTGTAGACATAGACAAGCTTGTTCTAAAATTTATATAGAAAGGCAAAACTTTGTGAATATACTCAAAATTACTGAATTGTATACTTTAAAGGGTGAACTTTGGGGTATGTGAATTATATCTCAATAAAGTTGTTATAAAAACATTTAAGCTGGGCATAGAGGCTCATGCCTGTATTCCCAGCACTTCGGGAGGCTGAGGTGAGTGGATCACTTGAGGTCAGGAGTTCAAGACCAGCCTGGCCAACATGGTTAAGCCCTGTCTGTATTAAAAATACAAAAATTAGCCAGGTGTGATGGTGCACACCTGTAATCCTAGCTACTTGGGAGGCTGAGGCAGGAGAATCACTGGAACCCTGAAGGCAGAGGTTGAAGTGAGCCGAGAGTGCACCACTACACTCCAGCCTGGGCGACAGAGTGAGACTCATCTCAAAACAAACAAACAAACAATGACAACAATAACAACAACAAACATTTAAGAGGGCCCCCACCATCAGGTGCTGCTTCTGCCCTTGCAGAGCCTGAGGGTGAGACCCTCATGTTTTGTGCCCTTGTACCTCCCTGCTACACCCTAGTCCTGGACCTGGTGGAAGATGCAGGTATTTATCCTCTAAATTCTGATTCTGGGGTTTAACTCTCCTGGCTTGCCCTCTGTATCCATCCAAGCTCAGGACTGTGGGCGGGTGACTCCCTTGGGCTAAGACACAAGAAGCCATCAGGCTGCGTGTCCATCGATGTCTGTGGCATTGTCAGCGTCTGCCACTCTTAGTGTCATCTGGCTACCGCCATCTTCCCTGTCCTTCTCCTCCTGGCCTCGGTTCTCTTTCAAGGAATATACCACTTTCCCACCCTGGGGCCCTCACACAGGCTGTTTCTCCTCCCTGAAGCACTGTCCCCACCCCCTTCCTATCTCATCCTTCAGGACTCAGCCCAAATGTCACCTCCTCAGAGAGGGCTTCTCTTCCTGCCCTGTCCCAAAATGTTCTCCATTATTCTCTCTCATAACACTCAGAATATTTTCTTAATAGCACTTATCTCCATTTGGAAAGTGTGTACTCATTTGTTTTTCTAAGTATTTAGTGTCTGTCTTCCCTACCAGGCAGTGAGATTTAGGAGAGAGGGACTGGGTCTGTTTTGCTCGTGGCTGTATCCACCATATACTTCTCTGTGCCTGGCACATAGGTGGTGCTCAATAAATGCTTGTCAGGTGCTTTATGAATACAACACACTCCTGGCCCTGCTCCCCTAAACAAGCACTCCTAAGTGGGGGAGGGAGGCATTGAGGCAGGCACCTGTGGCACCAGGTGGTCTGTGCTATGATGGGCAGGTGAGCAGAGGAGTGCAGGAAGCTAAATGAGGCAGAAATTAATTCTGGGAGCTCAGAGAGGGAAGAAAATCTAGAGAGCAAGTGCAATGTGAATTGGGTTTTGAAGGATGAATAGGAGAGTGCTGGGTACGTAAGGACATTGGAAGAAAATCTCAGGCAGAGGTAAGAGCATAGAGAAGAGTTTGGAATAGATAAGAGCCACTGCCTCTGGCTGTGTGAGTGCATGTGTGTGCATATGTGCGTGAGTATGAATGTGTGTGTGTGTGTGTGTGTGTGTGTGTGTGTAGGGTGGTAGGGTGGTAGGGTGTGAATCTGGAGATGCAGGTAGAACCCTGGACACAAAAGGTTTTTAAGGCCAGGCATGGTGGCTCATGCCTGTAATCCCAGCACTTTGGGAGGCCAAGGCAGGGAGATCACTTGAGCCCAGGAGATGGAGACCAGCCTGGGCAACGTGGCAAGACCCCGTCTGTACCCAAAAAATGAAAAATTAGCTGAGCATGGTGGCGCGCCTGTAGTCTCAGCTACTTGGGAGGCTGAGGCAGGAGGATCACTTAAGCCTGGGAGGTTGAGTTTGCAGTGAGCTACAATTGTGCCACTGCACTCCAGCCTGGGCAACAGAGTGATACCCTGTCTCAAAAATAAATAAATAAAATTAAATAAAAGGTTTTTAACACCCAGCTAAAGATTGATTCTAACTTCCAGCAGTTTTCTTAGTGTGAAGTCAGTTTCACTGGAGAGGGTAGGTGGTACCTGTCTGGGTGATTTGATGTAGGACTCATAATTCTTTCTTTTCTTTTTTTTTCCTTTTGAGACAGGGTCTCACTATGTTGCCCAGGCTGATCTCACACTCTTGGGCTCAATTGATCTTCCTGACTCGGCCTCCCAAAGTACTGGGATTACAGGTGTGAGCCACCATGCTCAGCTGAACTCATAATTTTATAAGGATTTTAAAATAGTAAATCATTTTAATAGTTTCCTTTTAAAGATAAATGTATATAAATCAAAAAGGCAAGTCGACTTGAAGAAATATATTAAGTAAATAATAAATACAGGTGAAACCCCAGGGCAGACATTTGGCAAATGCTGCTGTGGATGGTGGGAGCCACAGCAAGGACAGAATGAGTGAAGAGGGTGGTGGGGCTGGAGTTGAAGGCCCAACTGGATGGACTGGGGAACGTGCACTAGTCTGGAAGGCATGAGGCCAGGGCCTGTGGGACCTGGAGGAAGGGAGAATCTACAGGCCTGGGAGCCTGATTGGATGTGGGAATGAAGCGGGCCAGGAGTTGAGGGACGCCCTAGTTTGGGGCTTGAAGGTACCAGGCTGCTTCTAACAGGAGGTGTCACAGTTGGCCATGTTACAGAACCTCTTTTCTAAGACTTGGATTCTTATTCACTGCAATGAAACAAAATTTGCAAACCTCTGTGTGACAAAGCGTTCCTTCCTGTGTCCCCAGTCAAATGCTGTAGCAGACGTGGTTGGCACCCTGTCCACACCCTTCCCTTGACCCATCTTGGAATTGACATGCAGAGAGTACCATGCTCACCAGCAGCTTTCTGTGTCTTTCTGCCCAAGGGCATTCTCTGGCCAGGGCCAGCTCAGCCTACACACGTCCCAGACTCACCATGGTCCAGCAGAAGATGGGAGCTGGGTAAATGGCCCAGCCTCTCCTCTCAGTGGCACAGCTCTGAGGTGTGGTCTGCAGTCTCCCAGAGGGACCTCAGCCAAACTGAGCCCCAGCTGTCCACAGCAGGAACCCATTCATTAGCGCCCTGTACTGGCTTCCTTCCCTTCCCTGGATGGCTTCCTGACTCTCAAATTGTGCTTCCTGGAACTACCTCCCAAAGAAACCACCTGCACCCAAATTTTTGCCTCAGGGTCTGCTTTCATGGGAACCCCAAAGCAAAACAAGCAAGAAATGTTAGGGTCACCACTACTTCCCTAGCTTCCTCTGGAGTTGCAGGCGTCATTTTTCCAGTTGATGTGGGTCCTCACAGTCCACCATATGCAGCTGTCTTTGTGGACACAACTGGAGGCACACGATCGGGATGAGGGCAGAGCAGTCCCCCTTTTTAATTGTTTTAATTAAGTCAACAATTGGCAGCCCTTGGGTACATGCCAGAGTCAGAGGTGTTTGAACCAGAGCAACTCCATCTTGAATAGGGGCTGGGTGAAATGAGGCTGAGACCTGCTGGGCTGCATTCCCGGGAGGTTAGGCAGTCTTGGTCACAGGATGAGACAGGAGGTCGGCACAAGATACAGGTCACAAAGACCCTGCTGATAAAACAGGATGCGGTAAAGATGCCGGCCAAATCCCACCAAAACCAAGATGGCGATGAAAGTGCCCTCTGGTCATCCTCACTGCTCATTATACACTAATTATAATATATTAGCATGCTAGACAACATGCCCACCAGCGCCATGACAGTTTACCATTGCTATGGCAATGTCCAGGAGTTACCCTATATGATCTAAAAGGGGGAGGAACTGTGAGTTCCAGGAACTGCCCACCCCTTTCCTGGAAAACTCATGAATAATCCATGTTTAGTATATGATGAAGAAATAACCAAAAAGTAACCACCCGGTAGCTCTCAGGGCTGTTCTGCCTTTGGAGTAACCATTCTTTTATTCCTTTACTTTGTTTTTTTGGGTCTCGCTCTGTCGCCCAGGCTGGAGTGCAGTGGTGCAATCTCAGTTCACTGCAACCTCCACCTCCCAGGTTCAGGTGATCGTCCTGCCTCAGCCTCCAGAGCAGCTGGGACCACAGATGTGCTCCACCACGCCAGGCTAATTTTTTGTATTTTTGGTAGAGACGGGGTTTCACTATGTTGCCCAGGCTGGTTTCAAACTTCTGACCTCAAGTGATCCACCCTCCTTGGCCTCCCAAAGTGCTGGGATTACAGGCGTGAGCCACCATGCCTCCCCTATTCCTTTACTTTCTTAAGAAACTTGCTTTCACTTTATGAATTCGCCTCGAGATCCAAGAGCCCTTTCTTAGGGTCTGGATTGGGACCCCTTTCCGGAGACACCAGCATAACCTTTGTTTCAGTTATTTGGGGCATGGAGGAAGAGGTTTTCTTGCCTCAGGGCCTTTGCAACTGCTGATTCTGCCACCTGGAATGTTTCCCCCTAAGATAGCCCTAACTAAGTCCAGATCCCTCACTTCATTCAGGCTCAAATAGCATCTCCTCAGAGAGGCCTCTCTGACCACATTATCTTAAATATATCCCTTTCTCTTTCATCCTATTGTCATTATAGCTCCTGGCATTATATCTTTTTAAAAATCAACTTTATTGAGGAATAATTCGCCCACAATAAAATACATTCACTTGAAGTGTACAGTTTGGAGTTTTGACAAATACGTGTTTCCTGGTAACCACCATCCAATCAACATTTCCATCACCCCAAAAGGTTCAGTTAGAAGATTCCCTCCCTGCCCCAGCTGTCAGAGGTGTTTGAACCGGAGCGACTCCATTTTGAGTGAGGGCTGGGAAAATGAGGCTGAGACTTGCTGGGCTGCATTCCCAGAAAGTCAGGCATTCCTAGCCTCTAGAGGTTTATGATTAAGGGAACAAATTAATAATGTTCACTAAACAGACCCAGATTGGGAGTGTCCAGATATCCCAATATCTGGACAAAAAAGGCATTTCTTTTTCTTTCTTTTTTTTTTTTTTTTTTTGAGATGGAGTCTTGCTCTGTCACTCAGGCTGGAGTGCAGTGGCGCGATCTCGGCTCACTGCAACCTCCACCTCCTGGGTTCGAGTGATTCTCCTGCTTCAGCCTCCGAGTAGCTGGGATTATAGGCGCCCACCACCACACCTGGCTAATTTTTTTGTATTTTTAGTAGAGACGGGGTTTTACCATGTTAGCCAGGATGGTCTCGATCTCCTGACCTCGTGATCTGCCCGCCTCAGCCTCCCAAAGTGCTGGGTTTACAGGCGTGAGCCACTGCGCCCGGCCGAACAAAGGCATTTCTAATTTTGCTCTAAAGATAATATTGATTCTTGAGCAATATAGTAATTAAGAAAATTAATTCTTTATCACAAACCCTTGTAGCAGAGCACATCTCCCCATATATACGACCATTGTACCTAGGGTGGATGCATTCTTCCACTGACTTTTTTGTTTTGTTTTGTTTTTGAGATGGAGTCTCTCTCTGTCACCCAGGCTGGAGTGCAGCGGCACGATTTCGGCTCACTGCAATCTCTGCCTCCCGGGTTCAAGCGATTCTCCTGCCTCAGCCTCCCGAGTAGCTAGGATTACAGGCATGCACCACCATGCCCTGCTAATTTTTTTATTTTTGGTAGAGACGGGGTTTCACCACGTTGGCCAGGATGGTCTCATCCCTTTACTTTCTTAATAAACTTGTTTTTGCTTTGCACTGTGGACTCGCCCTGAATTCTTTATTGTGCAAGATCCAAGAACCCTCTCTTGGGGTTTGGATCGGGACCCCTTTCCTGTAACACAGGCACTCACTGATCTGCGTTGGATCACTATAGCTTAGCTTTACTTTTCTAGAATTTCACACCCATGGAATAATCTGGCATGTCCTCTTTTGTGTCTGATTTCTTTTGCTCAGCATGATGTTTTTGAGATTCACCTATGTTGTTGCGTGTACCAAGGGTTCATTCTGTTTTATTGCCGAGCTGTATCCCATCGTACAAATGCACCGGGTTGCTTATCCACTCTCCTGTTGATGATGGACAGCTGGGCTGTTTCCAGTTTTCAACTATTAGAAATAAAGCAGCACGCCAGGCACGGTGGCTCATGCCTGTAATCCTAGCACTTTGGGAGGCCTAGGTGGGCGGATCATGAAGTCAGGAGTTCAAGACCAGCCTGGCCAGCATGGTGAAACCCCATCTCTACTAAAAATACAAAAAATTAGCTGGGCAAGGTGGCATGCACCTGTAATCCCAGCTACTTGGGAGGCTGAAGCAGGAGAATTGCTTGAATCCGGGAGGCGGAGGTTTCAGTGAGCGGAGATCACGCCACTGCACTCCAGTCTGGGTGACAGAGCGAGACTCTGTCTAAAAAAAAGAAAGAAAGAAAGAAAGCAGCTATGAACACTCGCATGCAAGTCTTTGTGCAAACATAGGTGTTACAGGAAAGGGGTCCCGATCCAGACCCCAAGAGAGGGTTCTTGGATCGTACACAAGGAAGGATTCAGGGCAAGTCCACAGAGTAAAGTGAAAGCAAGTTTATTAGGAAAGTAAGGGAATAAAAGGATGACCACTCCATAGACAGAACAGCCCTGAGGGCTGCGGGTTGCCCAGTTTTATGGTTATTTCTTGATATGCTAAACAAGGGGTGGATTATTTATGCCTCCCTTTTTTAGACCACATAGGGTAACTTCCTGACGTTGCCAAGGCATTTGTAAACTGTCATGGCGCTGGTGGGAGTGTAGCAGTGAGGATGACCAGAGGTCACTCTTGTCACCATCTTGCTTTTGGCAAGAGCTTCTTTACTGCAACCTCTATTATCAGCAAGGTCTTTATGACCTGAATCTTGTGCTGACCTTCTATCTGATCCTATGACTTAGAATGCCTTAACCGTCTGGGAATGCAGACCAGTAGGTCTCAGCCTGATTTTACCTGGCCCCATTCAAGATAGAGTTGCTCTGGTTTACACACCTCTCATATAGGGACATATCTGTATGTTTTCATGTCTCTTGGGTATACCTAACAGTGGAATTGCTGGATTACCAACTGGCATTATATTACCTATATAATATGAGGTATTATACAGGTAAGCTCCAGGAGGACAGAGACTGCTCATTACAGAATGTGCACAGTGCCCAGCACACACATGGCATGTAGCCAGTGCTGCAAGTCCACCTGAATGAGTAAAAAGCCAGCCAGCCTGATTTCCAAACTTAAGGGCTACACCCAGGAATTTGTTGTTCTGCCTCCTCCCCATCCACAGGCTACTGCTGGGGTTCCTGGCAGGTGTGGGGGCTGGGAGGGGAAGGGAGTTGGGGGAGGGGGCCTGGACACTTTTGTGAACCCTGTTGAGGTTGACAAAGGAGAGGGGTCACCATGGTCATGCCAGGGGTCTCTATCCCACACCTGGAATTTCTCTTAGGGCTTCCTGTGATGCTGAGATGGGGCAGCTGTGTCCCTGGCCCCACTCTTCTCCCTTGATGAAACTGCCTTTGCAGAAATTATAACAGTAAGAAAATTAGGACAGTGAAAGAGACCCATCTAACCAACCCCTATCTTGCCTTTCACCTCTAAACTGCCCTTAGGCATTCCTGGGCTTGGGCCAAGCTAACTTTGGGAGACATTTAGTTTATAGTTTAAACGATAATAGCCCATCTCCCAAACTAAACCGCCTTTGTAAAGATAATGAAAGAGCACTAGGTTAGGAAGATGAGAAGTGCCTACATTCTGCTAAGGTGGAGCTGTAACCGATTATCAGTCATTATTCCAGAGGCCACAAGATTCGCAACTTCTCCGGTTACTCCTGCAAATAACATCACTCTTGGAGAGTCCAAGATTGACTTTTTGAGACAAGTTTTCAGGTTTTTTGGCATTTCTTACTACCAATGGCTGGGGCATGGGGGTGCGGGTGGCACCCCAGTCCTGTGGCCCCACCCAGAAGCGGACTCAGCACCCCAGGACAATTTTCCACACCCCTGGGATTGCATCCCCAGCCAGTCAGCAGCACCCATTTCCTGGCCCGCCAAACTATCCTTGAAAAACTCCAGCCTCAGAATCTTCAGGGAGGCCGATTTGAGTACAAATAAAACTCCCGTGTCCAGCCAGCTCTGAGAAATCTGGCTGTCTCCGGGCAGCGGGCAAGGTGAACCCACGGGGTGGTTACATGGGGACCCAGGCTGTCTCTTGTATGGGGGACTTATGCAGGCCCAGCCCCTCCCCTTCTCCTTCCCACCCTCTGAGCGGCCTCCAGGACGCACTCGCGTGAGGAAACCCGGCCCGCGTGTCCGAGTTCTGTCCACGCCTTCTGCCAACAGCTGTCCTTTGCTCTTCGGGGCTCCTGGGACCGCGGGAAGGGGCCGGGGTTGCCTGGGGAAGGGGTGGGTGCACCTGTGTGCATGGTTTAGGGGTCTGGAGTCTTTGAGGTCGGTGGGTGTTTGTGTCTCTGTGTGTCTGTGAATCTGTCTCGTCTGTGGTTCCAGGCCTGGTGGCGCTGCAGACCCCAAGAGGCCGCCCTCCGCCTTCAGACAGCTCCCGCCGCCTCCCGGCGCCTGGGAGGAGACGGTGGGAAAATCGCGGCGGCGACGAGAGCCCGGCCTGCTCTTTCCGTTCCGCTCCCGCAGGGGGCGCCAGCGCTCCGTGGAGAGCGGCTGCGGCCCCAGAGACCACGCTCGGGCCGCCTGACGCCCAGAGCCCCCAGGAAGGGGAAACTGAGACCCAGGGAGGAGAAGGGAGGCTACTCAGACCTCCTAAATTCTAGTCCCAAATTCCACAGCACCAAGCTTGTCCCTAGACTTAGGAAATGCAGTGGGAGCGCTGTTCTCTACCTGGGCTGCACAGGCTGGCTCAGAGGTGGGGGATTGGACTCAATGACCTCTCAGTCCCCTCAGAGACCCTCGCCAGCTGTGGGGAGGTCCGCCAGCTCAGGGATGAGGTCTGGAGGGTAGGGCTGGGGGGACTTGGCCCTCTGGAAGTTGCTCACTGTGAGGGCTAGGTTGAGGACCCATTTATTCATCTGTAAAATGGGTGTGTAGGGAACAGGCATGTTCAGTTTTCTCCCTTGCTTTCGGCTTCATCCTAGCGCAGGTCAGAAGCTTAAGGGGAGCCTGGGCCAGCGTCCTGGGCATCCCATCCTTGCATTCTCCAGACATGACCACCTCCAGACCCTGCTCATTCCTAGACCTGCCTACTGGACCATGGGATGGTGATCGCGCCTACAGCATCCTTACCTAAGCAGCCCGACTCAAAACGATGAATTGGACCAATCAGTTATTGCCCTCCTGTTCTTCTAGAACTGTATACAGACACCCATTGTCCGTGGCCTTGTGCTGGGTGCCGGGGAGAGAGCAGTAAACAGAAAAGTGAGGCTCTGCCCCTAGAGACCCCACCGTCCAGAGAGAGGAGGCAGCGTGCCAAGCAAGTAAACAACAAACCAACAAACAATTACAAAGTCCTGTGAAGGAAACCAAGAAAGGGCAGACAGAAAGGACGACTGAGGAGGGGGAGGCTGCTCTTAGCTGCAGCTGTCAGGGGAGTTCCCTCCAATGAGGCAGCATTTAAACCAGGAGCTGAAAGATGAGTTGGAGTCAGCCATGCAGAGGCGAGGTCAGTGGAAAGGGTGAGCTAGGGCAAGGAAAACAATCAGACTCATCCTTTTATAAGATCCTCACGCTGCTGGGTGGAGAGTGGGCCTGGGCAGGGCGTGAAGGGCAGTCAGAAGGCCAGAGAGGACGCCGTTGCCATGAATCAGGGGACAGCTGCTGGTGGCTCAGACCAAGGTGGTGGCTGTGGAGGTGGTGGATTCTGGATGTATTTTAAAATAGGATTGGCGGGGCGTGGTGGCTCATGCCTGTAATCCCAGCACTTTGGGAGGTGGAGGTGGGTGGATCAACTGAGGTCAGGAATTCGAGACCAGCCTGGCCAACATGGTGAAACCCTGCCTCTACTAAAAATACAAAAATCAGCCAGGCATCGTGGCATGGATCTGTATTCTCAGCTACTCGAGAGGCTGAGGCAGGAGAATCGCTTAAACCCATGAGGCAGAGGTTGCAGTGAGCCAGGATCATGCCACTGTACTCCAGCCTGGGCAACAGAGTGAAACTGTGTCTCAAAAAAATAAAAATAAATAAATAAAAAAAATAGGGTTTATTTAATTTATTTATCAAATCAAATCAAATTGCCTTGAAGCCTTGGGTAGTTGGAAGTGCCTTTTTCCAAGGTGGGGACAGGTGTGTGAAACGCGGGATGGGCTGTAAGGGATCCCAGGACGGAATCCAGCCCTCCCTACGTATTCCCTGTCTTTGCAGGTAGGTTGTGGTTCTGAACTCAAGGATTAAGGCTTCCAAACTTGGTCCAGCTTCAGTATTGCCTGGGAGCTTCGGTCAATATGATTCTCAGGTCCCAGATCTTTTGACACAGAAGCTCTCAGGTGGCCCCTATGTGGGAGTCCCTGCCCCAGAGCCCAGCAGTTGTTTTCCCACTAGGACTGTGGTGACTCCCGTCTTCCTCTTCTAGGTGGCCAGACCCAGGTGAGGGAAGAGGCAGTGGTGGGAGAGTTTGGAGGGAGCGCCAAGAGACACACATGAGCAGAGGCTGCTGGAGAGTCAGAGATGTCGAGAAATGCCAGGGAAAAACAAGCTACCTTTTAATTTTGACCTCATTTCTAAATGATCACAGCTACCAAGGAAGATATTAATTTGCCTCCTGGGAAGTGGCTGGGGGAAGCACCAAGAGAAACTGGCAAGCAAAACAGGACCCAGAGGCTGAAGTCCTTGCACCGAGCACTTGCCAAGGTGGAGGTGGGGAGGGCTGGGACTCTGAGGGCCCTTTGGGTCCCTAGAATGATGCTAAGATAAGTCAGGCAGCTGCTGGCAGTCCAGTTCATTCTGAATCCATCCCACGAGAGGGGCTCAAATGGCCAAAATGTGTCCCTTGCCTTGACAGGCTTGGGAGGTTCATGGAACATTCTCTCACTGGCCCTCTTCACCTGGGGGTCATCCTGTAGGTCTCCCCACAAGCATCACTTCTTCAGGGGAGGCCTCCCTTGCTCCCCATTACTGGGTCATATCCCCAGTGTGAACACCCACTTGGCCTTCTCTTTCCTCCCGTGGGCATGTTCAATGCATGATGCACTTTCATCCAGCAAGGCAGACCTGCTGTCTCCTTTTACAGGTGAAGGCGCTAAGGTTCAGAGAGTTTAAGCAGTTTGCCCAAGGTCACACAGCTTGCACATGGCCTGGAACTTCTGTGGCTGCCACAGATACAGAAAACATTGCCCCCAAGTCCTTTGTTATAACTGAACACCACTTAACAACAGAAAACTATGGCTACCCAAAAGGATCAGACGAAACCTCTCAAAGGACCAAATAAATATCAGTGCTAGGTCCAGGCACGACGTAGGGATTATGTTTTGGACGCCACATCCACTTGACGACAGGGCCCCCAGAGGCCAACCTTTGCTGAACGGAGCCCTCCCCTTCCCCAAAGTCAGCTGTTTCTCTGTCCCTGGAAATGCCTCTGAAATGTCAATTGTGAGCCACCCCCACCTCCCCTTCCTCCTACGAGCCATGTAGCAGCTCAAATATATTATACATATTAAAAGAATATATTCTCTGGCAGCCCTGAAGGGGATAATGAAACCTATATATATATATCTATATATTTATACACAATGGATTGGCTCGAAATGCTCTGAATATCCCTCCAGCTATGGCAACCCTTTGAAATATGACACTCGAACAACGCCTCCCCCACTGGCGGCTGGCGGGAGACATTAAAGATTTAAAAAAAGGGAAGGAAGGAAGGAGACGAAGGAGAAGAAAAAGGAGGCAGCTGCTGTTGCCTTTGGCTGTGCAGCAACAAACTGTGTTTAAATATTAAAACCACCCATCACCCGGCCCAGCTGTCTGCCCCCTTCAGTGGTCTGGGTTCTTGCCAGGGTCTCCTGTGGCTCAGAATGGCTGGTGGGGGGGGGGTGCCATGCAGATCTAACCCCCCAACCCTGGGGATGTGGCAGAGGCTGGGAGGTTGGAGGGGGAGGCTCTGCTTCTGATCTCAGATTCTGGGCTTGTCTAGGCTCGGCTGGGAAAAGGGATCTGATGTGGGAGTGGGGTTGGGGGGCGTCTGCTGGGTTTGAGGCAGAAGATAAGGGTTTGGATCCTGACTGCTGATTAGGCGCTGTGTGAACTTGACCTTGGGGAAATCACCCCCCAGCTCAAGCTGCAATAACCTCGTCTATACTGTAAGAGATTTAAACTTGATCGTGGGACTTGAGGACTCTATGAATCCTCACAAATTACATGCAAAATTGGGGTGAGGTCAAGGGAGTCACAGTCTCGCTGGAGTGACTGGCCCCCCTCTGAGTGTTCAGACCATGATTTCCATCTCAATGCTGGTATTTTAGGTCTCTGGGTAGGGCCTGATTTCCTCTGCATCCTGGTTCCTGCAGGAGAGGCACTTTGTAAGTGTTTGTTAATGATCAGAGATGGGAAGGTACACCTTGTTCCAACACTGTAATTAAAGGTGACCAGAAGTGGCATGGGTTATCTTGCAAGGTGGTGAGCTCCCTGCCACTGAAGGAATTCAAACAGAGGCTGAATGAACTCTTTTTGGGGATGCTGTAAGGGATACTTAAGCATTTGACAGGGTTTGACTGTGAGATCCCTTCTGATTCCAAATTTCTTATAATTTTAATTTTTTAAAACTTTTAAGTTCAGGGTTGCTTGTTACGTGGTTTGTTCTAAAGGTAAACTTGTGTCACAGGGATTTGTTGTACTGATTATTTCATCACCCGGGTATTAAACCCGTGCCCACTAGTTATTTCTCCCGATCCTCTCCCTCCTCCCAACCTCCACCCTCTGGTAAGCACCAGTGTCTTTTACTCCCCTTGATGTGTCCATGTGTTCTCATCATTTATCTCCCGCTTATAATTGAGAACATGGGGTATTTGGTTTTCTGTTCCTATGTTAGTTTGCTAAGGATAATGACCTCTAGCTCCATCCATGTTCCTGCAAAGGACATGATCTCATTCTTTTTTTACGGCTGCATAGTATTCCATGGTGTATATGTACCACGTTTTCTTTATCCAGTCTACTGTTGGTGGGCAGATAATTTTAATTTGTTATGATTGAAGGCTACACAGAACTTCAACTATGACTGAGGAGAGGAAGAGAGCAGTTTGGGGTTTCTGTATATTCTGCCAGAGTGTAAAGTGGCAGACGTGTGGCTTTGCCTTCCAGGTGCCTCTCATAGTGGTGTGGAGTGATTCCAGGGTTTAAATACACATATTTTACTCTGCCATAGCTCCTAAACTCACACCAAACACTTTTGATCATCTGCTCCACTGAAAACGCAGGGATTTTTTCCTTTCCTTTCCTTTCCTTTCTTTTTCCTTTTCTTTTTGAGATAAGGTCTCCTGTCACCCAGGCTGGATTGCAGCAATGCAATCACGGCTCATTACAGTCTCAACTTCCCGGGCTCAGGTGATCCTCCCACCTCAGCCTCCCTAGTAGCTGGGACCACAGGTGAATGCCACCATGCCCGGCAAATTTTTGTATTTTTTGTAGAGATGGGGTTTTGCCATGTTGCCCAAGCTGTTCTCGATCTCCTGGGCTAAAGTGATCTGCCTGCCTTGGCCTCCCAAGGTGCTAGACTTACAGGTGTGAGCCACCATGCCTGGCTGGATTTGCTTCGTCCCTGGAGGAAAAGCTGACTGAGCTGGACTCACTGACAGCTGAATGGTTTCCAGCATGGAATGTCTCTACAGGATTTGCAAGGGAAATTTTGTCTTTTTTAAAAATTATTTTTTCATTATTCTGGGTACACAATAGGTGTAATATATTTACGGGGTACATGTGATGTTTTGATGCAGGCATACAATGTGTAATAATCACATCAGGGTTATTGAGGTATCTGTCACCTCAACCATTTATTATTTCTTTGTGTAAGGAATATTCCGTTTCTACTTTTTTAGTTATTTTAAAATATACGATAAATTATTTTTGACTATAGTCTTCCT
The DNA here is from genome assembly GCF_000001405.40 of Homo sapiens. Lineage (NCBI taxonomy): Eukaryota > Metazoa > Chordata > Mammalia > Primates > Hominidae > Homo > Homo sapiens. Next base: position 37,570,018 of record NC_000020.11, read on the forward strand.
AGTGTGCTACTAGATCTTATTTGAGACAGAGTCCCTCTCTGTCGCCCAGGCTGGAGTGCAGTGGTGCGATCTTGGCTCACTGCAACCTCTGCCTCCCAGGTTCAAGCAATTCTCCTGCCTTAGCTTCCCGTTATTTCTTCTATCTATGTTTTTGTACCCATTAACCAACTTCACTTCCCCTGCCTCCCTGCAACCCTTCCCAGCCTCTGGTAACTGTCACTCTTCTCTCTGTCTCTGTAAGTTCAATTGTTTTCATTTTTAGCTCCCATAAATGAGTGAGAACATGCAAAGTTTGTCTTTCTGTGCCTGGCTTATTTCACTTAACATAATGTCGTTCAGTTCTATCCATGTTGTTGCAAATGACAGGATTTTATTCTTTCTTTATGGCAGAATAATATTCCTTTGCATATATGTACTGGCAAGGGGCATTTTGACTACACCAGACTGGGATATTTGCTCACCCATTAACTCTAGAACCAAATCCCTGAATAAGATGTGACTTCCCTAATTGGGATGCTCCAATTCTAACAGCCAGGAGTCTTAAGGGTTCAGGATTCCAGAATCTAAAGTTTCTATAACTTGAAGATTCCGAAAGTCAATATTTCTAAGACTCTATAAGTCAAGAAATCTTTAAGAGGTAGTTCAAGATAAGACTTTCTATGGGGAATGTATGTTAGGGGTGGAAGTGCTAAGGAATAAATGTGAAACTTTTTTGCTTTTTTTCAATGTGTGAACCACCTACCCATAGAAAATAAATCTATAAAAAGATCATCTGCAAAAGCAAAGTGATTTCACTTAACTTAGAAAAATACAAAATATTTTCTCTGTTAAAAGGACTGAAGCTCAGGTGGGAGTTTGATAAAGGGATGGAGTCTGCTGCATGCTAGTAAACCACCTCTCCAAAGAATGCTGGGGTCTGTAGCATTTGCCAGTTTTCATGGTGTAAATACTTCCACTGCAATCGATTTCAAGTTGCCAGCAGTTTAACAATTGGTTCTCAAAGTTCCCGAAAATCTAACAATCGCCCTTTTATGACCTAGCAAAAGCTGGCTGGCCAGGCTTCTGCAATAGAACCTGGAAGAGTCAGAGGGGTTGTGGCTTTGAGGACAATTGTTCAAGTGAGAAGAGGGCTGTGCAGATCTCAAGATGACATCGGGATCCTGATGTGAAGTTTTCCTGCTTCTGGAGGAGGGAAGCAGAGGGCTGTTTTGCCTCCTCTGGGCCAGGGATGCATGGAATGGCAGAGGTGGGGGCTCCCAGCTATGGTGACTGGGAGGGCAGGTAAGTGATGGGACTGATTAGGAAGAGCCGCAACTGTCCCTTCACCCGGCCCATCCTTCAGTGGAGGTGGACATTCGCCTATTTCCTCACACTTTTTTTTTTTTTTTTTTTGACAGAATCTCGCTCTGTCACCCAGGCTGGAGTGCAGTGGTGTGATCACGACTCACTGCAACCTCCACCTCCCGGGTTCACACAATTCTCCAGCCTCAGCCTCCCGAGTCACTGGGATTACAGGTGTGTGCCACTGCACCTGGCTAATTTTTGTATTTCTTTAATAGAGACGGGTTTCACCATGTTGGCCAGGCTGGTCTGGAATTCCTGACCTCAGGTGATCCATCTGCCTTGGCCTCCCAAAGTGCTGGGATTACAGGCTTGAGCCATCACACCCGGCCCCCTCACGCAGTGATTCCATGAAAATTTATGCAGAGCAGAGATCATGATGCTCATTTTGCTGATGAGAAAATTAAGACCCAGACAGGAAAAGGTATTTGTTTCCAGTCACATAGTTGCCAGGAAATAAAATGATAGTAGCTCAAATAGATTGAGCATTTACTCTGAGCCAGATCTATGCTAAATAGCTTGACTTGTTGCTTAGGTCGGGGTCCCTGGAAGCAGATCCTGAGACAAAGTCCCCTGTGCAAGAGATTTATTTCAAAGGTGTGCCCAGGTAAGGGGGAGAGGGGCTGCAGAACAGGGAAGGGGAGGAAGCCAGGCAAGGGTGTGAGTTCAGACCATGTCCTAGCCTCAGCCTAATGGGGTGTGGGTCTGGAGCACCCCAGAATTTGTCCCAGCTGGAAGCAAAAGATCCGGGCTTTCATACTCCTCTGTTAGTCATTGGCTGGGGGCCATTCTTGGGACACGTTGACTCCCAGGCCCCCAGGTCAAGCCTCCGAATAAGGATTTCTTTCTTTTCTTTTTCTTTCTTTCTTTCTTTCTTTCTTTCTTTCTTTCTTTCTTTCTTTCTTTCTTTCTTTCTTTCTTCTTTCTTTCTTTCTTTCTTTTTCTCTCTCTTTCTTTCTCTCTTTCTTCTCTCTCTCTCCTTCTTTCCTGTCTCTCTCTCTCTCCCTTCCTTCCTTCCCCTTTCTTTCTTTCTTTCTTTCTTTCTTTCTTTCTTTCTTTCTCTCTCTCTCTCTCTCTCTTTTTCTTTCTTTTTTTTTTTTGACACAGTTTCACTCTGTCACCCAGGTTGGAGTGCAGTGGTGCAATCTCAGCTCACTGCAACCTCTGCCTCCCAGGTTCAAGTGATTCTCCTGCCTCAGCCTCCCGAGTAGCTGGGATTACAGGTGCACGCCACCACACCCTGCTAATTTTTGTATTACTAATAGAGATGGGGTTTCACTATATTGGCCAGGCTGGTCTCGAACTCCTGACCTCAAGTGATCCACCCGTCTCGGCCTCCCAAAGTGCTGAGATTACAGGCGTGAGCCAACGTGCCCGGCCTGAATAAGGATTTCTTATTAGCATCCAAACACATCGGAGCTGGGCATCAACAGTGTCCACTCGCTTGTATTAACTCAATTATTCCTCCCAGCAATGCTAAGTGGTATTATTATCACCCCCACTTTGTAGATGGGGAAAATGAGGCACAGAGAGATGGAGCCACCTGCCCAGCATCACACAGCTAGTGACTGTCAGAGCTGGGCGGAGCCTCGGCCAAACCGAGGCCTGTACACAGTTCCCATTGTTCTCTTCTCGGAGGAAGGGACGTTGGTGACTGGAGGAGCAAGAGAAGATGGCCAGAGGCAGGGGAAGCTGTCAGGACCAGGGACAGCAACTCTCAGAAGAAAGGGGAAAGAGAGGCGAGGCTTTAAGAGACCTGTTTGGGCTGGGTGCAGTGGCTCACGCCTGTAATCTCAGCATTTTGGGAGACTGAGTCAGGCGGATCACTTGAGGTCAGGAGTTCGAGACCAGCCTGGCTAACATGGTGAAACCCCGTCTCTACTAAAAATACAAAAATTAGCTGAGTGTGGTGGTAGGCACCTGTAATTACAGTTACTTGGGAGGCTGAGGCAGAAGAATCGCTTGAACCCAAGAGGCAGAGGTTGCAGTGAGCTCAGATCGCACCACTGCACTCTAGCCTGAGTGACAAAGTGAGACTCCGTCTCCGAAAAAGAGAGACCTGTTTGGACAGAGGAAGGTAAATGAGACAGAGAAGGAGTAGGGAGGTGGGGGTATGGAGAAGAGGCTCACACAGCGCTCTCTTCCCCTCCCCCAAACATCCTAGCCCAGCCCTCTGAGCCTTAGTCTTTTTCTCTGTAAAATGGGGTGAATAGAGGTACCTGTTCCCTCATAGTGCTGTTGAGAGAATTAAATAAGAAAGTGCTTGTCAAGTGCATGTTCTGGGTGGCCCACTGTGAGGACTGACAGCCACAGCTCTTCCCTCTGCCTGGCCAAGAGGCACCAGCTGGGGTGCTAGATGTGAGCTGAGCCTCTGGCCTAGGGGACGAGGGGCTGCTGTAGGGCTGAGTGTATGCTGGGGGAGAGGGCTGGGGTGAGCTGAGGTGGGGCAGTGGATTTGCCCCCGAGAGCCTGAGGGGAGCCATCAGTGTGCTTTCAGCCGGGAATGTCGTGACTGCAGTGTGGGGTGTGTGCTGGGTTCAGAGGGGCAGCAGAGAGATGACAGGGTGGGGAGATGGTTGAGGTTGGGCGATGCTAACGTCCAGGCAGGTGGTGCGGCTGGGCTGGCACAGTGGGTGACACACATGGCTTGTGGGTGTGTAGCATAGTGTGCCCTGTGCATGGGCCTGCATGGGCACGTGTGTGTGGTCTATCTGAGTGTGTGTCATGAGTGTCTGTAGGGGCATCTGTGTGTCTGTGTAATGGTGCATGTGTGTCTGGGAGTGAAGTTGAGGGCATGCATTGTACTAGTATGCCTACCATACTTGAGCGTGTTTGCAAATGTGTGTGGGTGTGTGTCTGGCCCAAACCTGGCAGGCTGCGGTGGCAGAGGGGCTGAAGGCCTGGCAGTGGCCTGATGGGCAGCTTTGGAACTCCTTCCACCCCTCTCTCACAGGAGCTGACTCCCAGACCGAGGAGGCCTGCTGGCACTGAGTCCGTCCTGTATCTAGAAGGACTGCCATGGCCCTGGCAGTGGGGGAGGGCTCTTAGGACCTGGGGCAGGCTGGGGAGTCAGGACTGAGAAGGGAGTGGGGTGGGTGAAGGCTGGGTGCAGACCTAGGAGAGGGCCACCTCCCTGGACCTCTGTTTCTGTGTCTGTGAAGTGGGCCTTGAAGAGTGGCCCCAAAAGATACAGCTGGGCAGATCCACCAATGTCTGCTGGCTTGAACCCCACCTTACACAGAGGCCCAAACTGGGCAATAACTTGATGAGTGTTGCCCAGCAAATCAGTGGCTACTTGGAGGGCAGACTCCGGCTTCCCGTGGCCATCTGAGTCAGGGCCCTGGCAGGGATCCTGGAACACCAGCACTGGGCCTCCCTTCTCCAGGCAGCACCCAGCACAATATTCCAGCCTGGGGGACAGGACTGATAGATGCTGTCCCCTCATGTTCTGGCAGATGCCCAGGCATGACTTCAAAGCTGGAAACAACATGGGAATCCCACCATCAGAGCTCACAGCCTCTCCATTCTGCAGGATTTCAAGGCCAAGGAATAGCTTTTCTGCCTGTCATTCCGCCATTAAGGAGTCAGTCATTTGGCTATGTAAATCTTTCAAATGTTTCTTTTTTAAAATGTAGGTAATTTCAGAAAGTATTTTACTTTCCACCTTGGTTGTCAATTAAGATTGGGACCGGGGAGTTGAGTTGGACTCTTTATGGGGCCAGGTTACTGGGGGAGAGGTCCTGAAGTCAAACAAGGACCTTGTACTTGCAGTGATGAGCCCTGCTTTGAGAGAAATGCCAGCACCACCAGCCAATAAGATGGAGAGAGGGAGGAGGGTGGAGTATGTAAACTGAGGCACAAAAGCTGGGGCCAAAGCAAACACTTTATAATTGTTATTATTATTATTATTTGAGATGAAGTTTAGCTCTTGTTGCCCAGGCTGGGTGCAGTGGCACAATCTTGGCTCAGTGCAATCTCCCCCTCCCGGGTTCAAGTGATTCTCCTGCCTCAGCCTCCCAAAAAGCTGGGATTACAAGTGTCTGCCACCACACCAGCTAATTTTTTGTATATTTAGTAGAAATGGGGCTTTATCATGTTGACCAGGCTGGTCTTGAACTCCTGACCTCAGGTGATCCACCCATCTTGGCCTCCCAAAGTGCTGGGATTACAGGCATGAGCCACCACGCCTGGCTGCAAACACCTTATTAACAGATACCTTAGTTGAAGTTAAACACCCTAGTTAATAGCCAGCATCTTCATTAACTGTTAACACCCTAGTTAACTGCAAACACCCTACTTAACAAAAAGCTTACTTGTTGAACACTGTAGTATATAGTTAACAGTGAACACTCTAGTTAACAGCAAACATTGTTTTTAACAGTTAACACCCTGGTAAACTGTGGACATGCTACTTAACACACACTTTTGTTGACAGTGAACATGTTAGTCCACAGTGAACACATCCTAGTTAACAGGTAACACCTTCATTAACAGTTAGCACCCTACCCAACAACAAGCCCTTTAGCTGACAGTGGGTCTTTGGCAGAAAATTAGGTTGAGGCACTCACTGAGGGTTTTGGGAGAGGGAGGAAGCTCAGCCTCTGGCTCTGTCCTTAGGCCTGGCCCACCAGCCCCACAGCGCTACCTCCATGCAGTAGTGCCCTCTGGCTTACAGGGGGAAACAGGAAACCACAGCTGGGATGTGAATTCTCAGCCTGAGTGCCCTGTGCTTCCCTGGAGGGGAACTCAAGTTCCTCTTTTGTGTCAGAGATGAAAGTCTGAGCTACAGTAGGTGGGGAGCTTGGAGTGATTTGTGTGTCTCTCTTTCCTCTCACCCTCCCTTCCTCCTTGCTCTTGGTCTCACTGTTAGCCCCCAGCTGGCTGTGTCTGGGGCTCCCTTTTCTCCTCTACCTTGCACTCCAGCTGACCATCTCGTTTCTGGATCCTTCTCTTTGCTCATCATCTTTCCTCAAACTCTCTCTCTCTCTTTCTTTTTTTTTCTTTTGAGACAGAGCCTCATTCTGTCACCCAGACTGGAGTGCAGTGGCACAATCTCAGCTCACTGCAGCCTCTGCCTCCTGGGTTCAAGTGATTCTCATGCCTCAGCCTCCTGAGTAGCTGGGACTACACGTGTGCACCACCACGCCCGGCTAATTTTTGTATTTTTAGTAGAGATGGGGTTTCGCCATGTTGGTCAGGCTGGTCTCAAACTCCTGGCCTCAGGTGATCCACCTGCCTCGGCCTCCCAGAGTGTTGGGTGTGAGCCACTGCACTGGGTCCTCAAACTCTTCCTCTGACTTTGTCAGTTTCTTCCCCCTACTCTCGTCTTTCCCACTCCTTGTCTCTGTCTCTCCCTCCCTCCTTCTCTTATCATCCTCCAGATCTCTGCCCAAGCACCACCTTTTCCAAGAAGCCCTCCCTGACCCTCCAGGCCTAACTTATGTCCCCGTGTCCTCCTGGAAACCATGCTCCTTGCCTTCAGAGCCCCCACTTCTACTTGCAGTGAGTAATTACAAACCAGAGTCTGTCTCCCCACCAGCATGTGAGTTCCTTGTTTGCCTTGCTCACTGCCATATCCTCAGTGCCTGGCATACAGTGAGTGCTTAATAGATGTTCCTGGTGTAATTGCCTTTCTCTCTGCCCCTTCTAGTCTCTCTGCTTTGTCCTAGCTGCCCGGATGACCTAGCCAGAGGCTTCTCCACTTGTCTCTCATCCTGCTCTTCACTTCCCTGTCTCCACAGCTCTTGGTGGCCCAGGGTGGGCCTTGGCCTTCAGCCTGCTGACCCAGGACCCTCACTCCTTCCATAGTGGGGACCAGTGCCTGTCTGAGCCCCATCATGATCCCACTGGGAGGTACTTGTTATAACTGGTTAGAGGAATGAATGATACAAAGAGAAAGGATTTGCCATTTCAATCCCAGCCATCTCTGCTTGACATACCTTGTGACCCTGCGCAAGTCACCTCATCTTTTGAGTTTCTCTTTCTCCATCTGTGAAACTGACTGGAGATCAGCAAAGACATTCCATGGGAACCTGCTTTGTAACCCATGAAGTGCCTTGTTGGTACCTGTGACTACCAGATGTTAGTATAACGTTTTCCTTCCCTCTCTGGGCACTAAGACACATGAAGTTCAATTTGCAGCCCCCAGGAGCCCAGGCTGGGGTGCTTGGGGTGCTGGGGCTCTTCAATGATGGCAACTAGGGGAAGGACAAAGTTGGTGTTTAAAACCAAATTCATTAATGTGTGTATCATTGAGCAGGGATCCTCAACCCCCAGGCCACATAGCAGGAGGTGAGCGGGGGACAAGCAAGCAAAGCTTCATCTGTATTTACAGCTGCTCCCCATTGCTCACATTACTGCCTGAGCTCCACCTCCTGTCAGATCAGTGGTGGCATTAGATTCTCACAGGAGGGCGAACCCTATTGTGAACTGTGCATGCGAGGGATCTAGGTTGCACACTCCTTATGAGAATCTAACGCCTGATGATCTGTCACTGTCTCCCATCACCCCCAGATGGGACCATCTAGTTGTAGGAAAACAAGCTCAGGGCTCTTACTGATTCTACATTATGGTGAGTTGTATAATTATTTCATTCTATATTACAATGTGATAGAAATAGAGTGCACGATAAATGTAATGTGCTTTAATCATCCGGGAATCATCCTGAAACCTTCCTTCCCCCAACCCCACACCGGTCCTTGGAAAAATTGTCTTCCATGAAAGCTGTCCCTTGTGCCACAAAGATTGGGGACCACTGTTACTGAGCACCTACTATGTGCCAGGCACTGTTTAGGGCTCTAGGGCTATATCAGCAAACAAATTAGAACTCTGCTCCTAGTTCCTAACGCAGTCATTGCACCATCCATGACTTCAACAGATATGCATTGAGCACCTACTGTGTGCTGGGCACAGCGGAGGCCTTGGGATGGAGAAGTGAATGAGACCTGCCCTCACAAGTGCATATTTGGTGCTCCATCTCTGTTCAGTGCTTAGTGCCTTTCCACGCTCCAATATTTTACCTTTGGCCTGCCCAACTAAAGTGATGAGAGCAATTGCAGATTAGGTGACTTGCTGAAGGTCACGTGTGCTGGAAATTGGAAGAGCTGAATCAAAACTCAGATCTGTTTGAGTCTAGGGCCCTAACTCTTTGGGTATCTTGGGTTGTATCTATCCTCTGTTTACAAGTCTCTCTCTCTCTCTTTTTTTTTTTTGAGATGGAGTCTCGCTCTGTTGCCCAGGCTGGAGTGTAGTGGCACCATCTCGGCTCACTGCAACTTCCGCCTTCCAGGTGATTCCAAGTGATTCTCCTGCCTCAGCTTCCCAAGTCGCTGAGATTACAGGCATGTGCCACCAAGCCTAAGTTTTGTATTTTTCGTGGAGACGGGGTTTCACCATGTTGGCCAGGCTGGTCTCAAACTTCTGACCTCAGGTGATCCATCTGGCTTGGCCTCCCAAAGTGCTAGGATTACAGGCATGAGCCATCGCACCTGGCCCCAAGTCTCATTTTCCCTGTCTGTACCCTGAGTAACCTTGGAGACCATCCAGCGACGTGGATCAGTGAGAGGAGTGTTGGGGCCAGTGAAGCCGGGGAAGGGGTGCCCAAACTAACATCCCTTCTCCACCAGCAGCCAGGCCAGCTCAGCCTCTGTGCAACTTTCCCTGCTTCTGAGTCTGGAGGTGGTTCTTATTATTGGCTCCAAATGACTTTTGCATCCATTTATTTGCTGCATTTTGATTTTGCATTCAATCTCTGGTCCATTCATGGTGTCTGCGCTACCTAGGGGATGCAAAATTGAGGCAGCCAGGAGTGCAGTTTGGACACGCCTGACAGCCACCACTCCTTGGAGGGAGGAACGCTTGACTGACTCCACAGTGGAAAGGCTGATGAGCAGGAGGCTGCCCCGCCACTGCCCCCTACTCCAGCCAGAATCTGCCAGATGGGCTTCCCACCCCGAAGCTGGCTTCTCCACTCCCCCGGCTCCAACACACATATCTCAGCTGGAGAGATGGCCACTGGGAACCCAGCCAGTACCTGGGGCCTGTAAGCAGGGCAGGCACTAGACTTCATAAAGGATTTGAAATCCTTCAGGGCTATGCAGGAGCATTTGGGCAGAGAGAGCAGAATATGAGTCCCAACTTGGTCCCGCCAACCTCTCTTCTTCATTCACCTTTAGTGGTGTTGTTTTGTTTCATTTTGTTTTGAGGTGGAGTCTCACTCTCTTACCCAGGCTGGAGTGCAGTGGTGTGATCTTGGCTCACTGCAACCTCCACCTTCTGGGTTCAAGTGATTCTTCTGCCTCAGCCTTCCGAGTAGCTGGGACTACAGGCATGCACCACCACACCTGGCTAATTTTTGTATTTTTAGTAGAGACAGGGTTTGGCCATGTTGGCCAGGCTGATCTCGAACTCCTGACTTCAGGTGATCCACACACCTTGGCCTCCCAAAGTGCTGGGATTACAGGTGTGAGCCACTGAGCCCAACCTAGTGGGGTCTTTCTAATAGACGATTTGACCTGGCCCCTCTCCTGCTCAAGACCCTTCCATTGCTCCCCACTCCCCTCAGGCTTGGGTACAAATTTCTGGCCTTCCAAGCCCTATCCACACCAGCCCCCTCTCTCAGTTCTTCCTAAGCTCCAGCATCTCCCAGTGGCTCCTATTTCCCCATGTTCACACCTTGGCAGAGGCTGTTCCCTTTGCCCAAACCATTTGCCACATTGTCCTTTAGGCAAACTCCTAGACACTCTCTGCAAATTGTGAGGACACCAGCTAGCCCTCTGCACCAGGTATTGCACTTCACACTTTATATGCCTTATTCACTTGGCACTCACAGCCCCTCTAAGAGAAATTCCCATTTGCAGATCTCCTGAAGTCAGCAGAGGCTCAGAGAAGTCAAGCAACTTGCCCTGGGTCACACAGTAGGATGGCAGGGCAGGCAGTGCAACTCCAGAGTCTATGCTCCTAACCTCAGAGCCTCAGAACCAGCTCAGAGCCCACCTCCTCAGAGCTCTCCCAGCCACACAAACGCCAGCCTCCTCCATCCCACCTCACTCCTGCTCTCAGCAGAGAGACCTCCCTCCTCATCTGGGGCTCCCATGGACCCAGGACGTTTTTGGTGATTACATTTCCACACTGCCTTTATTCCCTCATGTCTGGCTCTGTCATGAGATGCTGAGGCTGGTCAAGGACTGTGGCTGTGGGTTCCCAGTTCCCAGCATAAGGCTAGGCAAAAAGGGTAAATGTAACTAAGATTGGTCTCATCAGGAGCCCCGCAGAGATGACAGAAGGAGCAAATGAAGTAAGAGCTGTAAACAGGCTGGGTGCAGGGGCTCATGCCTGTAATCCCATCACTTTGGAAGGTCGAAGTGGGAGGATCACTGAGCCCAGGAGACCAGCTTGGGCAACATAGTGAGACCCACTCCCTCAACAAAAAATAAAAACTTAACCGGGTGTGGTGGCATGTTCCTATAGTCCCAGCTACTTGGGAGGCTGGGGTGGGAGGGTCGCTTGAGCCCAGGAGGTCGAGGCTGTGGTGAGCTGAGATCGTGCCACTGCTCTCAGCCTGGGCGAGACCCTGTCTCAAACAAGCAACAAACAAAAAACCAAGCTGTAAACAGACCTTGTGTGGCTTTTGTGTCCAGGAGGTGGGGAGGTGTTATTATATGCAGAGGTGACAGGCTGCACAGCAATGATCTGCAGTGTCTACACCATCTTTCCTCCACAAAGTCAAGATGGGGCATCATCTCCTAAAGGGTCTCTGAAAGCACACCACCATTAGCTGGTTCAGTATCACTCCATTTCCCCCTGCCCCCTAACCCCCAGCCTTGGGGAGACTGGGGGAGAAGGAGGGTGCTTCTGGGGAGGAGGGGTCTCTGATTGAAGTCATATATCACAGTGGCAGCTGAGGCAGAGAGATGGGAGCGATTTTTCTTCATGGTTTGCAGACAAATGTGGTGGACAGAAAATTGATGGCAACCTTTGGCAGCGAGAGACCTGGGGCCTAGGGAGTGGCCATGCCTGCCCGGGCAATGGGGATCACAGGCAACCACTCCCCGCGGACCCCCGGCTCCCACCTGAATCTATTGTCCTGGGCAGAGGCAAGGGGGCAGCCCAGACTTGGGGAAGACGCATTGAGGGGGCGTGGGAGGAGGGTATGTGTGAGGTGGCCTGGGTTAGTGCTGACTGTGTGACCAGGGCAAAGTCAGGCCCTCTGTAGGCCTCAGTTTCCCCGCTGGTACAGTGAGTTGTCAAGGCCAGCAGAATCTTGGGGAGGGATGTAGGTGGGCTTTTTCCCATATCTCTTATCTTTAGCTGTCTCGTAGGGTCTGGGAGAGTCAGGAAAATGGACGTAACTCTGGCAGAAGTCTCAGGAGCCCCAAAGCTACACATTTCCTGCTTCCAAATTATCCTTGAACCTAGAGGTTTGGGGAGCTTAGAATCTTAGAACCTGGAAAGCTTGTTTTCCTAGAAACCCAGATTCCTCAGCTCTGAATGCATTCAGTGTAACTCTCCACCCACACCCCAGGTGTGCAAGAAATGTAGCTTCCTTTGTTTTTAAATAATGCATCGAACTTGCATTTCAAGCTCCGTTCTGCCAGGATGGAAGAAACCCAGGCGGACCGGGCTTCCCTCTTTCATGGGGCTGGATGATACTTGGGGGACTGCCACAGGTCATGGGAGAGGAGAGGTGACTCCTCAGTTGTCTGCCTATCAAGACATGATGCCCCTTCTGACCCTCAGTGGCTGGTCACCATGGCATGCAACTGTCCACAAGGCTGCTCTGGTCTTTTGAGTCTTTCTGATGCTCCCACACCATGCTGGGCACAGGGGTCTCTGCTGGGCCATATCAGACCTGTGGACCCAGACTGGGGCTCAGCCTGGAGTAGGGCACAGGCCACCGTTGCTCTCAAGTCTTCTAGATGTGGCTGTGGATTCTGACATCACCCTCAGGCCTGGAGATGGGGTAGGACTCCTTTCTCAGAGGCCTGCAGGTTCAAGGGCTCCGGGTTTCCCTTCGACTCCTTTCCTGAAACCCAGCTGAGGGGACTGCACTGGGGATCCTAGGGGTGACTGGGAGCTGGGTCACATCTGTTAGAGAAAAAATTATTCCCACCTGGTCAACGTGGCAAAACCCTGTCTCTACTAAAAATTAGCTGGGTGTGGTGGCACATGCCTGTAATCCCAGCTACTTGGGAGGCTGAGGCTGGAGAATCACTTGAACCTGGCAGGCAGAGGTTGCAGTGAGCCGAGATTGTGCCACTGCATTGCAGCCTGGGAGACAGAGCTATCTAAACAAACAAACAAAAAACAAAACAAAACAACAAGAAAAACAGAAACATTTATTCAACGACACTTGTTGAAGAGTGGTAAGGTGGACTTTTTATTCAGGACCATGGCAACAGGGACCATTGCAACGGGAATTTGCGGTGGGGGAGAAAGAACGGGCTCAACTCCAAATACAGCATGGGCAAGTGGGATTTATGGCTAAGGAGCAGTGCAGGGGTCCAAGGATGGAAAATGACTGAGAGGAAGCATCAGGGGTGAGGGAGAATCTGACTCAACTGATCTAACAGGATTCTTGCTGAAGACAGGCCAGGGGGATCAGGCATAATCTGGGCCGTGGTGGAGGGTGAACAGCCTGATTAGATATGAAGGATGATCAGATATTGAGGATAGGGGGTTCTTGCTAAACTGACTTAGGGTTCTTGCTAAAACTGGATTTTGTAAGAAAGTATGCAGATGGGCTTAGCAGAGTTTCGGGAGCCTGACTAAAGTTTGGTCAAGTGAAGAATCTCTGCTACTCTCTAGAGTTACTCTCAAAAAAATAAAAATAAAAATAAATAAAAATAAACATGATGGGTAGAGAGGCTACACACCCTGTTCCCTGAGAGCATTTGCTTTTTTTTTTTTTTTTTTTTTGAGATGGAGTCTTGCTCTGTCACGCAGGCTGGAGTGCAGTGGTGCAATCTTGGCTCACCGCAACCTCTGCCTCCTGGGTTCAAGCAATTCTGTCATCTCAGCCTCCCGAATAGCTGGGATTACAGGTGCGTGCCACCACATCTGGCTAATTTTTTTTTTTTTTGTATTTTTAGTAGAGATGGAGTTTCACCATGTTGACCAGGCTGGTCTTGAATTCCTGACCTCAAGCGATCTGCCTGCCTTGGCCTCCCAAAGTGCTGAGATTACAGGCGTGAGCCACCACTCCCGGCCAAGCATTTTCTTTTCAGGGGTTGGGAGGAGAAAGAGAAAGGAATTGGGTTGGTGAGTGGTATATACAGGGGTATTCAATTGTATCTGTAACATTTTATTTATATATTTTTATTAGTTATAAATTATATATAAATATACATATACATGTGTTTCTGTATGTAAGTTGTTTATAAGTTTTTAAAAGAGAAGCATGGCCTCTGTATCCTTCCGAAGCTGACTTCTCTCCCTTCCTATTACTTTGCTACGATTCACATTTGTTGTTGCTTGTGGCTGTTGTTCATTCATTTTGACTGCTGGATAGCATTCCATTGTGTAAGGATATCGGAGGATGCAAGTCCCCAAGACCTCCCCGACACTGCTGGTGGAGTGCAAATTGATGCAACCACATTGGAAAACAATTTGGCAGTATCTCATGGAGGTGAATATTCAGCAATTCCACTCCCAGGTAAATACCCAAGAGAAACTCTTGCACACACACAGCAGCAGACATGACAAGAATGCTTATAACAGTTCTGTCCACAATAACAAAAACCTGGAAACAACCCAAATGCTCATCAACCCGAGAAGGAATAAATACGCTTGTTTGCTGACAAAATACATTTTAAAAAATAAATAAAAGGTAAGAACTGAAGCAAGTCAGGCATAATTCTAATATAAGTTAAAACTGGATCATGGGCACATTGGTCTTTATTAATTTATTCTTTGAATGTCTGAAGTAATTCATAACAAAAAGAAATCATGTTTTGAAAAATCTTGAATTGTAGCATCTTGGACTTAGAAGGCCTGTGATCTTTGGTGTCAGAAGGGGTTAGGGATTAGCTAGTCATGTCTGTGACATCCGGGAGCTTACCCAGCGAGCTTCCAGCCTTTGCCTGTGTACTCTCTGCAGTGGAGTGACCCAGAGTGCATGATAAGATTAACTCCAGGGGTGGGGTAGGTCAAGATACAAACATTACTCTCATCTGCAGATATTGTTCATAAGGAAGGGAAATGACCTAGAATGACACAGAAAGGGCTGATAACAAATCAGGGTGACCAAGGATGACACCTCCCCCCCGCCAACTCCACGAGGGGCTGACAAAACTGTGCCCTATCCTAGAGATAGGCTTCCGGAATGACCAGGATGGGTCAGCATAGCTAGAAAAGGGGGTCCCAGAGCAGAATGTGGTGCATGGGTCTGCCTGATAGAGGGAAGCTGGTGGGCCCAGGCCATCAGGCCAGAAAACTGCATCTTCCTCATCCCCTCCCCTCCAGAATCTTGTCCTATTCACCAAGTCCCCTTATGTTTTATAATTCAGTCCCCCAGCCCTTCTGGGACGTCTGTACTACATTTCTCTTTAACTTGAACAGCATGCTGCCGGATGCATGCATGCCCGAACACATGGACCCTGTATTTACATATGCACATGCCTAGACCGGTGTGCACATGGGGTCCTGAGGAGTTAGTAGCTGTGGACATGCGTGTAGCTCCCCCTGGACCAAGTCCATGCCACACCATCACTGCTGCCAGATGACTCCCCAGCCTCTTCTTGGCTTCTCTGCCTTCCATCTCATCCCCTCCAAGCTCCCCATTGCAACCAGGGGTTGGGGAGACTCCTGAAATCCAGAGCTGACCCTGCCACTCCACAGCATGGATGAATGAATGTGTGTTACAGGCACATTTCTATGCTTATGCATGTGGGCTCCTGGATCCTGTGTGTGCACATGGAGATGTGTATGTACCCTATTTCATTTTTAGATTTATTTTATTTTTTGATTTGGTAATACCTGGACATGATAAAAGCTTCACACAATTAAAAAAGATACATAAGAAAAATCCATGTCCCAGTGGCTTTTTGAATGGTGGAGGAAGGACTTCCAAAAATCTGCTCCTTCATAAAAGCAATGAAAATACTGGAGAAACTCTCCAATATAGTTTTTTGAAACACTGGAAATTAAAAGCTTACATTAATCTGAGGAGTGTTGATTTTAAAATAGCTGAATCTTGGTAAGACCATGAGCTTTATGATGTTTTGTTTTCATTTTTCTAAGACAGGGTGTTGCTCTGTCACCCAGGCTAGAGTGCAGTGGCATGATCATGGCACGGCAGCCATAACCTCTTGGGCTCAAGCAATCCTCCCACCTCCCAGTCTCCTGAGTAGCTGGCACCACAGGCATCCACCTCCATGATGTTTTAACCTGCCTTAATCCCATTTCTCTCTCCCTATCTCTGTGATATTTTTGAAAACAGTGGTATTTAGTTTTCTACCTGTTTCTTGGGATATAGCTCCTAAAACTTTTGGAATCTCCAGAGTAATTAGTGTCTTTTGTATGCTAATGACATGACTGATGAGGTAGGTGGGGGGCCCTAGACAGCTTCAGGATGGGATCTGGTCACTGGACCAGTCTGAGAAACAGAAGTGAACTCTAGAGCCTCAGAGACCTGTAGGATACCACCAAGTGTACCAACATGTGCAAAATGGAAGTCTCAGAAAGATGGGAGAGAGAGATGAGGAAGAAAGAATATTTGAAGAAATAATGACCAAAACCTCCACAAGTTTAGTCAACAAACATTAATCTGCACATCCAAGAAGTGCGACAAACTCCAAGAAGGATATACTTAAAGGGGTCTGTATCTAGGCACTTCATTGTCAAACTGTTGAAAGCCCAAAGCAGAGAGAATCTTGAAAGTCTCAAGATAAAAGTGATTTACCAGGTGCAAGCAGTCCTCAAGAAGATTAACAGCTGACTTTATATGAGAAACCACGAAGACCAGAAAGCAGTGGGATGAATATTTGAAGTGCTGAAAGAAAGACTACTAAGTAAGAATTCTTTATCCAGCAAATTATTCTTCAAAATGGGGAATTAAGACATTCCTAGATTTAAAATATTGGAGAATCTATTACTAGAAGGCTTGCCTTACAAGAAATACTAAAGGGAGTCCTTTAGGTTGAAATGAAAGAACAGTAACTGGAATCTGCATGAAGAAACAACAGTTATAGAAGTAAAGTATAGAAATAAGGAGGAACGATAACTACATAGGTAGATATATGGCTACATAAATGTAATTTTGTTTATAACTTTTTTCTTCAATCTTATTTAAAAGATAACTGCACAAAGCAATAATTATAAAGCTATGTTGATGGGCTTATAATGTAATGTATAGAGATGTAATTTGTATGACAACAATAGCATAAAAGAGGAGGGAGGAAATGAAAGTATATTGGAGCAATGTTTTAGTATACTATGGAAATTATATTGGTATTGAACCAAATTAGATTATTTTAAGTTAATATATTGATTGTAATCTACATGGAAGCCACTAAGAAAATAACTCAAAAAATAAAAGAAACAAAACAAGATAATAAAAATGGTATACTAGTAGCCAGGCATGGTGGCTCACACCTGTAATCCCAGTACTCTGGGAGGCTGAAGTGGGTGGATCACTTGAGGTCAGGCATTCAAGACCAGCCTGGCCAACATGGTGAAACCCCGTCTCTACTAAAAATACAAAAATTAGCCAGACATGGTGGCGGGCACCTGTAATCCCAGCTACTCAGGAGACTGAGGCATGAGAATCACTTGAACCCAGGAGGTGGAGGTTGCAGTGAGCCAAGGTTGTGCCATTGCACTCTAGCCTGGGCAACAGACCAACATTCTGTCTCAAAAAAAAAAAAAAAAAAAAGGTATACTAGAAATTATCTGTTTAACACTAAAGAAGGTAGTATTGGAGGTATAGAGGAACAAAAAAATGTAAGACATACACATGGCAAAGTAAAATGGCAGACACGAATTCTACCTTATCAGTTAAGAAAAAAAGGAAAAATACATAACACGAAAACCATAACCAAAAGAGTTCTGGAGAGGCTATGCTAACATTAGACACAGTAATCTTTAAGATAAAGATTAATACTAGAGACAAAAAAGGATGTTTTATAATGATAAAATGGTCAATCCATCAGGTATACATAACAGCTATAAACACATATGCATCTAACAATAAAGCTCCAAAATACATGAAGCAAAAACTGACAGAATTGAAGGCAGAAATAGACAATTCAACAATAATAGATGGAAACTTTAATATTCTACTTTTAATAATGAATACGATACCTATGCAGAAGATCAACAAGGAAATGAAAGACCTGAACAATATTAAAAACTAACTTGACCTAACAGACACCTATGGAATATTCCTCTCAACAGCAGCATTTTTCTTAAGTATGCATAGATCATTCTCTAAAATAGATAATATGTTAGGTCACAGAACTAGTCTCATATGTTCAAAAGGATTTAAATCACACAAAATATGTTTTCTGACCACATAAAATGAAATTAATTATAAAAACATAATGAAAGAACTTTGGGAAAGCACTTTCCAAAAAAATGTGGAAATATAAACAACACACTACTAACTAGCCAATTAGTCAAAAAAGAAATAACAAGGAAAACTAGAAAATATTTTGAGATGAATGAAAATGAAGACACAACATACCACAACTTATGGGATGTTGCTTAGGCAGTGCTTAGAGGAAAGTTTACAGCTACAATCACCTATATTAAAATAAATAAAGATCTCGAATCAGTCACCTAAACTTCCTCCATAAAGAAATTAGAAAAAGAGGGGCAAACTAAATCCACAGTAAGCAGAGACAATTACATAATAAAAATTAAAGAGGAAATAAGTGAATGTACCACTTTATACCTAGTAGGATGGGTATAATAATGAAAAAAGGACAATAACAGGTGTTACTTGGCAAGGATTTGGAGAAATTGAAACCCTCATACATTAATGATGGGAATATAAAATGGAAACATTTTGTCAGTTTCTCAAAAAGTTGGACATAGAGTTACTATAGGACCCAGCAATTTTACTTTTAGGTATACATCCAGTCAAATGAACCTATTTTCAAACAAAAACTTACTAATGTATGTTTATAGCTACATTATTTATAATAGCCAAAAGGTGTAAGCAACCCAAACATCCATTAGCTGATGAATGTGTAAACAAAATGTGGTATATCCATACAACAGGGTATTATTCAGTCATGAAAAGAAAGGTGCTACAACGTAGATGACCCTTGAAAACATTATGCTAAGTGAAAGAAGACACAAAAGGCCACACATTGTATGATTCCATTTATATGAGAGATCTAAAATAAGGAACTCCATGGAGACAGGAAGTAGATTGGTGGTTGCCTAGGGCTGGGAGCAGGGAGAAATGAGGTCTAACTGCTAATGGGTATGGGGTTTCTTTTTGAGGTGTTGGAAATGTTCTGGAATTAAATAGTGATTGTACAACTTTGTGAATATACTAAAGACACTGAATGCGCACTTTAAAAGGATATATTTTATGGCATATGAATTATATCTCAATAAAACTGTCATAAAAGTCAATGTTCTGCCATGCTATTTTCTTCTTGTGTATCTTTCCAGAGATACTCTAGGCATGTGGCAGCATATATATGTATATAGTAAATATTTCTGTTTTTTTTTTGTTTGTTTTTGTTTTGTTGAGATGGAGTCTCGCTCTCTCGCCCAGGCTGGAGTGCAGTGGTGTGATCTCAGCTCACTGCAATCTCCTCCTCTTGGATTCAAGTGATTCTCCCACCTCAGCCTCCAGAGTAGTTGGGATTACAGGCATGTGCCGCAACAACCCAGCTAATTTTGTATTTTTAGTAGAGATGGGGTTTCACCATGTTGGCCAGGCTGGTCTCGAACTCCTGACCTTAAGTAGTCTGCCTGCCTTGGCCTCCCAAAGTGCTGGGATTACAGGTGTGAGCCACCGCGCCCAGCCTATAATAAATATTTCACTAAGTCTGAGATTCTATTAATGAAAACAGTATTTTATGTACTAAAAAGGAAGAAAAAATTAATTTTAATTGTAAGGCATATCTCAATTTCAGGGATGTTAACATGTTTAACATGTGGCTCTTGGAATCAGTGCAAATATTGATCACGTGTTTTGGAGAGCTCATGAATCAGGATATATCCTGGATGTGGTGGATACTTTCAGTGAACCTCATAGGTCCCTTTCAGACAGCTCCTGCACACAGTAATGGTTTTCTGCGTCTTTATCTAAGGGTGCTTCCTGGGTGCGCTTAGCCCAGAAATGCAGAATTAGTGCCCAGGAGCAACCTTCAGTCAGCAAGGAACAGGAGATGTAGAGAAAGCCAGCCATGGTGGCTCACGCCTGTAATCCCAGCACTTTGGGAAGCCGAGGCGGGCAGATCACTTGAGGTCAGGAGTTTGAGACCAGCCTGGCCAACATGGCGAAACCGTGTCACTGCTAAAATACAAAAAAGAAAAAAGAAAAAGAAAACAAAGAAAAAAAATTAGCCGACTGTGGTGGCACATGCCTGTAATCCCAGCTACTTGGGAGACTGAGGCAGGAGAATCGCTTGAACCCGGGAGGTAGAGGTTGCAGTGAGCCAAGATCTTGACACTGCACTCTGGCCTGGGCGACAGAGCAAGACTCCATCTCAAAACAACAACAACAACAAGAAACCAACCAGGAATTTGAAAGAAGCACCAACAACTTCCTTGCCCTTCAGAGACAATTCTGAAGTGCGTCTCACATGGTCTTTCAGAGGATGTCTAGCAGGACGGAGCCCCAGAGACCCCAGGTGTTAACTCACTCAGAATACACATTTGTCTCCTGTCATCCTTGCTGAGATTCCTAGGATCCCACATAAACTATTTGCACCCAAATCCCAGTCTTAGACTTTTCCTTTGAGAGAACCCACATTTAAATACTGTGTGTATGGCTGTGAATGGGGTGTGCACATCTGTGTTCATGAATATATGGGAATCAAAGTATGAATACATGTGTATACCCATGTTTATGTGTGTCTATGGAAGCATTTCTGTTTGGAAATTGGCATGAATGTGTATGTACACATGTGCATGTTTGTGCATGAATTTTTTTTTTTTTTTTTTTGAGACAGGGTCTTGCTCTGTCACCTAGGCTGGAGTGCCATGGTATGAACACAGCTCACTGCAGGCTCAAACTCCCGGGCTCAAATGATCCTCCTGCCTCAGCCTCCTGAATAGCTGGGAACGCAGGTGCCTGTCACCCCATCCAGCTAAATTTTTTTGATTTTTTTGTAGAGATGGGGTTTCACCATGTTGCACAGGCTGGTCTAGAACTTCTGGGCCCAAGTGATCCTCCCGCCTTGGCCTCTCAAAGTGCTGGGATTACAGGCATGTGCCACCACACCCAGCCTTTGTGCGTACTTACACTCCAGTGCAGATGCATCTATGGAATGCTTGTGTGTGCCAGTGTCCATGCACATGTATATATTTGTCATATTGCAATAGATGGGCTCTCAGACCTGTTTAAGGGTGTGTTTGTGTGCCTGCATGAGCCAGACAGGTCGAGGAAGCCCGAGAAAGACCCTCAGAGGGTCTCTGGTGCTTAGGAGCCTCTTGTTGGGTGGTGCCACTGGGGAGATGGGTGGGGAATGCATTATAATAGTGGCCTGTTGCATGCCCTCTCTTTCTCTGCAGATGCCTGTCTGGAGACAACCTCATCAAGTCTGGTCTCAGATGTGTGTTCTCTCTGATGGGAGACAGCTGGAGCGGCTGTCAGGCCTCCCTGGCAATAGCGGTGCCTGCGGCAGCACCTGTCAGCAGCACCTTAACGCTGTCCCAGTGATGGCTGCTGCGAGTGGGAAGGTGACAGGAGGCAGTTGTTCTTGGGGTCTGGGAGGCTCTTTGCTGCACTGCTCCTTGACCCCTCTACATGGAAGGGTGAGCCCCAGTTCCTGTACATCTTCTGGAATTGCAGACCTCCTCCCCACGTCACCTCCAGTGGATTTCCTCGCTGGTCTTGACTCTGGCTGATGCCACCCACACGCCTCCACTCCAGCTGTTTTCCTAAGACAGCGTGTGATGCCATGCCGCCCTGTGTTTCCTGGTCCCTCTGCCTCAAAGACTTTGGTTTCCCACCTCTGTCTGGTGAATTTCCCTTTTCCAAGGCCAGCTTCCAATTCCCTTTTTCAGACATCCTGTCATGCTGTGCCCAGGCAGAGCCTTCCTCCCCAAACCCACACAGCCCTTTGCACGTTTCTCTTCCATTACACATATTGGTTGCCAGGAAGGAGAATTCAGGTGAATGCCTGCCTCTGGCTCCCTATCACAATGTTTGAGTCTCAAGGAGGGCGACCAGGTGGAGTTAGGTGACCTCAACCCAAGGGGACAAGTGTCAGAGTTGGGCAGGGTAAGGTCTGGATCCCAGGAAGATAATTCTGTTGTTCTTAAAATAAGACCCCAGCTGGTGATGAGGAGAGAGACCTGGAGGACATAGAGAAGCGCCCAGAACCCTCCTTCATTCCAAGAGGAGCGGCTGCTGACCACAGGGCAGAGGGCCAAGGTTCTAGGAAAGGGGCACAGAGGTCAGGACCGGACTGCAGTCCAGCAAGAACTGGAGCTCATGCTTCAGCCTTCTGATTGAGCTCACCAGTCTTAAAGGAGACTGGAGCTCCCTGGACCTAGGTTCAAATACCCACTCCTCCGCTTATTTGCTGTGTGACTGTGGGCAAGTCACTTCACCTATCTGAGCCTTGGTTGCCATCAGTGCAACATGAGGTAAAACTGCTCAATTTAAGGAGATAATGTTGGGGAGGGCCTAACCCAGATATGGGCACACAGCAGGCACTGGTCTCCACCTTGGGGAAAAAAAGTCACAGCTGCAGCCACTGGGGCCGCCCGAGACAAGCTTAGGGAAACATTGCCAACTCCGGTTCCTTATTGCTGGGGGTGAAGGCTCTTGGCAGCCCCAGGCTGCACGTGACCCTTGAATCCTTTATGTTCGGTGTGACTTTTATCAAGTCATTTCACCTCTCCACACCTCAGTTTCCTGCCCCATAAACTGGAGACACTAATAAAACCCACCTTATGGGGTTGTTTGTAAGAAAGGATTGCTATTAATTGCCATAGGGAATGAATTAATTGCTTGTTAATTGCTATGAATGTTAAAAATCCATTGTTATACGAGTTAATTGCTTGAAAGTGCCCACCACAGTGCCTGGCACATAGTGAGCATTCAGCGCTCAGCAGCAGCTACTGTCATTGAGACAACGTTTGAACACCTGCTCTGTGCCGAACTTCATGCCAGGCACCCAAAACATCGAGACAGAGGCACAACTTGATCCGTGGATACTCTAAGCCCAGTTGTGGGTGGCCGAGGGGAAGGATGGAAGCACCCAAATGCCTCATGGAGAGTACAAAACATCACAAGACAGAGTCAGAAAAGGAGGTGCAGGAGGGCTTCCTGGAAGAGAAGACTTTTGAATGCTGCTTTAATAGCTGGGAATGTAACAACAATGTAACTAATATTTACTGAGAATTTACTCTGTGCCAGGTACTATAGGTGTTTCACCTATATGGTCTTATTTAAAGATTCTAACAGCAATAGGTAATAGGGACTATTGCACCCATTTCATGGAAGAAGAAAGTGAGACTTAAAGAGATTAAGACACCTGCCCAAGATCACCCAAGCCTGAGTTTGAATTTTCAGATACCTGAGCTCTGAAGCTCCGCATTCTTCGGCACTCCAGGAAGAGGGATGTAAAATTGCAGAATTAGGGGAGGGTGGGTACAAGTGTTAACTGTGCACCAGGGTATACCAGATCCTGGCTGGGACATTTTGCTTGCTTGATCACATACAATCCTTACTACAAGCCATATGAGGTAGACAATATTATCACCTCCATCTTGCAGATGAGGAAACAGGCTCAAAGCAGTTGAGCATTTTGTACAAGGTTAAACAATTGGCAGTGGGATCTGACTCTAGGCGCTCCAATTCCCAAGCCCATGTTATTTCTGATACTGTAGGTGTGTTCTGGAAACAGAAAGGAACTGTCCAGTGTGGCTAAAGGTTAGGGTCCTTGCAGAGAACAAAGTATGGAGCAGTTGGGACTGAATTTCAAAGGGCTAGATGTCCATTCATACAGTAGACAATGGGGAGCCACTGAAGATTGTGGAGTAGGGGCATGGTGGGGCCAGAGCTGCAACTTCCAAAGATGAATCATGTCACAGCACCTAAGATGGATGGGATGGGGATGAGAGAGGCAGCAGGAGCCCCATCAGGAGACAGCACCAGGTGATGGTGACTTTAGATGACAAGGGATATGGACAAACTGGCATTTTGCTGGGGAAGGAAAACCAAGAGCTCAGGGATGAGAAACAGCCAGGGGCAGGGCCATTAGCCTTATCAAAAACCTGATTGCTCTTAACAAAGTATTTAATACAATTTCCTGCTATTAGGGCCAAACCTGGACTAGCAAGATTATTAATTCTAAAGATAATCATTAAGCTGGGCGGACCGTATTTTAATATATGGCAACAGGCGAGCTATTGTCATTTTTTCCCTTCTATCTTGATTGCAGGTCACCCAATTAGAGCTGGCTTCAAGTGCCCCTTCCTGGAGGTAGTGAGATAAGGCTTAATGTCCTCAAACAAGAACTATCGGCTGTGACTAGAGGCCTATAAATATTAATAAATCTATAATTAGTCCTGTGAAAAGGGGGATCAATCCAGGAGAAGTTTCCACCCATTAATACTGGAAATCACTTTTGCTGGGAAAGCGGGCTTTTCTGTTCCAAATGCCAGGCTGTTTGAGGAGGATGCAGCTCTGTCAGGTTTGCCAGACTGATTCACTTCTACTCGGCCATAGTCGTAGTATCGTGGGGGCAGTGAGAATCCCTGCAGGGTCTCACAGGGAGAAAGGCTTCCCAGAGGTGGTGACGGGAGAAGGTTGTGGCCCCCATGATCTTGTCTACAATTATTTTAATTTTTTACTTAAGTTTTTTTTTCTTTTTTTTTGAGATGGAGTCTCGCTCTGTTGCCCAGGCTAGAGTGCAGTGGCGTGATCTCAGCTCACTGCAGCCCTCCACCTCCCGGGTTCAAGTGATTCTCCTGCCTCAGCCTCCCTAGTAGCTGGGATTATAGGTGCTCACCATCCCACCCAGCTAACTTTTGTATTTTTAGTAGAGATGGGGTTTCACCAGGTTGGCCAGGCTGGTCTTGAACTCCTGACCTCAGGTGATCCACCTGCCTCGGCCTCCCAAAGTGCTGGGATTACAGGTGTCAGCCACTGCACCTGGTCGTAAGTTGCTTTGTTTACTTATTTAAAAAAATTTATGTATTCATTTATTTTCAGACAGGTGTCTTGCTGTATTGCTTAGGCTGGTTTTGAACTCCCGGGCGAAGACAGTCTTCCTGCCTCAGCCTCTGTAGTAGCTGGAATTACAGGCATATACCATCAGGCTTGGCAACATAAGTTGTTTTATTGTTATTGTATACCAGAATCCTAATAAAGAAAAAATTTCTTATTCTTCATGTGAAATTTGAGTGGGATAGTGGGCTAAGTGAGGGAGCTTTGTAGAGCTATAAGGTATCCAGAGATATGAATACATGTTATTCTATTCCAAAATTTTTATTGAGGTATAGTACATACTCAGTAAAATATACACTTCTTTAAATACAACCTAATGACATTTTTTTCCTTTTTTTTCTGAGATGGAGTCTTGCTTTGTCACCCAGGCTGGAGTGCAGTGGTGTGATCTCGGCTCATTGCAACCTCCATCTCCTGGGTTCAAGCAATTCTCTTGCCTCAGCCTCCTGAGTAGTTGGGATTACAGGTGCGTGCCACCACGCCCAGCTAATATTTTGCTTTTTTTTTTTTTTGGTAGAGACGGGGTTTCACTCCATGTCTGGCCAGGCTGTTCTTGAACTCCTGACCTCAAGTGATCCGCCTTGGCCTCCCAAAGTGTTGGGATTACAGGCGTGAGCCACTGTGCCTGGCCAATGACTCTTTATATTTGCATATACCTGTGTAACTTTTACCCAGGTAAAGATAATGATTCCATCAACCCTGAGGGCTCCCTTGCACCCTTCCCATTCCACATCCCCCCAGAGGTAACCACCCTTCTGACCTCTGGTACTAATAGACCCAGTTTGCCTGGTCGTGAACCTTGCATGAACAGAAACATACAGCACCTACTTCTGGGACTCATCATTATGTCCCCAAATCATAGGTAAAGTATGTTTTAAAACAATTGCTATTTGGTATCACAAAAGTAATACTTACTGTAGAAATGATATAAAAGCACAAATGAACAGAAAATGGTGGACATCACCTTTGTACCTGAGAGCTTCTAAGAGCATCTCTGTCTATGTGTTTGATAATAATAATTTGATGTGCCCAATGAAGAAATTCTGGAAAGTAAAAGACTCTTGGGCTGGGCGTGGTGGCTCATGTCTGTAATCCCAGCACTTTGGGAGGCTGACGTGGGCAGATTGCTTTAGCTCAGAAGTTTGAGACCAGCCTGAGCAACATGGCAAAACCTTGTCTCTACAAAAAATAGAAAAATTAGCTGGGCATGGTGGTATGTGCCTGTAGTCCCAGCTATTTGGGAGGCTGAGGTGGGAGGATCACTTGAACCTGGGAGGCAGAGGTTGCAGTGACTGGAGATCACACCACTGCACTCTAACCTGGGTGACGGAGACCTTGTCTCAAAACAAACAGGCAAAAGACTCTTGGTTGCAACTGACACAAACCCAACTTCCACTGCCTTGAGCAAGATTCAATTGGTTGTGTCAAGTAACTGAGAGAACCAGGGGCTCAAACAATGTCTCTGTCTCTCTCCCCATCTTTCCCAGGCTTGGCTTCATTTATGCAAACGGGCTCTGTCTATGGCCAATAAAGCGGCCACCAGCAACCCCTGACTCAACCTCCCGCTTCAGCAACCCTAAGAGCGTCTTTCTCTATAGTAATCCCAGGGCAAACTCTGATTGGCTTTGCTGGGGTCACATGTCCATCCTTGGGCCAATCACTTGGCTAGGCTGATGGGGGACTCTAAATGGTCAGCTGCAGTCATGGTGGGGCAGCCTCATGGTTACAGCTGCACCAGAGGCAGGGAGTTGGCGAGGGGAGGTGTTCCAAAGGCACCAGAGAAGGAACACAGAAAGAGTGTTGGGGAGACCTAACTAGGGCAGCTTTGTCCTGCACAGTCAGCAGGATGTTGTCCGGCTAGGCTGGTGGCTCACGCCTGTAATTCCAGCACTTTGGAAGGCCGAGGTTCGCGACCAGCCTGAGCAACTTAGAGAGACACTCCCCACCCCGTGCCCCATCTCCACATAAAAAATAAAAATTAAAATTAATTGGCCGTGGTGGCATGCACCTGTGGACCCAGCTACTCAGGGGGCTGAGGCCAGAGGATCGCTTGAGCCAGGGAGGTGGAGGTTGCAGTGAGCTATGATCGCACCACTGCACTCCAGCCTGGGTGACAGAGTAAGACTCTGTCTCAAAAAAAAAAAAAAAAAAAAAAAATTGACTCTCTGCTCTGCAGAGCAGGGTGTTCCTAAGGATAGGGGCTGGAACTTTTGTCTCCTTAGTGAGCTCAGACCCAAGTGTCTCAATCTTTGGTCCCATCTTCGTGCCTCCATCTCATATTTTACAAGGTCAAAAAAGCATCAGGGCTTGAAAAATGAGGATGTGGAGAAGACAAACCTCAACAATCGATTCAAAACCAGCTGACCATGACCTCCTGTGTGCACCAGGCCAGCCTCCTGGTTGGGTCCCTGGCACGGCATCCAGCCCAGAGCCTGGCACAGAGGTAGTGTTGTAGTAGAAGGCGGCACTAGACTCCAGAGGCCAGGCTTGGACCCTGGGCCAAATTGAGGACTAGCTAAAACAGATCTGGGATGGAAGCTCTTCCCCAAACAAAGCATCACCCTGTAGCATATGCTCACCAGTGCGCCAGGTCAGTTTACCATTGCCATGGCAACAGCTGGAAGTTACTGACCCTTTTTACGGCAACCACTGGACAAACCGGAAGTTATCCTCATCCTAGACATTTTTGCATCAACTGCTCCTTAATTTGCGTATAATTAAAAATGGGTATAAATAAGAGTGTAGAACTGGCTCTAAGCTGCTACTCTGGGCACGCTGCCTATGGGGTAGCCCTGCTCTGCAAGGATCAGTACTGCCTCTGTGGCTGCCTACACTGCGGCTTCAATAAAAGTTACTAACACAACGAGCTCGCCCTTGAATTCTTTCCTGGGTGAAGCCAAGAATCCTTTTAGGCTAAGCCCCAATTTTGGGGCTTGCCTGTCCTGCATCAGTGTCATCAGATGTTTGAATAAATGGAGGGAGGTGATAACAGCATTTACGGTGCACTTACTGTTTGCCAATCCTCCGTAATTCCCTGGACATCTTACTTTAGCCTCATGTGTTTCAGGCACTGGAGAGTCCTCTCTTCCGGGGTATTACTTTGATTCCCATATAATAGGTTTGCTATTGTATTTATCTTACTTTTACTATTAAGTGTTTAGGGTGTACAAGAGAAAAGATACCAATTCTTTCTCCCGGAGTTTACAATCTAGTGGGTGGGGAAACTGAGGCACGCACAGTTGCGCAGAGCAGTGTGGAGCATGGGGAGGTGGGTGGGTGTTTGGTGGGGGAGTCCGTCTGGAATGAGTCCGGAGTATTGATGAGAGGGATGAGAGGGATCCCTTGAGCTCTGAGGTGGGCTAGAGGAGAGAAAGGGGTCTCAGCAGTGGCGTCCCCAGGTCTAGACCGGTTTCAGCCAGTCCAGGGCGGCCAGGGCTGCTCTTATCCAGGCCCTCTCCCCTCCTCCTTCCCCCACCTCCCCTCTGCAGCAGCCGGCGCAGTGATTGACGCGGTAATTGGCGCGCTTAGGCACCGGGCTAATTGAGGTCAGGCTGCAGATTGCAGTGGCTGCTTCGCAGAGGCGGTGGGCGTGGGGGCTGCGCGCGCTCCCTCCCCCTGCAGGGCCTGGTGTGAGGACGTCGTGGAGCGGGGAGGTCCCCCCACCCCGCCCCCCGTCCTTTTTCCCTTGGGAGAACGCTCTCCAGCGGCAGGTGTCGTGGGGAGGTCTCCTGGGCCCTCCCATTTCAAGGGGATGGGAAACTTCAGACAGAGGGAAAGAGAAGGCCAGGGAGCTCTCCAAGGCAGGTTGAACCCATCTTGGAGCCTGAACTCCTGGGGAGGGAGGGGCTCGGGAAAGAGCCCACGGGTGGGGGCGGGGGAGCCTTGGCTTGAGTAATTCCCCCTCTTTGAGCTTACTCTCATTCATTCACACATTCATTCATTCAACACTCACTTATTGAGTGCCCTATGTGTTTGAAGCACTGGAAATAAAGTTGAAATAAAGACAGACATGGTTCCGCCCTCAGGAAGCTAACAGACACTGGGGAGATAAACGAGCTAATAGTTGCTATTGCAAACATATGCTGTAGAGAGACATTATCTGCAGGGAGGCAACTGAAATGGGGTGGTCAGGGAAGGCCTCTCTAGGGAAGGGACATTACGGCTGAGACTTGAGGGACAGAACACTGGGAATGGGCAGAGTGTGAGTGATGGGGGCAGGGGGAACCTCTTCTCTAAGACGGGGGACAGAAAAATCCTGATGAGCAAGGGTCTCGGATGGACCTGTCATTCTGCAACTTGCTTGTTTGGACTTACATAATCCTGAGATGAAGACACGTTGGTACGTGTAGTTCTAGTACATTCATTTTGCCTGTGCTTTTTCTACCATGCACAGCTGGTTCTTAGACAAACAGCAGTTCCAGAATGGTTTCTGAAACCCCTACTGCAGAGGTGGTGTTTAGAGGATTTGGCTCATGTGGTGCGTGGGGGCAAGAAAGCTGACAGGGACTAGAGATTCATTGCAGACAGCTAACATGGGGAGCATAGAGCAAAAAGGGAAATATTTATTTAGCTTTGCAAATACTCCCCAACACTTACCAGCCTAAAGGAGCCAGGGAAAGGGGCTTGGGCTGGAAGACAAGAGGTGGCCTGAGTCCTCATCTCAACTCAAACTCAGTGTAAAACTCTGGGGAGGTCCTTTTCCCTTTTCCATTTGTAAAATGGGTGTATGCGTGAGAATAAGACAAGGTTAGTCATTTCAAAGTGGTTTCCTGTCTGTGTTTTCTTAGATTCTGTTCTTGTCTCTTTGGCATCCATTAATCACAAGGCCAACATTTCCCCTGTGATCCAGAGTCCGTGCTCTGAACCACTTTAAAAAATTTAACTCTCAGGACAGGTGCAGTGGCTCATGCCTGTAATCCCAGCACTTTGGGAGGCTGAGGCGGGAGGATTGCTTGGGCCCAGGAATTTCAGACCAGCTTAGGCAATATGGGAAGACCCAGTCACTATAAATAATTTAAAAATGAGCTAGGTGTGGTGGTACGTACCTGTGGTCCCAGCTACTGAGGAAGCTGAGGCAAGAGGATTGCTTGAGTCTGAGAGGTCGAGGCCGCAGTGAGCTGTGATTGTGTCACTGCATTCTAGCCTGGGCAACAAATCGAGACCGTGTCTCAAAAAAATCAAATCAAATCAAATCAAATCAAATCAAATTCAACTCTTTTGCACCAAGCCATCATTTTCACTGTCCTAAATAAACCCAGGGCCAGGCACCAGACAACTACGGAAATCCCTTATGCTTCCCACCTACCAGAATTATTCAAACTATCCTCAAGCCATTTACCCTGCTTTGCCTTTCCCAAGGAAACCTGTAGGCTGTAGCTGCTCCTGCTCCTGCCTGCTGACCAATCCTGGTGATTCCCATGTGGCCCTGCATGGTGTGGCATGCCCCCTTGTCTTGGGAACTGTAAGGAATTAATTATTTCAATGGTATTAGCCTGTCTGCGTCATTACTCAGTCAACTTCATAAATTTAGATCTGGGCAGACATCGGTTTCTCAGATGGTTTTGTGTATGCCTTTGGGGGCTGTCAAGAGGAATGTGGAGAGGAGGAGCAGGCTGCTCTGAAGGATTTGGATGTGCGTGCCACAGGTCCCCTCCCTGGCCTCACGAGAGCTGTTCTCTGGGACATATATAGCTGTCACTTCTGGGGAAAGAGTTTTGCTGCTCCTTAAACTTCAGAAAACCTTGGTCCTACAGGCTCATCCATCTCAAAGATTTGTTCTGGCGCCCATGTTGGTGCTACAGGGACAGAAATTCATCCACTTCTGTTTTATGGTTTCAAAGGGTTTCTTCAATTATTTGCTTTGTTGACTGAGGACACCTTGTGGACCAATTATTTGCTGATGGCTCTCATGGCTTCCATTCTCTGCAGTTATTGTGGGGGCTAGAAGTCTGCAAACTACATTTGTCAGATGATCTCATCAGCTGGGGCCAGTAGGTTCTGCTAACGGGAGGTTCTAGCAAGAGACGAAACATGGCAGCAGTAGCAGTAGAAATTTCAGTTGACCACAGACAAGTGTGGGTTCCAGCAGGGTCAGTGGTTCCATTGGTGACCATGGGAGTGGCTCCTGCTCAATGGCAGTGGCAGCACCTGCAGCAGCTCAGTAGTGAGTGCTGGCCTGTGGGCCAAGCATGGAGTGTACCAGCTTCTTGATAATTGGGTGCCACCTTCTGTTCCTGTTTGCTCTTCTGCTTCTCCTAGCCAACAATTTTGTAATAAATTTTATGCATTCAGTCCCTCTCTGCTTGAAATATCTTAAGGGCCTTCTATTTCTCCAATGGGACAATGACCGATATACCTATATAACTTGGATAATTAGAAAGGTACAAAAAAGACCGTATGCTCACCTGGACATAAGTGCCATCTTTGGCAGCATTACTAGGAGTATAGTTCCGGGAGACCTAGGTGATATCTGGATTTCCTCTTTGCTGATGAGAGTCAACATGGAGGACAGTACTGGGCTGGACAAGATTCTGGGGTTCTCAGTAATCCTGAGTGGGCAGCTGGGCAGTATTGTAGCTGGTTAGAAGGTGCTATGTTTTAAGTATTTGCCCCCTTAAAACTCATGTTGAAATTTAATTCCAAATGTGGCAGTATTGAGAGGTGGGGCCTTTAAGAGGTGATCGGGTCGTGAGTGCTCTGCCTTCATAAATGGATTAATCCATTTATGGATTAATGGATTGATGGGCTAATGGATTAATGGGTTATCATGGGAGAGGGACTGGTGGCTTTATAAGAAGAAGGAGATCTGAGCTAGCATGCTCAGCCCCTTCTCCCTGTGATGTTCTGTGTCACCTTGGGTCCTTGTGAAGTGTCCCTATCAGCAAGAAGGCCCTCACCAGATGTGGCCCCTCGACCTTGGACTTCTCAGCCTCCATAACTGTAAGAAATAAATTCCTTTTCTTGATAAATTACTCAGTTTCAGGTATTCCGTTATAAGCAAAAGAAAATGGACTAAGATAGAAGGTGAGATTCTAAATCATCTTTTCTTATCTGAATTATGGAACCAGCCTCCTCACTGGTCACCCTGCCTCCAGCCTTGTCCCTTCCAGGTCATTTTCTTTTTGTTTTTTTCAATCTATAGGTATTTTTTTATTAGAAAATAAATTAAGCGTTCTCACTAGAGACTGAAGAAGGAAATTAACAATCTTACAATTCTAGAACAGGCAAACTTCATGATAAGGGATTCTTAGTTTTCAAAGTGTGGGGTGCTCTTTCGCAGATACACTCTTGGGGTGGGGGCTGTAAGTTTTCCTCAGATATTTTACATTTTGTGCTTTAATTCTTGTTGGTACTCTAAATCAAATAAATACACAGTGTTCAGGATTATCTGGATGGTCATCTTAAATAACAGCGTGTCCCACATAATCACAGCCTCTGCAATTATGCCTCTGATCCATGTGATACCAAGACCAACTAAGCTTAACTTTTCATATTTCTCCAATTGGGTCCTGAGACTCTTCACAGAATTGTTGAACATTTCCTATGAGATCTGTGAGAGGACAAGGTGGAGAACACTGGTTCAGAGCAGTGATTCTCAAGGCAGGATGGGATGGGGTGGGGTTGAGTGGAGAGATGCATGTAGTTTGAAAGAGCACATTCAAAATACCCACTAATTTAATAACACCAACTCCATAAAGTCAAGCAGCGAAATTATTTCAGCTAATGGGCAGTAGCAGAAAACCAACTGGATTCATCATTGTGGAGAAGGAGTCTGGATAAACATAGTTGAAAAACACCGGCTTAGAGGTAGGGGCATGCCAACACATGGGGAACAGTAAGAAATGCGTGCCAAAGAGAAAGAACAATTGAGGGTCAGTGAGCGAATCCTAGGCCAGAACTTGTCACAGTCTTTTGAAAACCAAAGAGCGCATCCAGAAGAAAACCAAGATGGTCCGTCAACCTTCTTGGCCCTGTGGTTAAGAACAAGTTGATCAACTTTCAAATACTGAGCCAAAAGAAGAAAAAAAGCTGTTTGTGCCCCCAAATTCATCCACCAAGAAGTGATGTCATCATTTGCAATGCCATCCAGCTCTTGAGGAGAGACATCAGCATGGGGCCTGCTCTGTGGTTACTGCAGGGCTCCAATCTGCTTTAGCCACGTCAGCAGTTCCCTGCTCTGTTACATAGTGACTAGATCACTGCATCCGCCTATACAATCTTTACCAATAAAGACTCGAGGCACCATTCTTGCTCCTGTGAGCTGTTTCAAATAATCTTGAATCTCGTTGGTGTGGTTAGTAAGCTGTGATATTGACAGCTACTACTACTACTTCCAGAAGCCCCTGTTTGATGGGCAATTGACTGAGGATCTCTTGGGTCTTCCAGCAGTATGGGCAGGTGGGGTTGATGAACACAACCAGCTTCCCAGGCTGGATTTTGCAGTTCACAAACTATTGAGCCATGCCAATGGGCTGTGGTCTCCCTGGGAGGAATCCTCAGTTGCAGGCATTGCTTGGGGTATTGAGCTTATTTATTTCCTTCTTTCCTTCCTTCCTTCCTTCCTTCCTTCCTTCCTTCCTTCCTTCCTTCCTTCCTTCCTTCTTTCCTTCCTTCCTCCCTCCCTCCCTCCCTCTCTCTCTTTCTCTCTTTCTTTCTCTTTCTTTCTTTCTTTCTTTCTTTCTTTCTTTCTTTCTTTCTTTCTTTCTTCCTTCCTTTCTTTGTTTCTTCCTTCCTTCCTTCCTTCCTTCCTTCCTTCCTTCCTTTCTTTCTTCTTTCATCTCACTCTGTTACCCAGGCTGGAGTGCGGTGATGCAATCACAGCTCACTGCAGCCTTGAACTTCTGGGCTCAAGCAATCCACCCACCTCAGCCTCCTGAGTAGCTAGGACTACAGGCATCAGCCACCATGCCTGGCCAATTTTTATATTTTTTATAGAGACAGGGTCTTGCCATATTGCCCAGGCTGGTCTTGAACTCCTGGGCCCAGGCAATCCTGTCTTGGCCTCCCAAAATGTTGGGATTACAGGCATGAGCCATCGCGCCTGGCCCCTCCCAGGTCATTTTCCACATATTGAACCGGAGGGTCTTTCAAAACCATTCCAATGAAGCACCCTCCCTGCTAACCCCTGTCCCAAATCAAGACCCGTCAGCAGCTCTCTGGTGCTCAAAATTATAAACTTGCTATTCCAGACCTTTCCTAACCTGGCCCCTATGGAACTCCCCAGCCTCTGCATGATCTCTCCTTGCCTTGCAGGTTATCATCTAGCTGCCCTGAATCACCTGCAGCCCCCTGAACATGCCATGCTCTATTTACTCAACTGATATTTATTAAGCATCCACTGTGTGCCTGACAGTGTTCTAGGCATTGGGGAATTGGCAGACGACAATTCAGGCCAAGTCTCTTCTTTCAAGAATCTCTCCTCCAGGCCTTTGTACATGCTGTTCCCTTTGTTCGGAATGTTCCTTCTGCCCCGTTTCCTATCCCTTTTTCTCCTTTCACCTTGGTATCTGCCATCTTCAGAGCTGAACTGAGGCAGCACCTGCTTAGGGAGTCTCCCTTGACCCCAACCCCAGACTGTTTGGATATTTCCTTTACGCTCCTACAACCCCCCGGCTCCCTGAGCTTCCTCTAACCCAAACATGGATCTCTGAATTGTCACTGTTGGTTTATACTCCTAGAGTATAGAGTTTAGAGCTCCTGGAGAGTGGGACCTTGTCTGATTTGGTGGGACCATGTCTGTGTCCCTAGACTTAACAGCGTCTGGCACGTGAATTTGTTGAATGAATGAACGAATGAATGAATAACCATGGACTACAAAAGCAGGAAACACTTTTTGGAGGGAAATGACCATGCAGGTCTTGAAAGGGGCACCCAAGATGGTTCCAAACAGATATCAGAGGACTCAGGGTCCTTGTTTCCTCTGGCTCCCATTATCCTCACCCTCAGCATCTGGTGCTTCGCGATCTACTCCTACTGGCCTCTCCAGCCCTATTTATGCTTTCTCAACCCAGATCCAGCCCTTTGAGCCAAGTAGGATTTCAGATTTGGGCTCAGCCAGATCCTGGCTGTGTAAACTTGGAAAATAACTCCACCTCTCTGTGACTCAGTTTTCTTACCTTTAAAATCATTTAGATCGGGGTCCCCAACCTTGGGGCCAAGGACTGGTACGGGTCCGTGGCCTGTTAGGAACTGGGCCGCATGGCAGGAGGTGAGTATCACCACCTGAGCTCCACTTCCTGTCACATCAGCAGCAGCATTTCGTTCTCATAGGAGCACGAACCACATCGGGAACTGTGCACGTGAAGGATCTAGGTTCTGTGCTCTTTATGAGAATCCAGTGCCTGATGATCTGAGGTGAAACAGTTTCATCTCAAAACCATTCCCCCACCCGACCACCATTCTGTGGGAAACTTGTCTTCTGTGAAACTGGTCCTTGGTACCAAAAAAAATTGGGGACTGCTGGTTTAGATGATCTCTGCTTCCCAGGGCTTTTGTGAAATCTCCAGGCAATAACCCATGTAAAGCACGAGCCTCAGGGCTGGGGCTGTAGTCAGCACTCAATGAGTGGGTGCTCTTATTGTTATTGCTTATGCTGAGAGCTGTAGGGAGCCATGGCAGCTTTCAGCAGAGGTGGGAGTCATGGGGTTGGATTTGCTCCTCAGATCTCCAGAGGGGGCTCTGGGGAGGACAACCTAGACAGGGCAAGAGAGAAATGGGCTGGTGCAGGCTGGTAATTTACACAGCTCTCAAAATCAGATCATTAATGCTTTTGGCCAACGGCTATTGTAAAAAATTTAGAGTAAAATAAAAAATACAATATAATCTTCAGAGTAAATTATAAAACACAAAGCAGAAACAAATTAGACAGGCAATACAATCTCATTGAAGCAAACCAGTTTTCCCAGGGACAACTCTGGGCTGGGTCAGAAACCACTGCTGCTGGGCCCCCATAGCACTGAACAGGTGACAGGAAGAGTCACAAACATATGTGTGGCTTCTAGGGACTTGAGTTTCCAGATTCACTCTCTCTTTTGTTTAAAAATCGATTAAAAAATTATTGCAATGCAGGGTGCAGTGGCTCACGCCTGTTATCCCAGCACTTTGAGAGGCAGAGGTGGGAGAATCACATGAGGCTAGGAGTTTGAGACCTGCCTAGGCAACAGCAAGACCTCATCTCTACAAAAAGTTTAAAAATTAGCCAGGTATGGTGGTGCATACCTTAGTCCCAACTATTCAGGAGGCTGAGCTGGGAGGATAACTTGAGCCCAGGAGGTCGAGGCTGCAGTGAGCTATGATTGTGCCACTGCACACAATTACATATTCAATTATTGCTAAAGACATAAGATGAAAAATCTCCCTCCCACCCCAGGCTGTCAGTCTCCCTTTCACCAATAATAATGTATTGTTTATTTCACCTGAAAATTCCCATTCCTTTGCAAGTCCAGATATACACAAATAATTCCTTTGTTTCCAATACAGTTAATATTTTACACCCTGCTTTTTTTACTTCATGATGTGTCTAGGAGATCTTTCATGTTAGGGTTTGTTTGTTTGTTTGTTTCTGAGACAGAGTCTCGCTCTGTTGCCCAGGCTGGAGTGCAGTGGCGTGATCTTGGCTCACTGCAGTCTCTGCCTACCGGGTTCAAGTGATTCTCTTGTCGCAGCCTCCTGAGTAGCTGGAATTACAGGTGTGCGACACCCCACATGGCTAATTTTTGTATTTCTAATAGAGACAGGGTTTCCCTATGTTGGCCAGGCTGGTCTCGAACTCCTGGCCTCCAATGATCCACCCCCCCTCGGCCTCCCAAAGTGTTGGGACTACAGGCATGAGCCACCATGCCCGGCCCATATTAGTTCTTTTAACAGCTGTATAATAATCCAGTATGTGAACAGACCATAATTTACTTAACCAGACCCTACTAATGGATATTCAGGCTGTTTCTTCAGTGAGTTTGTAAGAGAAATTTCTGGAAGTGAGGTTGATGGTTAAAGGATACAGGCATTCTTGATGTTGGTAAATGTTTCCAAATTACCCGCTTTTAAGGGGACACTATTGATGCTCTCTCTAGAGCCCATTGGATCTTTTACATTTGGGGTGCTTCCCCCGACCTCTGTGTGCTTTTTTTTTTTTTGAGACAGAGTCTTGCTCTGTTGCCCAGGCTGGAGTGCAGTGGCACGACTTCAGCTCACTGCAACCTCCACCTCCTGGGTTCAAGTGATTCTTGTGCCTCAGCCTCCTGAGTAGCTGGGACCACTGGTGTGGGCCACCATGGTCTGCTAATTTTTGTATTTTTGGTAGAGGTGGGGTTTCCCCATAATGGCTAGGGTGGTCTCGAACCCCTGGCCTCAAGTGATCTGCCTGCCTCAGCCTCCCAAAGTGCTAGGATTACAGGTATGAGCCACCGTGCCTGGCCATGCGTTGTTGTAAGAGAAGAGTTCATGCCTGTGACCTTCGTTGGAGGCCTGTTCTTCAGCTACTGGAGCTGCCTTGTCCATGGAACGAACCTGAAATGCCTGGCTGTTAAGCCCCACCTTGGGGGACTTAGTCAACAACAGACCGGGACAGGAGTGTGAAAGCCCAGTTTCCTTGCCTGGAGACTGTTTTACACTCCAGAGCTCCCTGTGGGATGTGGCTGAGGCTGGGACTTTGCTGAAAGTTTCACTGGGGCAGGCGTACACTCTAAGATGGCCCTAAGGGGCTTGCCTTCTGGCACTCACACCCTTGTGTGATCCCTTCCCTTTGAGTGTAGGCTGTGATGTGATGTCACTTCCAAGATTAAGTGATAAAAAGACCATGGGGGGCTGGGCGCAGTGGCTCATGCCTGTAATCCCAGCACTTTGGGAGGCCAAGGTGGGCAGATCATGAGGTCAGGAGTTCAAGACCAGCCTGGCCAACATGGTGAAACCCCATCTCTACTAAAAATACAAAATTAGCCAGGTGTGGTGGCGGGCACCTGTAATCCCAGCTACTTGGGAGGCTGAGGCAGAGAATTGCTTAAACCCAGGAGGTGGAGTTTGCAGTGAGCCAAGATCGTGCCACTGCACTCCAGCCTGGGCAACAAGAGCAAGACTCCATCTCAAAAAAAGGAAAAAAAAGAGACTATGGCTTTTGTCTTGGGGTGGCCCTCTATTTCTCTCTCTCCCTTTCAGGGCTGTCTCTCTCTAGGGCAATCAAGCTGCCACGATATGATATGATATGATATGATATGATATGATATGATATGATATGATATGACATGATATGATATGATATAGGCTATGATAGGATATTATATGATATGCCATGATACTTCAGCCATCTGAAGTGGCAGGGAACTGATGTCTCTACAGCCAGTGAGGACTGGAGGCCTGTCCACACTCACAAGAGTGAGTTTAGAAGTGGATCTTCCCCAGGTTGAGCCTTTGATTTTTTGAGACAGGGTCTTGCTCTGTTGCCCAGGCTGGAGGGCAGTGGCACAATCTTGGCTCACTGCAACCTCCACCTCACAGGTTCAAGAGATCCTCGTGCCTCAGCCTCCTGAGTAGCAGGGATTACAGGCATGCACCACCACACATGGCTAATTTTTGTATTATTAGTAGAGATGGGGTTTTACCATGTTGGCCGGGCTGGTCTTCAGCTCCTGATCTCAAGCGATCTGCCTGCTTTGGCCTCCCAAAGTGCTGGGATTATGGGAGTGAGTCACCACGCCCGGCCTCCCAGTTGAGCCTTGGGGTGATTGAGCCCCAGCCAACACCTTGACTGCCCACTCCTAAGATACCCTGAGACACAACCATTCAGTGAAGCCACTCCTGGGTTCCTGACCACAGAAACTGAGATGATCACTGCTTGTTGTTTCAGATGCTAAGTCTGGGCTAATTTGTTATGCAGCAATAAATAACCAATGCATCTTACTGGGCTTCCTTCCCTTTCCTGTCCTGCCTCCCGCACTTTCTCACCAGTCTTCACTGGGAGCACTCTTTTTTTTTTTTGAGATGGAGTTTCACTCTTGTCGTCCAGGCTGGAGTGCAATGGGGCAATCTCGGCTCACTGCAACCTCCGCCTCCCAGGTTCAAGTGATTCTCCTGCCTCAGCCTCCTGAGTAGCTGGAATTACAGGCACCTGCCACCACGCCCAGCTAATTTTTTGTATTTTTTTTAGTAGAGATGGGGTTTCTTGGCCAGGCTGGTCTCAAACTCCTGACCTCGTGATCCACCTGCCTTGGCCTCCTGAAGTGCTGGGATTACAGGCGTGAGCCACTGCGCCCGGCCTGGAGCGCTCTGTTAATACACCACCTGCACAGATATCCTTGTCTGCTTCTGGGGAACCCAACTCAACACACTCCTATAGGCTTGTGCTAATATACATTGTTGGCATTTGGAGGGGGATGAGCTGTTTTCCCCATGGCTTCACCTACACCATGCACATCAAACTTTTACACGCAAATATAGCCTTGAACTGGACAAGCCAAGATAACTTTAATCCCAAAGACAGTTCCACAGGGAGGTCTGGGTTTTGGGGCTGCAGTCACTGACCCACTGCCACTGACCCACCTGTAGCACCTCCTGTACATTCCCACCTCTCTGACTTTGCTTAGGCTGGACCTCACCCTCACTTCACCTGCCTATCTTGTCATCCTTCCCATAAGGCCAAGATCCTAAATACCCGTCCTCCAGAGCATCTCCTGACCTCTCCATCTGGAAGTGATGCTTCCCTCCCCTTGAGCTCCCTTCACCCTCTGTGCCTCCTTCTGATGGCTTTCTGATGGGTTTTACCCAACTTATCATTATTTCTGCTCAAGTATTATCTCCCTGCCTGCACAAAGAGCTCTTTTCAGGCTGAGATCCACCTCCCTGGAAAGTGGTTGGTACAGAGAAGTCATGGAGACACTGTGTGAATGAACACCCAGACTCAGGGATGTCCTGGTGGGCCAGATGGCAGCCATCCTGAACCCCCTAGTCTCTGTCTGCCCCACACCCAGCAGCCCTCCTCACTCGTCCTCCTCCCTAGCATCCCTCAACCACTGTATTAGTCTGTTTTCACACTGCTATAAAGAACTACCTGAGACTGGGTAATTTATGAGAAAAAGAGGTTTAATTGACTCACCATTCTGCAGGCTTCACAGGAGACATGACTGGGAGGCCTCAGGAAACATACAGTCACGGCGGAAGGTGAAGGGGAAGCAAGGACCTTCTTCACATGGTGGCTGGAGAGAGAAAGAGCGAAGAGGGCAGTGCTACACATTTTTAAATCATCACATCTTGTGAGAACTCACTCACTATCACGAGAACAGCAAAGGGGAAATCTGCCCCCATGATATGGTCACCTCCCACCAGGCCCCTCTCCCAATTCAAAATGTGATTTGGGCAGGGACACAAATCCAAACCATGTCAACCATGCTCTGGTTGAGACCTCATTACCTGTGCTGACAATCAAGGCCCCCCCGTGACACTGCTGCTCCCACCCCCGCCCACTCTTGCTGCCCCTGCTACCCGCACTGTCTATTCCAGCCATGCAGAGCTACTCATAGTTATCTAGAAACCAAACTAGCTGCCATTTTCGGAGCCATGTCTCAGGCCCTGTGCTAAGCATTTTACATCCTCATGATTGCTGTGTGTGGGGTACCATTTTCAGCCCCATTTTATAGGCAAGAAAACCAAGGCACAGAGAAGCTAAGTGTACACAGCCGGCAAGAAGCTGAGGCAGCTGCTTTTGGTGCTCTGCTGCCTCTTTCATCTTTCCTGGGGGTCACCAGTAGACGGCTCTTGGACATGCCTCACCCGAGGGCATTCTTTGGCCTCCTGAAGGTCGCTCAGCCAGCAGGGGCAGGCCAGAAGTCACGGAGTTCAAACCTCAGGAGCAGCCCTCAATCAATGGGGAGGAGTCCCGCTTCCTCGTCCCTCGCAGGGACAATGTTGCACGTCCTTTCTCTGAGTCCTCAGCCGGATAAGCTCCAGTTACCTGCTCACGAACACACCCGTATTGACCTCTTTCTCTTCCCAGTCTCACCTCCCCACTCTTTCAACGTGCTGGGACCACCTCCCAGATAAACCATGTGCACCCAAATCCTTGTCACAGGATCTGTTTTGAGGAAAACCAACAGGAAGCAACAGCAGAGTGGAATTTGCACCCAGTCTGCCTGCCTGGGGCCACTCTGCTGCCCAGACATCCAGACATGACTGGCTGTGCCAATGGCTTCATGTTCCTGTCCATCTTGCCCCAAACCCCACCCATCTCTGCCCACCCTCCTCTGTTTAAAAGACCCTGCTTACCTAGATTTTTGTGTTTTTTGGAGACAGAGTCTTGCTCTGTCGCCCAGGCTGGAGTGCAGTGGCACGATCTTGGCTCACTGCAACCTCTGCCTCCCGGGTTCAAGTGATTCTCCTATTTCAGCCTCCAGAGTAGCTGGGATTACAATACAATTTTTTTTTTAAATTTTTAGCAGAGATGGGGTTTGGCCATGTTGGCCAGGCTGGTCTCGAACTCCTGACCTCATGCGATCCACCCGCCTTGGCCTCCCAAAGTGCTGGGATTACAGGCATGAACCATCGCACCCGGCCTTACATAGATATTCATAAGAAAATTTCACTGACATCCTTTTTCCCAGTTAGAATTGACCACTCCCTTAGGATCTCAACAGACAGACTTCTCCCCAGCCCCCATCATATCCCAGTGCCCTTATTTGTGGGCTTTGGGCACCACCTACCAACCTGGGATGTCCTACTCATGGAGAACTTGCTCTCGTGTCTTCTTCACTATGGAAATACCCCGGTCCACCCAGGACTAAACACACAGCAGGTGCTAATCCACCTTTGAATCCACTGTGGCCCCAACCACAGATCTCTCCTCCTCTTTCTGCCCCCTCACCTCTTCCCACCCCGCCGCCCACGCATTTTACATCATTTCTGAG
The DNA here is from genome assembly GCF_000001405.40 of Homo sapiens. NCBI lineage: Eukaryota > Metazoa > Chordata > Mammalia > Primates > Hominidae > Homo > Homo sapiens. The sequence continues at coordinate 37,611,610 of NC_000020.11, forward strand.
AGGTACACCGCTGTTTCCATCTCTTTGCTGGCCTGTTTGGCCACCCTAAGGGTGTCTCGCCCTCTCGTTCTCTGATACATGGTTTCTCTGTCTCTCTTTCTCTCTGCAGACTTCTATCTCACTCCATCGCACTCATTTATTTTCCTATCTGCCTCCCCAACTGGATTGTGAGTCCTTTGAGGCCCTAATGTATCTTGTTTATCGCTATATCCACATTGTGCCCTTCGTGCATTATCTACTACAGACTGCATGCTAATAAATGTTTGTTGAATGGATGAATTAATTAATTACTTAATACACGTATCCCTGGATCCCTCAATGGAAGGACATAGAAACTGATATAAATTCTTAGGATTGTAAGTGACAGAAACCCAACTCAAGCTAGCTTAAGCAAAAGAAGAAATGTATTGACTTAATTATTAGGAAGTCCAAGTAGACTTCAGGCATGGCTGGATCCAGAAACCAAACAAAGTCAACAGTTGACTCTCACTCATCCTCCTTCTCTCTGTGTATATCTCTTTGCCTCTCTGTATCTTTTTTCATGTTGGCTCTGGTTCTCTTTCAGTTTTGACCACATTCTCCTGTATCATAGTCAAGTGCAAATGCAAGACTTAGTCCTCTCTCTCTGGGCCTCAATTTCCCTCATCTGTAAAGCAAAGAGTCAATTCAACCTCTTGCTCTCTAAGCCTCCTTTATAGCAATGTAGTCTTAAAGGGGATCCAAGATAATGTTCTCATTTTCTAGTTAGGAAAAACTGAGGCCCAGAGAAGCAAGTGATTTGTTCAAGGTTACCCAACAAGTTAGGGGCGGGGCTGACACCATAACCCAAGTCTCAAACCTTCATGGAAAAGAAGGACAATATTATTTTTGACACAGAGAACCCCAGAGAGAAGGGCCTTGATACTGAGTCAGAGTCACCCACCTCCTCTCTGCTTCCATTCTATCCTATCCAAATGCTGAGAATCCTGGACCACCGAAGGTTTTGTATCAAGTGCGTTTACCTCCCATAACCCCAGACCTGGATTTGAAAATCAGCTCCACCACTTGGCAGCTGTGGCCCTGGCAAGTCATTTCTCATCTGAGCCTCTGCTTTTTTCATCTGGAGAATGGGACAATGAGCCCTACCTTCTGGGTTGTTGTGAGGACTCCAGGAGGAGATGAGAGTAACTCTCTTAGCAAGGCCTTGCATGAGGTGGTAGGCCATAACTCATCCCAGTTAGGCTGGGATCATCCCAGTTTGGCTGGGATCATCCCAGTTTTAAAACTTAAACTCTTGGCTGGTTGTGGTAGCTCGTGCGTGTAACCCCAGCACTTTGGAAGGCTGAGGCAGGAGGATCACCTGTGTCCGGGAGTTCAAGACCAGCCTGGGCAACATACTGACACCTCATCTCTGCAAATTATTAAAATATTAGCTGGGTATGATGGTGCATGCCTGTAGTCCCAGCCACTCAGGAGGCTGAGGTGGGAGGATCACTTGAGCCTGGGAGGTCAAGGGTGCAGTGAGCCAAGATCTCACTACAGCACTCCAGCCTGGGTGACAGAATGAGACCCCATCTCAGCAAACAAACAAACAAACAGAAAAACAAACTTAAAGTCTTACATCCCAGGAAGCTGTTTGTCCTAGGCCAATCTGATGGTTGGTTACGGATGTCGTTTGGATGTGTGTCCCTTCCCAAATCTCATAGTGAACTGTAATCCCCAATGTTGGAGGTGGGGCCTGGTGGGAGGTGACTGGATCATGGGGGCATATTTCTCATGAATGGTTGAGCGCCATCCCCCTTGGTACTGTCCTTGTGATAGTGAGTGAGTTCTCTTGAGATCTGGTTGTTTAGAAGTGTGTAGTACCTCTCCCCTCACTCTTTTGCTTCTCCTCCCACCATGTAAAGATGCCTGCTTCCACTTTGCCTTCTGCCATGATTGTAAGTTTCCTGAGGTTTCCCAGAAGCCGAGCAGATGCCAGCATCATGCTTCCTGTACAGCTTTCAGAACTGTCAGCCAATTAAACTTTCTTTCTTTATAAATTACCCAGTCTCAGGTATTTCTTTACAGCAATGTGAAAACGGACTAATACAGCTATCCTCTCAGTCAGGCACCTATACTGGGCAGCAGGGAGGAAGCAGTATTCTCAGAAGATCCCATAAATCAGGCCTGAACAAAGCCAGATCTCTCAGAAAGATGGAGGAATCTTGCCCAAGACAATGCTGAGAAGAAACTTTCCGGGCCTTTGGGCCCTTTGAAGTTTGGAGCAATTTGTACAACAAGAAGCCTGAGAGGCTGTTTCTGCCTCCTCCTCCACCTGTCTGTCCCTCCAGCTTCTTGGACATTCAGGGGCTCTCAGAAACTCTGACTCCAAGAACACATAGCTGGAGAAAACCCTGATTCTCACCCAATCTCACTGGGCACTCTCCCACTGTACAGATGGCAAAACCAAGGCCCAGAGAGGGAAGCCCCTTGCCCAAAGTTTCATGGTAGACTGTCTCCAGCATGGCTGACCTTGCAGATATGCTCCTGGATGCTTTCAGTGAAAATTCAGTTTACACCCATGCTGGGAGTAGGGGTTGGGGGAGACAAGTGAGTGATGTCTGTGTGGCAAGGGGAATGAGCACAGGCTCAAAGCCCAGCTCCCCAAGCCACAAACTTGCTGAGTGACTCCCCTGGGCCTCAGTGACCCATCAGTGAAATGAAGGCGATAATCTTGCCTGGGGTGCCCCAGGCGCTGTGGCTAAGTGACAAAGAGCAGTGGGTAGCGTTAGTCCTTGTATGGCTAGCAGAGCAGAAAGAGCCTTCACAGACTGATTTTAGTGTGTCTGGAATCTTGGGCATTCCCAGATCACCCCTTAGCTACCACCTGTACTATTAGTTACTTAATATATTTCTTTAAAATAACTTAAAGTATTTTAAAGGAATATGAAACATTACTTGTTATGATGTACTAGTTTATATATATATATATATATATATATTTTTTTTTTTTTTTTTTTTTTTGAGATGGAGTCTTGCTCTATTGCCCAGGCTGGAGTGCAGTGGTGTGATCTTGGCTCACTGCAACCTCCACCTCCCAGGTCCAAGTGATTCTCCTGCCTCAGCCTGCCGACTAGCTGGGACTACAGGCGTGTGCCACCATGCCTGGCTAATTTTTGTATTTTTAGTACAGACATGGTTTCTCCATTTTGGCCAGGCTGGTCTTGAACTCCTGACTTCAAGTGATCTGCTTGCCTCAGCCTCCCAAAGTGCTGGTATTACAGGCATGAGCCGCCACTCCTGGCCTACTTATATATTTCTTTCTAGCACTACTTAAAGTAAATTCAAAGTATTCAAACAAAAAAGTTGGATCCCGGAATGCCTCCAAACCTAGGGCATATCCCCAGCAGCATGCATGTTGTACTTCGTTAAACATTGATTTCATCCTATCCCTGCTCCCTGCATCCCATTGTAAACTCAGATCCAGAGAGGAACAAGGACAGAACTGAAGTCACAGAGAGAGTTAGCCACAGGGTGGGCGCTAGAGTCTAGACCCCTCCACTGTTCCCACCATTCCAAGGTAGGAGCCCTTGCTGAAAGGAGGAGCCAGGGCTTTTCCTGCTTCCAGATATTTTCACGTCCTGTGTCCCCACCTGGAAAGCCCTTTCCCCTCAATTGTCCCAGGCCAACTCCCAGATTAACTCCCGTTCATCCTTTGAAACTCTGGGGAGCTTCCCTGGCAAGCAGAGCAAGTCTGTCTCCCTCATGTGACACCCCATCCCAGATTATAATGACCTGTTTGGGAATCTTTCTCCACACTGAGACAGGGAGGCCCAGTTCTGATTATCTCCACCCTGAATGTGCTCCCTGGGGCTGGACACCCAGGAGGCTCCGGGCAGCACTGATTAATTAGGGAAATCTGAAAACAGTGGAGCCCAGAGCCCTGGATCAGTCCTGTCTGGGTCCCAAGAGGGACAGGGCCACCAGGCTGGCAGCTTGTCCCAAGTGATGAACTAGTTCAGCCAGGGCCCCCATCACTCCACTAGATACATTTCAGCTGCTGAGAAAAAAGTTCAGGGGCTCACCTGGGTCTGTTGCTTAGCAACAGGAGGCTGTAAATGACATCGCTCCTGACACTTTAACTAACCCCTCCATGGCAGGTGGAGGATAATGAAGGCAAAGGCAGACAGTGAGACGGAATTGAAAGCCAGACTCAGGAGTGAACAGAGGCAGGTTCTGGGAAATATGGAAGCCTGCAGCAGGCAGTTGTGGGCCTGGGTATATGGGAGGGGTCCTTGAGACAGTTGGTGGCTGCTCTGTTCCTGGGAGTTCTGTTCAGGTGTCCTGGGCTTATGTGTGCCAGCCTTTAAAGGGGATTTGCTAGGCTTGGTCCCTAGTAACAGGTTGGTAATTCCCTGGGCACTATGTCTGTAATTCCAGCAGTTGCCGCTAGGAGGACAGCAGCAACTTCAAAGGTAGACGACTCAGGGTAGACATAACTATACACCTATCAAATCTATGAGTTGGCAGGGAACCTAGTTTAGAAGGGAGCATTTAATAAGCACCGCCTTACTTTTATTAACTCACAAGATCCTCATAATACCTCTCCATGATTACAGAGGTATTTCCACGTTAAAGATGAAGAAACTGAAAGCTATTCATTCAACAAGTATTTGTTGAGCTCCTCTTGTAAGGCAGTTACTGCTGTAGGGTCTGCATAGACAGCAGTGAGCAAGACAGATGGAAATCCCTGCCCTATGGCATTCTAATCAAGGGATAGATAATAAAGAAGAGAAATGAGTAAAATATATGGTATATTAGAAGATGACAAGGGCTGTGGAGAAAAATAAAGCAGAAAAAGATATTGAAAGGGACCCAGGGGGAATGGGTACATGGAGTAGTCAGAAAAAGCCTTAGGGAGGGGCATTTGAGCAAAGGCCAGAAAGAAGTGAGGAGGAAGTCATATGACTATTCAGGGGATGTGCATGCCAGGCAAAGGTCCTGCGGTAGGTGTAAGCTTGGTATATTTCAGGTTTGGAAGGAGGCCAGCATGGCTGCTGCTGGGTTAGAAAGGAGGAAAGCAGAAAGACATGAAGTAGGCCATTGTAAGAACTCTGGGTATTTCTCTGCATGAGATGGGAGCCACAGGAGTATGAGTGTTGAATTTGCCAAATAAAAATACAGGATGACGACTAGGCGAGGTGGCTCATGCCTGTAATTGCAGATCTTTGGGAGGCTGAGGTGGGCAGATTGCCTGAGCCCAGGAGTTCAAGATCAGCCTTAGCAACATGGCAAAACTCCACCCCTACAAAAAATATGAATGTGGTCGCATGTGCCTGTAGTCCCAGCTACTCAGGAGGCTGCGATGAGAGAATCACCTGAGCCTGGGAAGTTGAGGCTGCAGTGAGTCTTGATTGCACCACTGCACTCCAGCCTGGGCAATGATGTGAGACCTAATCTCAAAAAAAAAAAAAAATCCATAAAAGGGTGCCCAGTTAAATTTGAATTTCAGATAAAGCACACAAAAAAATTTTCGTCTAAGTATGTCCCCAATGTCGCATGGGATATGCTTATAATAAAAATTATGTGCTGTTTATCTGAACTTCAAATTTAACTGGGCATCTTGTATTTTATCTGACAAACTAACATGGGAGGGTCTTGAGCAGAGGAGTGACATGGTCTGACTTGGATTTCAAGTGGATCTCTCTGGCCAGTGTGTGGTAGACAGTCTGAGGGGTGTTATGGTGGAAGCTAGAGGCCCCATGAAGAGGTCGTTACAAATGACCCAGGTAAGAGATGATGGAGATTTGGAGCAGGGTGGTTGTGAGAAGAAGTCAGGTTCTAGACACATTTTACAGGTAGAACAAGCAATGCTTCCTGTTGGATTAAACGTGGAGTGTGAAAGAAAGAGGGGTCAAAGCTGACTCTGAGGTTTTGGGCCTGAATGGCTGGAAGGATGAAGGAGTCATTTACTGAGATAAAGAAGGGTAAGGATGAGTGGATTAGTGGGGAAGAAAGGGGAAAATCAGGGGTTCAGGTTTGGGTATTTTAAGTTTGAAATGTTATGAGGCATTCCACAGGGAGATGTGAGATGGGATGCTGTACAGGTTAAATAGTGTCCCTCCAAAATTTGTGTTTACCCAGAACCTGTGAAGGTTTTTGCAGATATAATAAAGTTAACATGAGGTCAGACTGGATTAGGGTGGGTCCTAATCCAATGACTGGTGTCCTTATAAGAAGAGGGAAATTTGAGCATAGAGAAATACACAGAGGGAAGATGCTGTGAAGACATTAACACCATGTGAAGATGGAGGCGAAGACTGGAGGGAAACATCAAGCCTAGGGATGCCATGGGTCGCTGGGATCTGCTAGGACAGATCTAGAGGTCTGCAGGAGGGGCTCTGGGTGGGGCTATGATTTAGGACACATCAGGGCACAGATGATATTAATATATTATTTTTTAATTTAAAAATTTTTTTTTGAGACAGAGTTGCGCTGTGTCACCCAGGCTAGAGTGCAGTGGCACGATCTCGGCTCACTGCAACCTCCGCCTCCTGGGTTCAAGCGATTTGCCTGCCTCAGCCTCCCAAGTAGCTGGGATTACAAGCACATGCCACCACGCTCAGCTAATTTTTTATATTTTTAGTAGAGATGTGGCTTCACCATATTGGCCAGCTGGTCTTGAACTCCTGGCCTCAAGTGATCCACCCTCCTCAGCCTCCCAAAGTGTTGGGATTACAGGCATGAGCCACTGCACCCGGCCTGACATTAATATTTGAAGTCATAGATTAGATAATATCACCAAAGCAGTGAAAGTAGATGAAGAGGAGAGGAGGACCAAGGACTGAGTCCTGGGGCCCCAGACTGAACAGGTGGGAAGTTAAGGGGTAGCCAAGGAAGGGTACAGAGAAGAAGCTGCTGGTGAGGTGGGAGGAGCACCAGGCAAAGGCATGTGGAGAAAGTGTTTCCAGAAGAACATGATCAATTGTATCTATTGCTGCTTTAGGGGCCAGTAAGATGAAAACAGAGGAGTCACCATCGGGTGAGCAGCCTGGAGGTCATTGGGGATTTCGGCCAAGTCAGTTTTTGAGGGGTGGTAGGGGATTAAGCCTGATTGGAGTGGGCTCAAGAGAGAATGGAGGCTAATGCAGGCAGATCACTTGAGTCCAGGAGTTTGAGACCAGCATGGATGACATGGTGAAACCCCATCTCTACAGAAAATACAAAAATTAGCAGGTATGGCGGTGCGTGTCTGTACTCCCAGCTACTCAGGATGCTGAGGTAGGAGGATCACTTGAGCCCAGGAGTTGGAGGTTGCAGTGAGCCGAGATTGTGTCACTGCACTCCAGCCTGGACAACAGAGTGAGACCCCATCTCAAAATAATAAAAAAGAGAGAAAATGGAAGATTCTTCCTCTTCTTTTTCTTATTCCTCTTATCCTCTTCTCCCCTCTCCTCTCCCTTTCTCCTTTCCCTTTCCTTCCCCTCTCTTGGAGGTGCCAGAATTACCAGGGACTGAGGAGGCAGCAGGACCAAGAAGGCAGCAGCCTGGCTGGAGACCATGGATGTAGGGGAGCCATGGTCATGGTCATCATGGTTGGGGTATTGTTTGCATATAGGAAGCTGAGCAAACATTGAGGGTAATGGGAGCCAGCTCTCCCTCCCCATCTAATCAGCACCCCATTCCTGCCAATTGCCCCTCCATAATCTTGTGATCCTCACGCAGTGTGCCTCTGCACACATATTTACTGCAGTTCTATTCATTCATTGATTTAACAAATAGTTTTGAGCCTGCTACTGGCTGCTGGATGGAGATCTTAGGATATAGCAGTGAACAACACACAGTCCCTGCCGTCTTGGGACTCACATCCTAGAGAAAAAGATAGACATTAATCCAAGAATCACACAAAGAAATGTCAAATTTCAACAATGATAAGTGCCTTACAGAAGAGGTCCCTTGGGCTTTTAGCACATAATAATGGGAGTTTGACTTGCATTGACCTGAGAAGATAACTTTTGAGTGGAGACCTAGTGGTGGAGGTGGTAGGAGATAACTAGGCAAAGAGCCAGAGAGAGTGGTCTAGGCAGGGGACATAGGTGGCCAAGGTCTACTGGGTGTGGGGGGTTGGGGGTTCAGGGCACATGTGAGCAGGGCAAGGAGGAGTGGTGAAGATGAGGCCATGTGTTGGGTGCAGTGGTTCACGTCTGTACTCCCAGCTACTTGGGAGGCCAAGACAGGAGGATTGTGTGAGGCCAGGAGTTTGAGACTAGCCTGAGCAACACAGCGAGACCCTGTCTCTACAAAAATAAATCAATAAATAAGGCCAAAGGATGAGCAGAGCCCAGAACATGCAGGACCTCGTAGGCCATGATAAGGAGTTTAGTTTCTTTCTAAGAGCACTAGAAAGCCAGCATAGGGGTTTAATCAGGTGCAACATGATCTGGTTTGTATTCTTTAAACAATTTTTTTAAACTGACACATAGTAATTGTGCATATTTATGGGGCATTAGTGATGTTTTGATACATATAATGTATAGCAATCAGATCAGAGTAATTAGCATATCTGTCATCTCAAATATTTATCATTTCTTTGTGTTGGGAACATTCAATATCCTTCTTGCAGTTATTTGAAACTAATACATTATTGTTAACCCTAGTCATCCTACACTGGTATAGAACACTAGAACTTGTTCCTGGTATCTAGCTGTAATTTTGTATCCTTTAACAAAACTCTCCCTATCCCCACTCCCTTAACCCTGCCCAGCCTCTGCTAGCCTGTGTTCTAATTTTTACTTCTATGAGATTAGCATTTTTTAGCTTCCACATATGAGTGATAACACATGGTGTTTAATTTTCTGTTTCTGGCTTATTTCACTTAACATAACGTTTGTATTCTTAAAAGATTATTTGGCTGATGTCTGGAAAATGGATTGTAAGAGTGCGAGAGTGGAAGCGGGGAGACCACAGAGGTGGTTTTTGTCTTGTAGGAGAGAGAGGATGGCAGCTGGACTAGGGCATCGGACATGGTGATAGAGAGGAAGTAGGAGACAGAAGTGCTGGGATGAGTGGGATGAATGGTATCTTGACTGGTGGGGAGGGTGTGTTGAGGAGTCAGGCTTTGGACTTAGTAGGAGGGTGGATAGTGGGGCTGATCCCCAAGAGCCCAGAAAACAGGGAGAGCAACAGGCTTTGAGGGCTGATGGGGCATTTTGTTTGAGACTTGCTGCAAAATGTCCACAAGGAACATTTGAGCAAGCTGTTGGTTGTGCAGATCAGAGTTCAGACTAAGGCAGTGACTTCAGCCTCAACTTATCAGCGACAAGCATTTGAACAAGCCTAACTTTTACTTATCTCAATGCGCAGATGAGAATGAACTGTCCAGGAGAAATGATCTCAGGCTGGATCAATCAGAGAAGGTGTCATGGAGGAGGTGGGACTGGAGCTGGGTCTTGAATGATGGGTAGGATTTAAGGAAGGGAAGGGAGGGTGTACCAGGCAGCATGAACAAAGGTACTGAGGTGAGAATAAGCATGGGGCATGCCGAGGGTCACAGAAAATGACGAACAGCCCATTTTGGGTGATGGCCACTTCTGTGGAGGCAGGGAAGGAGGAATGAGGTCCAGGAGGGGAGATCAGGAGCCCTCAGAGTTCCTCATAATGTTTTAGTGCTTAAGCTGTGTGCTGGGAAGATGAGCATTTGTTATGTGATTAACTCTATTTTCTTGTTCTTAGATATAGTCTGTCACCCAGGCAGACTCATTGCAACCTTTCCCTTCCAGGCTCAAGCTATCCTCCCACCTCAGCGTCCTGAGTAGCTGGTACTACAGGTGCATGCCACCATGGCTGGCTAATTAAAAAAATTTTTTTTGTACAGATGAGGTCTCACTATGTTGCCCAGGCTGCTCTCAAACTCCTGGACTCCCTTCTCCTTCAGCCCCCCAAAGTGCTGGGATTACAGGCATGAGCCACTGTGGCTGGCCTGATTGACTTTCTCTCTCTCTATATATATTTTTTGTTTGTTTGTTTGTTTGTTTTGTTTTGTTTTTGAGATGGTCTATCACCCAGGCTGGAGTGCAGTGGCATGATCTTGGCTCACTGCAACCTCCGCCTCCTGGGTTCAAATGATTCTCCTGCCTCAGCCTCCTGAGTAGCTGGGATTACAGGCGTGCACCATCATGCCCGGCTAATTTTTGCATTTTTAGTAGAGACGGGGTTTCACCATGTTGGTCAGGCTGGTCTCGAACTCCTGACCTTGTGATCCACCCACCTTGGCCTCCCAAAGTGTTGAAATTACAGGCGAGAGCCACCGCACCCGGCTGATTGACTATGTTTTGTATGGTTAAGATCATTTTTTATAATTCGTGGTCTAGAGGGGCGAATAGAGGGGAGAGTAGAGAGGGGTCTCTTAGGCTTGAGTTTACATTGCAGCTTCCTAATGGTGTGACTGTGGGCCTATGGATAAGGGACTTCATGCATTTGAACCTCTTTTCATCTGTAAAATGGGCATGAAGAACTCTTACCTCATCATCTCTCCTTCCCTCTCTCCTTCCATTTCTTCCTTCTTCCCTCCCTCTCTTTCTCTTCCTTCCTTCTGATAAATATTTACTATGTGTCTACAGTGTGGAAGGCCCTGCACAAGGTCCGAGAGATATGTTCCCTTATGGTACTTACAGTCTTTAGAGAGAGATATGAATCAAACATATACATGAATGCACCACTGCAGACAGTGATAAGAGCTATGAAGACAACAAACAAGAGCTTCCGTGGTGAAGAATAAAAAGATACTGAGACAGGGTGGCCAGGGAAGGTATTTCAGAGGAGATGTGAAGGAGTTTGCCTTGGAGGGGGTGAAGAGAGAGGGGAATGTGTCGGTCAGAGAGCACAGCATGAGCAAAGGTCCTGAGGTGCGAAGCACACAGGGAGCTTTGAATGTTGGTGTTAGCAGTCCAGCCAGAGAGTGCCAGGCAAGGGGGAGAGAGGCATGGCAGGAGAGGTTGGGAAGACATGTGCATTCAGGAACATGGGCTTGCAGAGCACGTAGCACGGTGCTTGGTGTGCGTGCTCAGGAAATGCTGGTGGCCTTTCTTCCCACCCCTTCTTGGGGGCCATGGCTAGGGTGACAAATGGACTTCTGAGGGCAGAAAGGGGGCCTGGAGGCCTGGGAAGCCTCTAAAGAGCACCTATGGTAGCTATGACGATGAATCCAACTCCTTACTTCCTCCCCAGCATGCCCCCAATTGTATGTTCCCACTCTTTACCATGTTATTTTGCAGTGCCCTCCCATTGCAACTTGAGTGGACGTTGCTCAGCCATGGGACTTGCTCTGGCCAATGGGATGAGAGCAGAGGTGCATCGAGCAGGGGCTTGATAAGCACTTCCGTGGTTGGGCTTGCCTGCTTGTGCCTCAGCTACTGCCACAAGAACATGCCCAGCCTAGCCTGCTGGTCCTGGGAGGAGGAGGGGGCAGAGCTGAGCTACCCCAGCCAAGCCAACCCAGCTGACCCACAGACTTACAAGTTAATTAAATGCTGCTTGTTGTTTACCACGGGGATTTTTCTGGCTGTTCTGTGTGTAGCACTCATTTCTTTGCTCCAGTGGGGTCCCTGGATCTGGGTCTTTTCTGCCTTCACCCAAGCCCAGGAATACTAGAAGAGAGATGGTTGGGCCAAGCCCAGGATTCTGACCTCGGACCTGCTGAAGCCTCAATTTAGGCACCAGGAAAGCCCTTCTCCATATGGGGTCTCAGTTTTACCATCCACTTAATGAAACATCTGGCCCTGATTGCCAAAGCCTTCATAGGGACTAAGAGCTCAGGTTGTCCAAATATGACTATGTCCCTCCCTTACTTAAAACACTCAGTGGCTCTCCATAGCTTTCAGAGAGAAGTCGAAGCTCCCTAGGCTGGCATTCAAGGCTCTGCATGGCTTTCCTCCTGTCCACACTTGCAGTACAGCTCCTACCACTCACTCTTTGCTTCAGCCATGCCTTATTGGCTCCAGTCTTATCATGTTGTGCCTGTTCATGCCTCCGAGTCTTTGCACCTGCTATTCCCTCTGTTTGCAAAGCCTGCCACTGCATTTCTCTGCTTTGTGAATTCCTATGCATGGGCTGTGGCTTGTTTTTAACTAACTTTCATTTCCTAACATTCACTGAGCTCTTACACTATGCCAGGCACCTTGCTAAGCTCTGTGTTCTAGTTTAGTCTTCCTGGCAACTCTATGAGGTAGGTATTATTATCATCTCTTTTAAATATGAATAAACAGAAAAGTAAACTGACTGATACAAGTCACAGCTAGTAACTGGTGAAGCTAGGATACAAATTCAGGCATCAACAACAGATTTGAACCTAGGTCTCTCTGTTTCCAGAGCCTATGTCCTGTGGAGTCACCTCTCCATGATGCTTCTTGCAGAATTCTCATGCAAGTGCATGAACTATATTCATTCAACTCACAGATATTTTCTTGAGTGCCAGGCACTGTGCCAACCTCTTCATGAGCAATGACTTCCTTAATCTTCATACCAGCCCTAGGAGATGATGATTCTTACCAATCCCATTTTGCAGATGAGAACAACCGAGGCCCAGAGAGGTAAAGGGACTGGTCTAAGGCCGTGAAACCAGTAAGTGGTGAAGTTGGGACACATACCCAGGCAATCACATAGATGCCCAGACCCAAACTAGACCTCCTGGCCACAGTGACTTTCAATTTGCCATAAACTTCAAGATCCAGTTTGGGCACCAACTCCAGGATGCTGAATGGCTAATTCATGGCTCTGGGGAGCCAGAAGATTCATGGCTCTGGCCTGTCCAGCCTCCCTCCCCACCCCCAAGGACTTCAGAGCTGACAACCCAGGATGCAGTATGGTTTGGACAGAAGTCAGATGCTTCACAACACTGTTGGGCATCCCCCATCTCCCCAGTTTTCAGCCCGATGCACTGACCCAGCCCCCACCCTTCCCCTTGGGCCTCAGGCTCTGAATCCAAACAAACACAAAAAGCCAAATGACTTTCACTCTGTCCCTTCCAATTCAGTGATTTTGGAGGAGAATAAATACTGAAGCCACTGGCATGAATAGAAAGTAATATAAAACTGTGCTAACTGCACAGGGATGTTTTTTAAAAAGAAAAAAATTCTCAATTTAAAATCTCTACACAAATAGACTCTTCTAAGGTCAAATGAAAGATAAATGCCTCAGGAAAGCAAAGAAGTCATCATTTAGGTTGAATTTTTTCTCTCTCTCTTTCATTTCCTCTCTCTCTCTTTCATTCTGTCCCCTACCAATATTTCTTTCTATCCCTGTCTTTGCCTCTCTTATCTGCCACTCGCTCTTCCTGTCTGCATGTTTGTATGTGTCAATCTGTCACTTTTATTTAAGTGGCAGAATTGCAACTGCAGGTGAGTAGTATGACCTTGGTCAAGTCGTTTCCCAGCTCTGTGCTTCTGTTTTCCTATCTTTACATAGGAAGTACAATTACTTTTTGCAGAGGGGTATGAAGCAAAGCAGGACCTCATAAAGTAAAATGATGCTTCTAACCAGAGCTGGGAAGTCTCACCCACCCTCTAGGTTTGGGCCTGGAAGATGGAAAAGATTAGGAGCAGGCACCATCTGGTCACCAAGTTATGCCAATGAACCAATGGAGTGAATGGCCTTCTGACCTTGGCCTCTTTACTGTCCACCTGATTCAAACTAAAGTTGTCTTAAGAAAATGATTCTGGTTTGAAAAAAGGAGAAGCTGAGAAACATGTAAGGCCAGAGAAGTAGAAACCATTTTAAAGGTGAGATAAGAGCCACCTTGAATGGGAAAACAACCATATGATGAATTTAAATCAAAGCCAGAGGGATTGTGATTAGTAGAAGGAAGATCTCCTTGACAACTGAGGGGGAATAAAACACTAGGGAAAACCTACCGGAATGGGAGGCGCCAGGCTGTGATCTTTTTAGGGCAGAGATCACATCTTTCTTGGTTACCATTATCTCCACAGGGCACAATAGAGGGTCTGGGTCCATAAGTATTAGTTGAGTGGCTGACTAAATGAGTGAGAGTTTCTATTCCTGGAGCCCCCTAAGACAAGACTAGATACCATTTCCCCAGAACACAGAGCCTTGCTCACCAATGAGCAATACAGTATTGCTCACCAACCACTGAATGAATGTTGAATATGTGAGTTTGCTAGCGGCAAGTATTGCGTGTCCAGTATTGCTGCTACAGCACACGCATCTCTTGAGGACTGAGTGGATATTGAAGGGGAGGGGGCATCTCCAGGGTGGAGCAGGAATCGGGGGTGGGGAGGATTACCTGAATGACACTTTGTCAAGTAGCCTATGAATTTCTGCCTTGTTAGTTTGAAGTATTCTGCTACCTAGAGGCAGAGTATTGGACTAAAAAACTTCTGACAGCCCAAGTATCATCTCCTTCTGAGAGGGACTAAGCCAGCAGATGAAGAGGAGAGACTAGGGCCATGGAAAGACTGGAAGGAATAGCTTTTTGTCCTGGGAAAACCCTTGATTGGGAGTCAGAAGTCCTGGTTTCTAAACTCAAATCAATGTAAAGCAAGAACACCAGGAAGACACCCCAGAGCCTTCTAACTAGCAGGAACTGCTCTAGTCATATAGCACAGATTGGATTTCCTGGGAGGTGGACTTGGAGATGGAGACTAGCATGTGGGGTGCTTATCATGGCATGCTGTTAGTCGCAATACCTGCGGATGAGAGGGAAGGAAGTGGGACTGAGCAAAGGGAGAAGTAGAGTTGTGATACAAGCTCAATAGAGACCTTAGCTATCCCTATAGATGGTTCTGAAGCTGGGATACTTCAGAGTTGTCCAGAGTTGGAGTGGGCCTTTACATTGCCATATCAATCAGTTGTTGGATACAGGCTACCGCAGGAAGAGGTGTTACCTTGAATCAAGCAACTCTCTTCAGCTGAGGCAACTCCTGTAGGGGACTGACAGCTGATGGCTTCCTGCCAGTGATGCTACCAGTAGATGGTGGAATAAACCCTTCTATTATGAAGGGGGATCTGGGTGTACATTGCAGTTCCCACCATAGCATGCTACTCCCATTAACACTAATCCTTATCGCAGTCCTACAAGCTAGATATTATTATCACAGTCAAAAACTGAATTTTGGAGTGTATCAACTTACCCCAAGCAAGTTGTGGAGCTAATTCAAACCCATGTCTTCCTGGCTCTTAATTCCTTCATTTTTTAACTACACCTCATTGCCTTTGATATCTTCACCCCTTCCCCCAACCCAAATTCCACCTATCACTCTCAAGATCTTGACAAATAGCTCCCCTCCCTGAGGCTCAGACTCTCCATCTGTTAAAGAAGGAGATTAAGTTATATCTGAGATTCTTAACCAGGGGTCCATGAACCCCATGAAATAGAGGGCTAATTTTGGTATTTATGAGCAAAATTTTGAGTTTTAAATATTTTTCTTGGTAAAAGACCCATGAGATTGTTTATATCCTAAAAGGTTTATGACTCGCCTAAGAGGCTGAGATATAACCGGACCAGATGGTCTAAGGTCCTCTTCAGCACACACATGCTGTGATTCTGCACCCTTAGAGCAGAAGCACCACAGACAGCGCCAATACCATTCAGCACCACGGACAGAGCCACGCTCTGACGTCTTCTGCAGAAAAGTCCCATCAACTATTACACTGACCCAAAGAATGAACGAGGCAAGACCACTGAGTGCCCAAAATCAGTGGGATAGGAAGTCAGAATCTGCAACAGACACAGATGGCTTTCCCTCTCCCCCCTGCCTTTTCTGTAAAAGAGTCCCAAATGTTGCAATTGTCCTCACAGTGACATTTCCCCTATCCTGGGGGCCTCCCGTCCCTCTCCCCACAACAGTGAAGAAGAGGGTATCGAGCCGGGCAGTGGAGTACCCTGGTGACAGATTAGCACTGCCAACCACCGACACAAAACCATTTGGTGTGGGGAAATGATAGATGTTAACACTCATTTTAAACACAGGCAACTGAATTCCTGCAGACAGGCGCCACGGCTGGAATTTAGGGCACAGCTGCTAGGTTCAGATAAGGTGCAGAATCAGCCCAGCATACCGCGATGTTACTTAATAATGAAAATGTGGTGATTGATGCTGCTGTCTCGAGAATATAACCTCCCCATTTGGAGGTTTTCAGCTCCCAAATCATCCATTCCACCTTTTTTTTTTTCCCCCTTTCTTTCTTTTTTTGGAAAGGCAATGTGTGTGTGGTGGGGGTGTGGATACAGGGTTGATGGGGCCTGGCAACATGAAGCTCATGATGCTAAATAATTTTTTTAAAAGTCCAAAGAGCTTAGTTTGAAAGAATTCAATTCTAGCAAGCTCACCTGGGACAGCAAGTTCAACATGAAAAACTGGTTTGGACAAGTTACCTTCCATATTTTTATGGTCAAAGGCTTCTTTTACTACACTACTCCCCATTTCTATGATGTCACAAAGAGCCAATCAGAGTTTTTGATTCAGGACCTCAACTCCCACCTCTTCCTGAGCCCCAGGAAAGCTGGACCATTTATCTACTGCCTCCTGAAGAGCATCCCCTGGAGAAAACCTCAGATTCTGCATGTCCAAAATTAGTCTAGGTTAGAATATCCAAGCAAGCCCTTTTTGCTCTCTATGGCAAGTGACACCACTCAAGGCAAACACCTGGGCATTATCCAAGACTCCTCCTTCCCCCTCATCTCCCAAGTCCAGCATCTCACACCTGCTATTTTTATCTCCTAAACCACTCTCTCTTAAATTCACAATTCACCTACTTTTTTTTTTTTTAGCCCTATAGCGTTAAAATACAACCTCACCCCCTTCCCCTAAATAGCCACCTGGGCTCCAGCCTTTTTCTCCAGTTCATCTTTCATCCTGCTCATCAGAATAATTTTCCTAAATGGAAATATATCATGCCACTCTTCTGCTTAAAACCCAACATCCTGTAGGCATTCAATGTCCTGTAGGACAAAGTCCAGTTTCCTTACCATAGCATCAAAATCTTTAAGGATCTGGTTTCAGTGTATCCCTCAATGTTACTCACAATCTTTACCAAAAGCACCTGAAATAAATGCTTATTTCTGCCTCCTTGCATTTGCACATGCTGTTCCTTCTGTCTTGCAGGACCTTCCTCTCCTTTTTCTGCCTGAAAGGCATTCATTCTTCAAGATTCAAGGCTCAAATTGTTTCTCCTTTGAAGAGTCTTCCTTACCATCTTCCCCACTCCTGACAATGTCAATTTCACTTTCTTCTGTGCTGTTACAATTATAGTCACCCTGTATTACAGTGACAGGTTGCCATCATTCCCTCACTCGCTAGAATTGGGTTCAAATCCCTGTTCCATTATTTTTCAGCTCTATGACCTTCAGTAAGTTGTAGGATTCTCTCTGGCCCTCAGTTTCTTCTTCTGTAGCCTGGAGATAATAATAATACCTATGTCATCATTAAATGATAAATGTAAAGTATCCATTGTGTACCCTGGGACACAGTAGGAGCTTAATAAATATTAATTTCCCAGTAGAGAAAAGTTGTTAATCTAGAGCCCATGGAAGACTTGGGAAGTCCCTATCTCAGGTCAGGGTCCTAGAAGCAGAGCCTCAGAGGAATTCTGTGCACAGGGTTTATTGAGAAAGTGCTCTCAAGGAAAGGAGAGAGGGAAGCAGGAGAGGGAAGGGGACAAATAAGGATGTTGTTTAGGGTAAAGTCTGTCCTTGGCCTAATCCAAGGGGGGTTTGGAGCATAAGTTACACCACAGAGTTGTCCCTACCTAGAAACAAGGGAGTTGCCTTCTGTACCCCCTTGTCAGCCATAGCTGGCTATGGGCTGATGCAGGGTGGGTGAACAAGGGTGTAACCTCCCAGAAGAGGTGACCCTCATCAGCCGAGATTGATGCTACAAAGAAGGGAGCAGCCATTGAGGGGGCATTGAAGCCTACAGCAACAGGGGGACAGGTGTGCCTGCCAGTGGGAGGGGGTTTGAATGCGGTGTCAACAGAATCTACTAGTCCTGAGAGAGTTACTGCTTTAAGGAGGCTGAGAGGTTGTTTTGCATGGAATGGAGGCAGAGCCCAGACTTTATAGATATCTCCATTTTCACTCATGCAATAATTCATGTATTCATTCAAAAGATCTTCATTGAACATCTACTCTGTTCCAGAGACTTTAGTAGGCCCTGGAGATACTGGAGAGCAAAAAAATGGCATCTTTAGGGAGCTCATAGTCTAGTAAGGGTGAAGATATTCATCAAATGATCTGTCTTCAAAGACAAAGGTTTCTGAAGAGAAGGAACTCAGTTCTGTGCGCGTGTATAGCAGAGGGACTCAGTTCAGCTTGGGGCACTTAGGAGGGCTTCCCATAGGAGGAGACTTTTGAGTGAAGGTATGAAGGGTAAGAGTTCACTGGTGAAAGAAGGGAGATAATTAGGATAGGAAGGAGAGATGTGTGGCTCTCTTCTTGCTTGCTTTTGGAAGTCCTGCTAAAAAATGTGAGAGAGCATCTCTAAGGCAGGGAGTATTGCCTTAGAGCTGTTGTCGGTCATTTACCCTTGAGTATAAATGACATTTTAGTTTTTTTTCCCTGCAAGTAGTTTGTTGAAGGGGAATGAAGAAAAAAGCCTGAGGGGCACTGAATGCTTTGGAGAAAAGCCATAAAATGGCCCAAAATAAGAGTTGGGGAGACAAGGGCTTTGAGACAAACTTGCTGATTTTGAATCTTGCAGCCACCGCTCCTCCCTCTGTCAGGGCCTCTCTCCCTGTCTCTCACAGACCTTGGAGCTGGCGGGAAGAAGCTTGGCTTGGAGCCAGCCATGTCCAGCCTCTGCCTTTTTTGAAGCCAGAGGTAGCAGCTGCCTATGCAACATGAACTAAGTGCCCAGCTCTACTCTCTCTCTGCTCAACCCTACTGCCAACAGCCACTGTTCATTGCCTGAAATTCCCATCATTAATGTCCCAAAGCCTAGGCTGGGTGTCCTAGGAGCTCCATTCTTATTCTGGCTGTCTTGTTCTGACCTTGGGCATGTTCCTTCATTTCTCTGGATGCAAGGGCCAGATTGGATTCATCTCCTCTGAGGTCCCTGCAGCCCTAGCTGTCTATGTGTTTTTTCCTCACCACAGTTAACCTATTAAGGTTGCAAACTCAAGGTGGTGTTCTGGAGACCCCCAAGAGAGCTGGGGGATATCTGAGCACCTGGAATCGAGGCTGAGCACCTTCCTCAGTCTTCTGGCTGGCAGAAGCCGTGGCCCAGGAGTTGGGAGGGAGAAGGGCTCTGGAAGAGGCCCTCAGCCCCTTGTGGCCCTTTAAATGCTGCCAAAATGACTCCTGCTCCGTAGATTGCTGCCTGGAGCTGTCAGACACGCGTCAAGGTCAGGGGTGTGCATCTGCCCCAGACACAGCAATAATGGCTTCTAATGGACTGTAAACAGGTGAAGTTTGCTGCAAAGACATTGCTGCTGCTGGAACAATAAAAGCTTCTTTCTTCTTAACCCTCTCCTGGATTTTGATTATGCCACAACTACACTGTCTTTAAACAGGGCCTTCTCCAAAGACATTCTTGCCTGGAATCTCATCCACCCTTATCAACAAGAAGGTTATTATTAGTCCACCTTTCAGCCGGGAAAACTGGGGCCCAGAAAGGGAAACAGACTTGCGTGAGGTCTCAGACCTATGATGAGGCACAACCACAAGTATGACTTAAGGCTTGGTTGGTCTTACAGCCCAAGCTATTAACCACTACTCTACCCTGCCTGCAGCTACTGATGATTTGCGCTGGACTTTGCTAACAGATGTAAGAGAGATAAAAAGTGACCTTGGAGCTCAGAGGTCTGGAGGGAAAAGTGAAGATCTTTGAATCACACTAACCAGAGTTCAGATCTTGATCTCTTTAACTTGCTGCGTGACCTTGGGTCCATTAATTAACCTCTCTGAGCCTCAGTTTCCTTATTTTTAAAGTGGAGCAATAGGATGATTGTGAGCATTGAAAGAAATTAGATGCATGAAATGCCTGGCACAGAGGTCTCAGTAAAGGTTAGTCCCCTCTCCTACACCCACTCCCCTTGAGTAAATCTGGGATATTTGAAACTTCCTAGAGGAGGTGATCTTAGCACTGGGGCTGCCAGATGAAAACCAGTGATCCAGGTCCCAGAGCCCACCCCACTTCTCGGGGATGCTGTCCCCAAGGTCCTCATGTGCCAGGCAGGCAGCCAGCAGCCCCCTCTCCCTCCCTCCCAGCCGTGGGCTGGCGGGCAGGAGTGAAGACAGTGAGGACCATAAACAAGGCCAATGAGAAAGCGGTAATTCCGCGGCGCCACCATTTCCCATCACGCTGCTACTTTTAGTGCCGAGGCAGGGAGGTTGGATGGTTCCTCCCCTGGGCCATTTTTTCTGAGCCTGTTAGACACCAGGCAGGGAGGTAAGGAGAGTGAGGGTAAGGGAGAGTAGGGGAGGAGGGAGTGGGACTTCACCTTGGCCTCACCCACCCTCCACCCAGCCACTCTGCGACTCTGTCCTTTCACCCGCTGGCTGGAGAGCGCCTCCTCTTCAATCACCTTCCCCGGTGGACCCCAGAATAGGACCTTCACCCTCTACTGTGAACTGCACCTGAGGACCCCAAAATAGGACCTTCGCCCTCTACTGTGGACTCCACCTGAGGCTCACATTCCTGCCCTCATTTCCATCCCCACTCTATTTCTCTCCAGAGCTCTTGTCACCTTCTGACATGCTTGAAAATTGATTTACTTACTTTTTTGTTGTTGTCTGTTTCTCTCCAGCAGACTGATTCTCCACACTAGGCTCTCTGAGGGCAGAGATTTGTACCTGTTTTGTTTACTGCTCTATTCCTAGCACCTAAAACAGTGCCCAGCACGTAGTAGGTGCTCAATAAAGTACAGAATGTGGTTATCCACTCATCCACTCTTATTATCTAATATTTCATTCAAAACACATTGAGGTGAATAAATGAAGCTACCTGTTCTGGGCATGGGGTTAAGTGCTGGTGGAATCTAAATGAACCGCACAGCCTCCCCTTTGAAGTGGGGGGATCTGCAGTGAAGTGGTGCAATCGTGGAATTACGATTACTGATCAGAGTCAGGATGCCTGAGTTTACTTGGTGTGTGACCCTGGGAGAGATTTCTATACCTCTAAGCCTCTGTTTCTCAATCTGTCAAGTGGGGATGGTCAAAGGGGTTGCAAGGAGCAAGGAGACCCTGCATTCAAATGTGCTTTAGCACAGCGCAGGCGACCAGGGGAGCTCCATGGACGATGGCCACGGAACTGCGATCACTACTACAACACAGCCCAGAATGAAAGCAAGTAAGCAAGTGCTCTAATGGAGAAAGAAACCACGTGCCGAGGGTCCGCAGGAAAGGAGCAAGTGATCCTGCTGTGGAAGGTCAAGGACACAGTCTCAGAAGCAGCAGCACAGGAGCTGGGCATCCTGGAGCTCCAGCGTTCTTGGTGGAGGAAATGGCAGAAGCAAAGGCACAAGGTGTGGGAGGAGCTGCAGGATCCTTGTGTGTGTGTGTGTGTGTGTGTGTGTGTGTGTGTGTGGGTCTAGGGTAGGAGATGAGGAAGGAGAGGAGATGGGGAGGGAGGGGGGTGAGATCAGGGGATACTTAAATGCTGGAGGGAGGAATTTGAACCCTGTCCCAGAGGTGTGGGAGCCACTGAAGGATTTCGAGCAGGGGTGGGGCATGGCCCACTGGGATTTAACATGTCTGTCTGAGGTGGCTTGGATGTGGGGACAGGAAGCGGAAAGGGTAGCTAAAAGGGGGCTGATATTTCAGGTGGGAGATGCTGAAGCTTATACAGAATGTCAAGGGGGGAACTGGGTGCTGACCATGGCACTCAGACCCACACTCCCTGCTGATGGGCAGAGGCCGCCTGTCTTGCCCACCCCTGGTCTCCAAGAGGGTTCCAGGGAAGAGCAGGGGGACGAAAACTCAGGGCCTATGTCCCTGGTCCCTCCTGAAATATCTCTGACCCTCAAATCCCCCAGCCATTCACCTATCCTGATGGGTGAAAATCCCAGCTCCTCTACCACCCAATGGTGTGACCTTGGGCAAGTCACTTCACCTTTCTGGGCAGGCTCCTTTATGTAAAACATGGAAAAGGCTGAGATGAGAATAACCCCTGAGTCCCTACTCTGTATCAAGCCCTGCCACTCATAGGGGGAAAAATTCTAAGTGAAACCTCCAGAAGGAGCCTGGTACCCTGAGGGGGTTCAGTCAACATCCTCCCGCCTTTTTATCTTAGCACTTCAAGGGGACCTGCTCTGTTTTCAATGATGCTCTGGCATACCTGGCCAACGAGATCAACATCTTATAAACAGGACTTTATAGTTTATGCAGCACCTTCAACCCTATTATCTTACTGGAAGCTCTGTCTTAGAGGAATGTTAGGTTCCATTGTATGGATGAGGAAACTGAAGTTTAGAGAAGTTAAGCAACTCTCCTAAGATCACGTAGGGTTTGAACCCAAGACTATTGCGTCCAAGCCCAAAGGGTTTCCCCTCCAGCCTTGCCACCTCCCCAGTCGTGTGAGTTTCCTGAAGTCAGGACCCTCTTCCGTGATTGGCTTCTCCAAAGTACCTCCCCTAAGTGTGTGTGGGAACAGGCAGACAGTGCCCCTAGGATCCACCTGGGATTGTAGATACCTGCTACGTACCACATTTCTCATATTCCTTCTCTCTGACCTTTATGTTGGACCCCGTGAGTTGCAACTCATTACCTCCATTTCACAGATGCAGAAAACAAGGCCCAAAGTTCTGCCAGCTCCAGGGGGCAGGGCTCATATTAAAGCCCAAGCTGCCTGAATCCCCTGGCCAAGCTCTTCCTCCGTGGGAGGTTGTTGGCCGAGCTCACCAGGATGCCACAGTCAGTGAGGGAGGAATCGCAGGGCAGAGACAGGCTGTGCACACAGCCCTGTGCTTGGGTAACTGATGGTCAGCATCTCCAAAACTTTCCTGTGGCGCACCTTTCAACCCCTGAGCTGACCCCCTCTTTCTGCACGTTGCTGGCACAAGTTTGGATGAGGCTGGGAGCCTGCCTGAGAGGGCTTGAGAACACCTGAACCACCCGTCAGCCTCAGCAGATCTCATGGGAGCTGAGGGTTGGACCTTACCCTCCACTAAGAGATCTTCTGGTGTTGCCTCCTGGTTTTGCAGAAGGGGAAACAGTAGCTGGAGCAACTTTACTGGGCACCAGGCATTTTCACACTCATTACTGTTTGAGTTCTCATTATTTTGCAATAATGCACAATTTATGAGTGAGGAAATGGAGGCTCAGAGAAGGAAAATGTCTTGACCTGGACTCCAAAACTAATGAATTGTGAGACGAAGACACAGGTTGGCCCAAGCTAGCTGGCTGTTTCCATCACATGAGGACACAATGGGAAATCAGCAGTCTGTAACCCAGAAGAGGGCTCTCACCAGAACCCGGCCACGCTGACACACTATTCTCAGACGTCCAGCCTCCAGAACTACGAGAAATTAATGTGGCTGAAGCTACCTAGTCTATGGTACTTTATTATAGCAGCCCAGACTGACTACAGCAGTCAGTCAATAACCTGGTTGTGATACTGTACTATAGTTTTGCAAGACGTTACCAGTCAGAGAACCTGGGTAAAGGGTGCATGGGATCTCAAATCCCAGTGCTGCTCCTTTCTCACTCTATGACCTTGTGCAAGTCACTTCACCCCTTTGACTCTCAGTCTCCTTATTTGTAGGAAATAATATTTGTAGGAGGTAAAATACTAGCCATTTAGAAGTGAAAGGCAATGAGAGTATGTCATTTCCAAACTGATGGCATGCAGGCATAGTAGTATTCAGAGGGAAATTTATAGCCTTTGATGCACTTATGAGAAAGCAGGAGTGATTAAATATAAATTAATTAAAATTTCAGTTCAAGATACTAGAAATATAACAAAGTAAATACTAGAAATATAACAAAGTAAATTAAAAGAAAACGGAGAGAAGGAATTTTAAAAGACAAAAGCAGAAATTGATGAATCAGAAAACAAAATGGAGATAATCCCTACAACACAGTTGTGGCAAGAATTAAATAAGATCATTCATTCATTTGCTTGCATACTATATTCCAGGCATTGTGCTAAGTACAAGGGGTATAACAGTGAGCAAAACACACAGCCCTGCCCTCATGGAGTTTTCAGTCTAACGACAGAGGCAGATACATGAGTAAATACAGTACAATGTTCAGTGAAATCAAGGCAGAAGCAGAGGGCATTGTGGGGTCTAGCAGAGGTGCCCTGACCCATCCTGGGGAGAGGGACTGTTCCCCAGAAGGAGGTGTGTAAGGTAAACATGAGGATGAACAAGGTTATTGTTATTGAGAGTGTTCTTGACCAAGAAAATAGTACATGCCAGTGTTTGATGCAAGGGAAGTTGTGTCGAAGTGGAGGAAATGGAAGCATTCCTGATTTTAGTGAGTACTTCCAACAACCTTGTGAGGTGAGGATGATGATCACCTCCATTTTATAGCTGAGGACACTGAGGCTCAGAGAGGTTCATTAACTGGTCTCAGATCTTTCAGCAAATAAGTGATGAAGTTGGGATTGAACCAGATGGCTTAGCCTGGGTTTCCTAAAACACAAAGTCTGGAGCAAAGTGTACATATTTTATGGCAGGTGCAATTCTTAGGCAGCAAGAATAAGGGGGACAGGGTGGCAGATAGAGAAGAATAGGAAGCAAACACAAAGAGCTATGTTTCTGAGCTGGCCGTAGAAACATACCTTTTTGAGCCAATGCAACTGGGTGCTGGGTCACTTGGAGTGGCAGATACGCAAGCCATGTGGAACCTCCCATTTTTGGAATAGTCCATTTGTCTGCGGCTCCTTCCTGGTTCATGGTTGTCAATGTTCCTGATTTGCTGCAAGGAGTGCTGTTACTCAGCCCCTCCAGGAAGCCACTAGGGAAGCCTGATCCCCTGCCCTAAGCATGGTGCTTTATCTGAATGTGAAAGTGGTGGAAAGAGCCTCCCTCAGATCGAGTTGGACCCAGGGGGTCAGCTGCTGCAGCTTGACAGGCTTGATGGGGTGTCTGCAGAAGGCTAGTCCTCACCCGGGGGAAACTGAGGCAGCTGGACTAGAAGAAGAGCCAAAGACAGCAGCCGGGCTCTTCATTGAGCAAGAGGGGACAGGTGGATCGAGTCAATCTGGGACGATACACGAGACCAGGCCTGTCTGATTACAGAACTTACACGCAAGAGGCCAAGCTAAGGCTGGGAAGGTGGGCAGGGGCCAAAGTCCAGAGGGCTTATTGACAGATGGAAATATGGGGCTCTGTCTGCAGGGTAATGAGGAGCCATGGGAGGATTCTCAGCACCTGGCAGGGTGGCTGGCACCAACGGCAACCCAAGAGAAGCTAGATCCCACTGGCGGGCGTGCGCCCAGTGGCCTCATATTGGCAGGGTGTAGGGGGCTGCCCGTCACCCCCCTGCCCTGCCACTTCTCCGAAGCTCAGGTCCAGAGGCTGGCAGTGAGGTGCTGCCCATGACAACTGCAGCGCTCATCCTTCAGCATGACATTGGCACATCACTGGGGGAGTGGAGGGTGACGGAGCACCATTCCGGGTGGTAATGGCTCCAGCGCCAGGAGGAAAATGACATAAATAATATCCCATTAGAGGCGCCGAGCGGCTCCGCTGAGTGCCTTGTGTTGCTGGCAACATTATGGGCTTCATAAACAGACTCATTCATTTTCCACTCGTTGCTCTGGTGGATGGGGGATGGGTGGGCTGCCAGGGAAGGTGACTGGGGGCTGCAGAGGCAGTGAGGGGCAGGAACAGCACAGTCCGCCCCTCCAAGCCTCAACTCGCATGCCTCCAGCTTGGGCCACCAGACTTGCTGGCCCTGTCCACCTCTAGACTTTTGCCCACACGCCCTGCCTCTGCCTGGAACACGCTCTCCCCAGCTCAGTCTTTGGAAACCACACTACTTCTTTCAGGGACTAACTCAGGTTGCTCCTTGGTGCTGGGTTCTCCATGCAGCTTTCCTTAATTCCCAATCCTTATTTTTATTTTATTTTATTTTATTTTATTTTATTTTATTATTTTTTTGAGACAGAGTGTCACTCTGTTGCCCAGGCTGGAGTGCAGTGGTGCGATCTTGGCTCACTGCAAGCTCCGCCTCCCGAGTTCACGCTATTCTCCTGCCTCAGCCTCTCGAGTAGCTGGGACTACAGGCGCCCATCACCACGCCCGGCTAATTTTTTGTATTTTTAGTAGAGACGGGGTTTCGCCGTGTCAGCCAGGATGGTCTCGATCTCCTGACCTCGTGATCTGCCCGTCTCGGCCTCCCAAAGTGCTGGGATTACAGGCGTGAGCCACCGTGTCCAGCCCCCAGTCCTTATTTTTTTATTTTATTTTGAAATGGGGCCTCTATCACTCAGGCTGGCGTGCAGTGATGCAATCACAGCTCACTGCAACCTCTACCTCCTAGGCTCAGGTGATTCTCCCACCTCAGCCTCCCAAGTAACTGGGACTACAGGCACGTAACACTATGCCTGGCTAATTTTTATGTTTTTAGTAGAGCTGGGTTTCAGCGTGTTGCCCAGGTTGGTCTCCAACTCCTAGGCTCAAGTGATCCACCCGCCTTGGCCTCGCAAGGTGCTGGGACTACAGGCATGAGCCACCGTGCCCAGCCCATTCTCCATGGCCTCGAGGCTCCCTTAGCTCTGGTGAGACAGCCTGGCACACTGGAGGGCATCCTGGAGACAGACAACTCTGGATTCAAATTCTGAGCTGGCAATTATAAGTCTGGTGACCTTGGGTTAGTCCTCGAATCTCTCTGAGCCTCAGCTTCCTCTTGTGAAAGGATATCTTGTGAGAGTATCTTACAGGCTTGTCATGAAAAGTGTCTTTTAGGCTTGTCTGGAACACAGTTGATTTTCATAAATAATTGTTCTGCTTGTCCCCTTTACTATGTAGACATTTGAGTTCTCTCCACAAAGGGACCATTGATTTTCTTGTGTCTGTCCCTCCTGGAGTCTAGTCCTGGGCTCCGTGCATGGCAGGTGTTGAAGGCAGGTTTGAGGGTGCAGTGAGAGGAGCTCTGGGTAAAGAATGTAGGGCCCCGGGTCTTGTCCCAGCTTGAACATTGATGAGCTGTGTGACCTTGGGCCAGTCCCTTCCCCTCTCTGGGCCTCTTTCTCTGCAAGGGTAAGACAGAAGTTTACATAAAAGGACACCTGTGGCCCTTCTCAGCTACCACTTAGAGGACCTCAGGCTAGTACCCCATCCCTCCACCTGTCAGGAGGTGGGCTCTGGCTTTCAAGTCAGAGAGAAACAGGCTAGGATCCTGCTCTGCTGTGTGGCCTTGAGCAAGAACAGAACATCTCTGAATCTCACTCAGTTTCCTTGTCTGAAAAATGGAGGTAATACAGCCAGCATTACAGGGTGGTTGTAGTAACTTAGTGAAATTATTGAATCAGTGGTATTCGCTGAACACTTATTATGTGCCAGGCACTATTCACTGTTGGGGATACAATGGTGAACAAGATAAGGATTATTCTCCCCCTTCCCAGAGCTTATATTTAAGTGAGAGAGAGAGAGACAAAAATCAGCCATCACATAAATAACTACATAATTACCAACCGTGCTATATGTTATAAAGAAAAAGTAGGCTAGGCATGATGGCTCACACCTGTAATTCCAGCACTTTGGGAGGCGAAGGTGGGAGGATCACTTGAGCCCAGGAGTGCGAGCCCAGGAGTGCTAGACCATCGTGGGCAACATGGGGAGATCCCGTCTTTACAAAAACTAAAAAATTAGCTGGCCATGTGGTTTACACCTGAAGTCCCAGTTACTCAGGAGGCTGAGGTGGGAGGATCGCTTAAGTTGGGGAATGGTGGCTGCCGCGAGTTGCAATCATGACACTGCACTCCAGCCTGGGAAACAGAGTAGGACACTGTATCTAAATAAAGTAAAATAAAATAAAATAAAATGGAAGTACAGGGTCCTGACCTAGTGCTCCTAGTTATGGAGGGCTTCCTGGGAAGGTGGCACATGAACTGAGATCTTGTTCTGATTATTTATTGCTGTATAACAAATGAACCTAGTAGCTTAAAACTACAATTTTTGTTGATGCTTGTGGTTTCTGTGGATCAGGGATTCAGAAGGGCTCTGCTGTGCAGCTCTGACTCAGGGTCTCTCATGAGGTTTCAGTTAGATGATGGCTGGAGCTGGAGCAGCTGGAAGATGCTGGACATCTCTTTCCTTCTCTGTAGGTGATCTCAGGGATTCTCCATGTGGTCTTTCTGCAGAGGCCGGCTTGGGCTTCCTCATAGCATGGCATCCTCAGGACAGTCATGCTGCTTAAATGTAGCTTAGGGCTCCAGAGCCAATGTCCTTGACCTCCTTCCAGAAGTGTCCCAGTGTCACTTACATGGCATCCTATTGGCCACAAACAAGTCATAGCCTGCCCCAAATCAAGGGAAGGGAACACGGGCCCCACTTCTTCCCAGGACAAGTCTCAAGGTCATATTTTATAAAGAACACGTAAGATAAAAGATGCTGTTGTGCCTATCTTTGCAAAATATGCCCTGCCATAGATCTGAAGGGTGAGTAGGCGTTAAATAAGCAGAGAAGAGAGTTCCAGGCAAAGGGACAGCTGGCACAAAGGCCCTGGGGTGGAAAGAATGTGTGGTTTTGTACTGAGGAAGCACTCAGGGACACAGTAGTGAGTAAGACAACAACCCATAACGTTTGGAGCTTCCATTCTAGTGGGAGAGACAGACAATAAACACACAAAGAAACAAACAACACAATTTCAGGTTGCAATCAGTCCCAGAAAGGGAATACACTGGGTGCCGTGACAGAGTGAGATTGGGAACTGGAGTAGTACTTCAGGCTGGCAAGACCTTTCTGAGGGGGTGGCAATTGAGCTGAGAGCTGCAGATGAGAGGGAGCTGGCCAGCCACGCAAAGGGCTGGGGAAGAGTGTTCGCATCCGAGGGAACAGCATGTGCAAAGGCTAAGAGGTGGAAAAGGGATGGGTGGCATGGTTGAAACTTGGTACGCAAGGGGGCTGGCAGGTGTGACATAAGGATGGACAGGGCGGGAGAGGCCAGGTTTTGCAGGGCTCTGGCAAGGAGTTTGGACTTATTTCTAAGTGTGACAGGGAGCTATTAGAGGGTTTTAAGCAGGAGAGTGATGTGATCTCATTTTGTAATAGAGATCCTCTGGCTGCCGTGGCACTGACTTCTGGGCGTGATGCCAGACTTCCGTTCCTGGCAGTACCATGAATGTGCTGTGTGACCAGAGGCTAGTCACTTAACCTCTCTGAACTGTAAAATGTGAAGAATGGAATATAGTGGGCAGGAAGGAGGGAACCCAGGGAGAAGGCTGTAGCATCATCCAGGCAGAGATGATGGTGGCCTGGACCAAGGTGGTTTCGGTAGAGTTGTTGGTAAGAAATGGGTAGGATCACGACAGACTGGGAGGTAGAATGGACAGAACCTGGTGATTGGATGTGGAGCATGAGAAGGAGGAAAGTACAACCCCCAGGTTTCTGGCAAAGCTTAATCTTATTTTACAGCTCAGAGAGGTTAAGTGACTAGTCTGTGGTCACACAGCACATCCATGGTACCCAGAATTTAGTGCCACCCTCTGGTACTGATACTGAGCCCTTGGCCCTTTTCTCTGTGTCTCCCCTGCCCTACTGCCCCCCATCACCTCCCCTTCTTCCTCCCAGGATGCTGGTGGCTCTGGTTGACGCAGTCCCAGCAGGTGTGCCTCGCCAAGCTGTCGGCATGATGAACAGCTTCCCTTGGCTGAGCAGATAACAGTACACACACAGGTCGGGGGGGCCCATGTAGCCCATCCATCAGGCCCGGGAGTGAGTGGAGGGCCGGCACACCCTCATGCCTGTTATCTGCCACAAATGTGTTTTTCTCCCCAAGGTTAACAGGAAGAGTGACAGCCAGGTGCCTGACATCAGCAGGGCTGGTGTTCGTAGGAGCCAGCCAGACTCTCTCTCCTTTTCTCTCCCTCAGCGTCTGAAGAGTCCTGGGTGTGGAGACGCTTAGAGCCTCAGAATTGCAGACTCTTCAAGTCTTGAGCACTGAATCTTCGAAACTTAGATGCGTACAATCCTTCATTCCTTGAGGCAGGATTGTGTGGTGGTTAAAAGCGGGGACTCTGGATCCCGCCTAACCTGATTGGGTTGACATCCCAGTTCTGCCACTTACTAGCTGTGTTATCTAAGGCAAACACCTCAGCATCTCTGTGCCTCATTATGAGGGTGGTAATAGTGTAATAGTGTCTAGACCACGGGTGGCCGTGGGGATTATAGGAACTAATCTTTGTATCTAAAGTGCTTAGAACAATGCCCGGCACAGAGCATGTTGCTCATATTGGTAGATATAGAGTTCTTAAAGACACAGAATCTTCAAGTCTAAGTTTTAGAGACACAGAACTTTAAAACCTTTGAATCTTCTTAGGGCCACAGATTTTCAGAATCTTACTATTTTAGGTGATTATGGTCACACCTGCAGTGGCAGCTGCAGGGGTTTTAGGCTTCCATAATCTCTGTCACTTCTTTCTCATTTCATTCACATGGGCAATAGCTAGTTTCTCAATCTTATGTAAAGTGTTCTGCAAATATGGTGGCAAGCCCACCTTCTAGGCAGATTGTGGGCCCCACATAGAAATTCTAGAGTGTCTACTGCACAACACCTCACAGTCTCTATAAATACGTTTATCTAACTATCTACCCAGTCCATCCATCCATCCATCCATCCATCCATCCATCCATCCATGCATCCCTTCATTTATCCATCCATGCATCCTTTCATCTATCCATCTTCCCATCCATCCATCTATCCACTCATTCTATCCATCACCTTCTCACATCTATCAATCAATCTATTGTCTAGCCATCTATATGCATTTCCCATCCTTCCATCCATCCATACATCCATACATACATTCTTCTATCTATCCATCTTTTCATCCACCCATTGATCCATACTTTCATCATCCATCTGTCCATCCATCCATCCATATTTGCTCATCCCTCCTCCCCCATCCACCTATCCCATTTCTCTCTCTCTCCTTCCTTCTTTCTTCCTTTTTAAAATTTTCTCATCCTTCCATCTATCTGTCTATCTATTCACCCAACACTTATTCACTTATTGAGTGTCTATAGCATACAAGGTACTGGATTGGGCTATAGAAGGAGGTCTATGCATTGGCGTCAGTTTCTATCTTCCCTGAGCTTCCAGTCCAGCAGGCCATAGAAGACCCAAACACAAACCTGATAATGCAAGCTTGGCTCTATACAGCAGAGATAAAAAGCCATGCTGAGTGACAGAAAGGGAATTCTCCTTTCTGCTGGGGCCCCTGGGGCAGCTTCATAGCAGAGGTGGTATTTCATCAGGATCTCGAAAGACCCTGTCTTGATGACATTACAAGTGGCTTCATCTTTCAGGGGACTGGGAAGAGAAGCCTGGGGAGCCTTAAACACCATCTGGTTCACCTGGATGACCACTGCTAGGAGGTTTGCTTCCATTTTTTTTTCAAATTTAATATTTTTCATTTTGGTTTAGTGAAGGGGACCAAATGAAAGGAGGTTCCCTTTAAATACCATGTGAAGAAGTGCTGCAATCCCTTCTTGCACACCTCCAGGGCTGAAAAGCTCACTACCAGACAAGGAGAAAGGCCTCTAGAACTCTACTGTGCTCCAGGAACTGAAAGGCACAAAGGGCTCTGTTTGATCTTCCTGACCCCCAGGAACTGTCTATTACTGTTATCTGGGGGGTTGGGGGTAGGAATAGTGCTCTGGACCCAGTGTGTTTGGCTCACATCCCAGCTTCCCATTCATGAACTGTATGACCTGGAACAGGTTACTTCACCTCCCAAGGACTCAGTTTACTCATCCATAGTACGGTGATGGCAATTAGAATACCTCTCATGGGATTGTTACAAGGATCAAATGAGCTAACACATTCATGATGCTGAGTGAATGTTTGTGAAATTATTGCTATTACTGTTTTAGGTGGTTGTATTAGTCAGTGTTGCATCAGGCAGCTCAGTGGAGAGCATGAATCTAGCAAAATCGTGACAGTGGTTTGGAAGAGTTGAAAGTGCAGTGGCTGGAGATTATCAATAGCAGAAAAGATGCTACAGACCATATTCACCATTTGACGAAGGCATCCTCTTTGGACTAGTGGGTGCTGCACAAGTAAATGGGATGCTGTGAGAGAAAGAACCCCAAGACTGGAGGAACAAAGACAGGAGTGATTTTTTTTCAAGACAGGTCTCCTTATGTCACCCAGGCTGGAGTGCAGTGGCGTGATCACAGTTCACTGCTGCCTCCACCTCCAGGTTCAAGCGATCCTCTCACCTCAGCCTCCTGAACAGCTGGGACTACAGGCATGCACCACCACGCCCGGCTAGTTTTTTGTATTTTTTGTAGAGATGGGGTTTCTCCATATGCCCAGGCTGGTCTCAAACTCCTGGGCTCAAGCAATCCTCCTACCTCGGCCTCCCAAAGTGCTCACAGGCGTGAGCCTCCGTACCTGGCCAAAAGAGGAAGCAACGTTACAAGAAAGAGCCCAGGAGTTGGGGCTACCTAGAAGGAGTTGGAACCACAGAGGGAGAGGCTGCCTTTCCAAAGACTAGAAACCAGGGAGGAGATGCAGCTAGTGGAGACCTTGCCCTGAGTAGAGGGAGCAGAAAAATACCCTGCTTCTCCCTCCCTCCTGCCCTGCAGTCTGTATGCACTGTCATCTAGGGAGACAAATCAGAGACAAGGAGGCCTGCTCACCCAGCTTGCAGAGCCCAGAGGATCATTTCCTAGGGTATGTTCCTCATGATCCTATTCTGCAAGATACTTCTTCAGAAAAAGGTTTTTAGGCAAATCAGGCTTGGAAATGCTGTAGGCAAGAACTCTGTCCCGCAGATCTGCCAGGCATGTTACTACAGTGAAGACGAGCAGCAACAGAGTTAAAAAGCCCAGGCTCTGTAGTCAGACTCAGTTCCCTCCTCTATCAAATGGGAATAGTAACAATATGTACTTTACAGGGCCATTTATTCATTTGTTAATTTATTCATTAATTGAGTAGATACAGTGTGTCAGTCTCCAGGGATATGCTGGTGAACAAGACAGACATGGTGTCAGTCCTCAAGAAGCTTACATTCTAGAGGAATATAAGCTAATGAGGTAATGAATGTAAAGTGCTTAGCACACTGCCTGGAATATAGTAAATGCCCAATAAATGCCACCCTTAAAGGCTCTGAGAAGTCCTGCAATGGATACATCTTAAATCCAGGGCTTTCCAAACATATCTGGCCATGAAATCTGCCTCTTTTCCCCCCAATAGTACCCTATTCCTATGCTGCAGCACTCACTGGTCCAAAGAACATATTTTAGAAATGCTAGGTGGGCAGATACGGTCTATACACATACTTATACACAGAGACACACAAAGATACAAATATCAACTACTTCTGGTAGCTAATGAAATATTAATAGGGCTTTGAAGAAATGGGAATAGCTCATCTCTTGTTTCATTTTAAAGTGACCACATTTTGTATAAATCTTGTCTTGGAGGGTAGTAAGTGGAATTCACTTTGATGAGTTTGTTCTGAAAAATACGGAGTCATTAATTAATTGATCCACTCAACAAGCATTTACAGCAGCTTCTGTCATTCTGTGCTGCCTGCGTGGCACTGGGGACACAGTGATTCTAAGGCAATGTGTAGGATCAAGATACGCCCTGTATATTGTGGCAGCCCCA
Source organism: Homo sapiens (assembly GCF_000001405.40). Classification (NCBI taxonomy): domain Eukaryota; kingdom Metazoa; phylum Chordata; class Mammalia; order Primates; family Hominidae; genus Homo; species Homo sapiens. The sequence goes on from NC_000020.11 coordinate 37,645,310, forward strand.
AAAGAGGCCGCCTATGACCATCTGGGAGGGCTTCCAGGAAGAGGCGCTATCTGAGTTGAGTCTAAAAAGGTGAATGGAAGTTTAGCTAGGAAAGGGAGCCCTGTAGAAATGGGTATTCACTGTTCTTGGCCCTGACTCCTTAGGGTCAGAGTCAATTTTAGGTCCAAGAAGGGAGAAGATGGTCTGGCCCCCAGTGGTTTCTTCTCTACTTGTGCTGGGGGCTTGGGGGGTCATGAAAGGAGCACTGGGCTGGGAGTCAGGCAGCCCGGGGAGCAAGTCCAGTGTCTGTCACCCACTACCATGCGACCTTGAGTAACTCACTCCCTCTCTCTGAGCCTCAGCTTTCTCATCAGTGAACTGGGGCTAGCAGAGCTTACCTCACTGGGCTGATGTGAAGAGCAGGGGAGGTGATGGATGAGGAAGTGCTTTGTAAGCTGCTGAGTGCTGTAGACTGCAAAGCTCTATGTATATGCAACACGTTGGCTGCATGTCTTGGCTCAAGACCCAGTTCGCAGTAGGGGCAGAAAGAATTGTTGAACCAAATTCTTCTGCCACCTTTTGGGTTCTGTTCCTCTGGCTTTTGAAATCGTTTTGGTCCTCCTAGGTCCCTTATTAATATACCAACACTCTGAAAGGTGTTAATCCTTATTAGCTAATATCTTAGTGCTGGCACTTTCATTAGCAGTTAACACCTGTAGTTAGCAGCTAACTCCTTAACGGGAATCATCTGGCATTCATCTGCGAGAAGAACTTTCAGGAATGGGGCCAGGAGGGGCTCTTGGTGGTCTTGGAGCACAAGGGGGCTATGAGAGAAGAAAAGACTGTCCAGGAGAGACATCTCTGACAGAGCTATTTTGCCAAAGGAAAATTCCATTACCTGTCCACTAGACTGAGACCCCTAGAGAATGGTACCCTGAATCATCTCTGCTGCCTTGTCTAGCAGAGAGGCTTTGGGCAAACTACTTAACCATTATAAGCCTCAGGTTCCTCCTCTATTAAATGGGGATACTCAACTATACATTTTTGGGTCACCATGGCTAATGCTATGTTTCTCAAATTTGCTGTATATTTGCAGGTGGTACATAAAATTTTTATTTTAAGAGTGAAACTTTTTTATCCATCAACTTAAATAAACTTATGCTGGGTATCAAATGACCTTCCCTTAAATCTCAATGACTTTCAACAATAAGGATTTATTTTTTGCACATGCTACTTGGCCATCAGATAGCTTTGGGTCTGCCTTGATTCTGCTCCACGTTGTCATTCTGGGAACCAATTTGAAGGGGTGGCCCTGCCTAGAGCGTGCTAGTAACACGGCAGCAGAAGGAACAACAGCAGAACCCCACAATGGCTCTTAAAGCTCCCATTCAGAAGTGGCATCCAACAGTTGTGCTCAATTTCATTGGCCAAAGCAAGTCATATGGCCAGATCTGATGGTGACGAGGTGGGAAGCATACACCTTTGCAGGGAGGCACCTGGTAAGGAGGGGCCGTGAGTATTGTTGAATAATTATACAATCTAGTGCAGTATTGATTTTCATGCATATTAGAAAAATAGGCCTGTAATTCCAGAACTTTGGGAGGCCGAGGTGGGTGGATCACCTGAGGTCAGGAGTTTGAGACCAGCCTGGCCAACATGGAGAAACCCCTGTCTCTACTAAAAATACAAAAATTAGCTGGATGTGGTGGCACACACCTGTAATCCCAGCTACTTGGGAGGTTGAGACATGAGAATCGCTTGAACCTGGGAGGCAGAGGTTGCAGTGAGATAAGGCAGAGCCACTGCACTCCAGCCTCAGCAACAGAGTGAGACTCTGTCTAACTATGGGGCATGTTGGCTCATGCCTATAATCCCAGCACTCTGGGAAGCCAAGGTGGGAGGATCATTTGAGTTCAGGAGTTTGAGACCAGCCTGGCCAACATGATGAAACCCCATCTCTACTAAAAATACAAAAATTAGTTGGGCATGGTGGCAAACACCTGTAGTTCCAGCTACTTGGGAGGCTGAGACAGGAGAATCGCTTGAACATGGGAGGCAGAGGTTGTAGTGAGCTGAGATTTTGCCACTTTGCTCCAGCCTGGGCAACAGAATGAGACTCTATCTCCAAAAAAAAAAAAAAAAATAACTATACATATATATAGTACAAATATAGAGAGAGAGCAAGAGAGAGAGAATGATAAAACAAACATGGCAGAATGCATACAATTGGCAGGCCTGGGTCTCGGCTCCCTGCAACCTCCACCTCCTGGGTTCAAGCAATTCTCCTGCCTCAGCCTCCTGAGTAGCTGGGATTACAGGCATGTGCCAACACCCCTGGCTGATTTTTGTATTTTTAGTAGAGACGGGGTTTTGCCATGTTGGCCAGGCTGGTCTGGAACTCTTGACCTCAGCAATCTGCCCGCCTTGGCCTCCCAAAGTGCTAGGGTTACAGACGGATCTGATTTCTTAAGGTGAGGCAAAGGTAGAGAGAATAAAAACTAGTTGAGCTAATTTAAAGAATATTAAATAACAGTAGCCAGGTGGGACATTTGGCAAAGTGGGACTTTCACCTCCCATGAGGCATTTGATGTTCCTCACACTTCATCGGGGTCCTCTGGCTGGCAGCCCCCTTCTCATTCATTCATTCCATACCCCCTTATTGAGCACCTACTGTGTGCTAGGCACCTGTTGGGCACTGAGGAGTCAATAGTGAATGATACGAGGCAGACACAGGTCCTCCCTGGAGAGGCTGACAGCCTCATGGAGGTGTTGGGATAGGAAGACATGCAGTGAGTGGTCTAGGGAGCCCCGTGCCAGCTGCTATTGTCCCTGTGGGGAAAGACAGGCTGTCTAGTGGCTCACCACTGGCAGTTGGTGTTGGGGGAACCATCACATGCTATACCTCCTAACAAGGGACAGTTGTGTCACTGGGCCCACATAACAGTGTCTCTGTGTGAGCAGGGGGCAGGGAGCAGATGGGCAAAGTCACAGTATGCACTGAACACCTTCCTGGATGCTTATTTGTTGCCGAAATTTGTTGTCATGGGGGCTGAATAACTTATTGTTTTTATATTAAAAGAAACAGAAGGACTGGGAAGGGGCACAAGAGCATGTTTTAGGATGATTAAAATGTTCACTTTCGTAGGCTGGGCACGGTGGCTCATGCCTGTAATCCCAGCACTTTCGGAGGCCAAGGCAGGTGGATCACTTGAGGTCAGGAGTTCAAGACCAGCCTGGCCAACAAGGCGAGACCTCATCTCTAGTAAAAATACAAAAATTAGCTGGGCATGGTGGCAGGTGCCTGTAATCCCAGCTAATTGGGAGGCTGAGGTAGGAGAATTGCTTGAAACCAGGAGGCAGAGGTTGCAGTGAGCCGAGATTGCACCACTGCACTCCAGCCTGGGTGATAGAGTGAGACTCGGTCTCAAAAAAATTTTTAAAAAGCTTATTTTCTTGATCATGGTGGTAGTTCCATGGTTGTATAAATTTCAAAACTCACTGAAATGTACACTTTAAATGAATGAGTTTTATCATATGTAAATTACACTCCAATAAAGCCGATTTACAAAAGAATTTTTTACAGGAGTATGAAAATTATACATTATTTTGGAGAGGCTCAGAGAAGTTGAGTAACTTGCCCAGGATCAAAAAACTACTGACGGGAGATGAAGGAAAAGAGACCCGGGTGTGCCTGACCCCGGGATTAACTACAATTGGTACATGCCTTTCATTCATCTGCATAAAAAAAAGCGACTTCCATTTTGAAAAGCAACATTCTCAAACAGCATAGAATCTACCCTAGTCATAAAGATTTCAGAATTAGAAGGGAATTAAGTGGCCTCAGAGTTCTGTCTCCTTCCTCCTCTGCCCAATGACACACATAGAAGCCCTGCCCTTCTCTTTGGCCTTGATTGACCTCTGAGTCAAGCCTTTGAGAGTCACCCTGGACACTTCCATCTATTGTTTTTTCTTTTTTTTTTTTGAGATGGAGTCTTGCTCTGTCTCCCAGGCTGGAGTGCTGGGATTACAGGTGTGAGCCACTGCGCCCAGCCCACTTCCATCTATTCTTGTATTCTTGTATCAGTTAAGCCTCCCTCACTCTCAGCCTCTGTCTCCTCTTTTCTGCCCTGGCCCTGGGGTTTCGGAGGCTCGGCCCACCTTGTCCTACCCCAGCTAAACATCTTTGTGTCACCCTTGCTGTTTATTCTTCCACAGTCTGGGAGACCAGGAGGGGACCCTTTGATCTGGGTGGGAAGCAGGGACCATTTGAGAGGGTTTGCCATTGACCTACTTTATAGATGAAGAAAGAAGGCTCAGAGAGGTAGAGGACCTGCGTGAGGTTAAACAGTTTGCACGGGATAGAGCCTGAACCCACCCAGATCTGTCTGATTCCAGATCCCAGGCCCTTACCCAGAAAGATAGTAGGAGGCCAAGTCATGAGGCTGAGGGTTGGGTCGGGGGAAGGCAGAGGGTGTGAGAAGTCTCTTTCAAACTCCCTTCATTCCAGAATCAGCTCTGTCAATGGCTTAGAAAACCCCAGTCCCTGAAGGGACAGGGCTGCCAGGGCCTCTTGCCGAGTGACTGCAGACCACATTTTTCTTAATCTTAATTGAAAACTGTTCAAGTAGAAAAATCATTTCACTGCTTCATCTCAGAAAGGAAAAGAAGAAGGGAGAAGGGAGGGCTCGGGTTGGGTTGGGGGATGGAGGATTTAGCCAGAGAGGAAAGGCTGTGGCTATCGAGGGCTTGGTCCCTACCTGCCCTGGGCCTGCCACTAGGCCTTGCCCAATTGGGCCTCCCTGAGCCCCAGGGCTTGGGGGGTTGGGTCTGCCGGGCTACTGATGCAGTCAGTCATAAGTACGAGGGTCCCACCATGTACCACGCAGATCCTTGGCCGGGATCCCAGAACAATGAAACACCGTCAGATGCAGCTCCTAGGGCCTGGGAACTAGGGGCTTCTAGTTCCTCCCCTCCTCCTCTTCCTCTTTCATTCATTCCTTCCCTCCTTCAACCAATATTTATTGAGCATCTGCAATGTGTCTGCTACTGTTTCAGAATATACAAATAGCTCCTGCCCTCCTGGAATGCACTGTCTAGCAGGGAAGGCAAATCATCAGATAAATAGAGAATAACACACTGAATTTAGCTCTGAAGAAACGGGGAGAGTGGGGTGAGCAATTATTCTATAGGCATGGGTGGGAATTGTGATTTAGGCTGAGCAGTCAGGGAGGGTCTCCTGGAGGAGATGGTATTACAACAAAGGCACAAAGGGTGGGTAGGAGTTATCCAGGCAAAGGCAGAGGTGGGGTCAGTGGTGGGAGTGGGATAGCACCCCCAGGACAGAGGGAGGTGCTGGAAAGGCTAGACTCTTAAGCAAGACTGATTGGGTTCAAATTCCAGCTCTGTCACTAGCCAGCTGAGTGATCCTGGAACAAGTTAACTAACCTCTCTGTGCCTTAATTTTCTCATTTGTAAACAGAGGATTATTGTGAGGATTAAGTGGGTTTACATAGATAATATGCTACAATGGTGCCTGGACAGCACTATTGTAAGCAAACAAAAAGCCCCAGCCTGTGCAAAGGCACTAGAGCAGGCAACTGCAAAGTAAGTCATCGAAGTCAACAAAGGAACAGGCTTTATCCCAGGGCAAACACAGATTGGGTACATGCCGTGGAAATCCATGCTGTGCTCCAGAAAAAATGGAGGCTAAAATCCTGTATCTGCCGGGTAGTCAGAGCAAACCTATGTTGGTACCTTCTACCCCTCTTTTCATGGCATCCCTGTAACCTTGGGAAGAATCCTTGGTTATCCTCACTTTACAGATGAGTGCACTGAGGCTCAGAGAGGCCAAGTGACTAGTCCAAGGTCAAGCAGGTGGGGCTGAGCCCAGGTTTGGCTACCTCCAGAGCCCAAGTCTCTTACCACTGTGCTCTACTGCCTCAATTTTGAGATGTAACAAAAATGGCATCTTATCTAGGTTTGACTATTTGTTGAGCACACGCTGTGTGTTGCATCTTGGGCTACACGTGCCACACAGGAAGCAATTTATAAGATGCAGGCTAGGTAGGGCAGTCATACAATATTTTTCCTAAACTGAGTCACTTTGGACGGTGAAAGTGGCACTCTTCCAGGATGGCATGTGTCAAATGGAACCTAGGGTCACCCCAAGCTTGGGGCAGGTGATCAAGAGCATGGAATCAGGTAGACCTGGCTGGCTTAGTGCCCTTGGGCAAGTCACTTAACTTCTCTGAACCTGTTTCTCCATATGGGGGTAACAATCCCTAGCTCCTAGAGTTGTGAAGATCAAATGAGACAATGGGATGACAAATACTAAGCCCAGTGCCTGGCATGGAGTAGGCCTTCAGTGAATGGTAGACATTATTATGTAATACACAGTCAGTGGATTTCCCTCTGTCTGTCTCTTTACCCATCTCCCTGTTTCTCAGGTTTTCTCCTCCAATCCCCTTACCCCTTCCAGGACCCAGGTCTAATCTGATTTGCTGTGTGTCCTTGGGCAAAAATCTCTTCCATTCTCTGGGCCTGCTCTCTCCATCCAGCTAGAATGCTTCAACAAGGCTGCTGGGGTCCCATCTCTCCCCCTTCCTCTCTTGGCTGGCCTTGCTACCCTGCCATCTATCCCCAGGCTCATTTTACAGGTCAGTTCCCTTTAATGAGCAGGGCTCAGAGCCTTTTCCCTCACAAAATGGAAACTGCGGGTTCATCAAAATCTCATTAACCTCCATTCTCCTGGTGGGCCTGCAGGGGTCAGACCTGTCTCAGGGTGGCGGTGCCACCTCCCAGTTGGCAGGCTCCAGGGCTGTCTGGGGCTAGCGGTGGGTGGGGCTACTGGTTTGCTGGTTCCAGACAATATTCATGCCACAACATCCAGTCCTGCCAACCTTGGCCACCTGGAAGGAAGAGGAGAGAGGGGGCCTTCAGCACTTTAATTTGAAAACTTGCCATGGGACCGAGGGATGTTGGGAGCAGAAGAGAACGGCTGGCTTCTAGTGAATTAATGCTTTGCTTGTAACTGGTAATTTTCTCCACTTTCATGTCACCTGGCTCTTTCTTCTTCTTCTTCTTTCATTTGATCTTACTTGGAAGGGTAATGTGGCCCACCACTGTCTCCTCCATCATGGTCCTAATTTTTCATCTAGGACTTGTCTGAGCCTAGCCCTGCTCATGTGCATGGTCTCTGGAGGAGCTTGGTAGTGAGGGTTTCTGGGATCCTCTCACTAACCAGGGGGCTGTGGGAAAGTTGCTTAGGCTCTCTTAGCCTCACTTACCTCCTCTATTCTGAGAATAAAATGAGATAATGTATTTAGTGCCTGGCAACCACTTTGAAAAACATGGTGGCAGTTTCTTCTAACCTTAAATGTGCACTTATTTAGTCGAGAGAAATAAAAACACATGTCTATCAAAGATCTGTGTACAAATGTTTGCAACAGATTTATTTTATTTATTTTTTTTGAGAGAGAGTTTCATTCTCTCGCCCAGGCTGTGGTGCGGTGGCATGATCTTGGCTCACTGCAACCTCTGCCTCCTGGGTTCAAGCAATTCTCCCGCCTCGGCCTCCCAAAGTGCTGGGATTACAGGTGTGAGCCATCACGCCCGGCCATAACAGCTTTATTCATAATTGCCCTGAACTAGAAACAACCCAAAGGTCCATCAACTGGCGAATAGATCAATAAATTGCAGTTCGACCATATGTTGGAATACTAGGTGCAGGGAAAAGAAACCTACGACTGATGTCCACAATGACATGAATTAATTTCAAAAGCATTCTGTAAAGTGAGGGAAGCAGACTCCAATGGCTAAATACCAGGTGATTCTGTTTAATGACAACCTGGAAAAAGCCAAACTGCAGGCACAGAAATGAAATCAGTGGTTGCCAGGGGCTAGGGAACGGGGAGGGGATCCACTGCAAAGGGGCACAGGCAACTTTCTGGGGCTAGAGAAATGTTCAATATCTTTTTGTTGTTGTTGTGTCTAGAGATGGGGTCTTGCCATGTTGCCGAGGCTGGTCTCGAACTCCTGGGCTCAAGTGCAGGCAGGAGGGCAGTGGCACGATCTCAGCTCACTGCAACATCCACTTCCTGGGCTCAAGCTATTCTCCTGCCTCAGCCTCCCGAGTAGCTGGGATTACAGGCGTGAGCCTCTGCACCCAGCCAAATATTCAATATCTTGATTGTGGCGGTGAGTATACTGGTAACTATGTCTTTCAAAACTCACCCAAGTGCACACTTTAAAAGGATGAATCTTATTGTATGGAAATTACATCCCAGTAAACCTTACTTTAAAAAATAATGCTAGCCAGTAAAACTGTCAGTTAATTTTAATTTTTTTTTAGACAGGGGTTATTAGTCCATTTTCATACTGCTATAAAGAACTGCCCAAGCCTGGGTAATTTATAAAGGAAAGAGGTTTAATTGGCTCACAGTTCAGCATGGCAGGAGAGGCCTCAGGAATCTTACAATCATTGCAGAAGATGAAGAGGAAGCAAGCCACCTTCCTCACAGGGCAGCAGAAGGAGAAGTGCCAAGCGAAGGGGGAAAAGCCCCTTATAAAACCATCAGATCACAGGAGAATTCACTCAGTATCACAGGAACAGCATGGGGGAACCACCCCCATGATTCAATTACGTCCACCTGGTCTTTCCCTTGACACGTGGGGATTATATGGATTACAATTCAAGATGAGATGTGGGTGGGGGACACAAAGCCTAACCATATCATTCTGCCCCTGGTTCCTTCCACTACATCATTCTGCCCGTGGCTCCTCCCAAATCTCATGTTCTGTTCACTTTTTGAAACCAGTCATGCCTTCCCAACAGTCCCCCAAAGTCTTAATTTATTCCAGCATTAACCCAAAACTCCATGTCCAAAGTTTCACCTGAGACAAGGCGAGTCCCTTCTGCCTATGAGTAAAATCAAAAGCAAGTTAGTTACTTCCTAGATACAATGGGGATACAGACATTGGGTAAATACACCCATTCCAAATGGGAGAAATTGGCCAAAACAAAGAGGCTACAGGCCCATTCAAGTCTAAAATCCAGTGGGGCAGACAAATGTTAAAGCTCCAAAATTATCTCCTTTGACTCCATGCCTCACATCCAGGTCACACTGATGCAAGAGATGGGTTCCTACAGCCTTTGGCAACTCCATCCCTGTGGCTGTGCAGGGTACAGCCCCCCTCCCAGCTGCTTTCATGGGCTGGTATTGAGTGTCTGTGGCTTTTCCAGGTGCATGGTGCAAGCTGTCCATGCATCTACCATTCTGGGGTCTGGAGAACAGTGGCCCTCTTCTCACAGCTCTACTAGGTAGTGCACCAGTGGGGACTCTATGTGGGGGTTCTGACTTCACATTTCCCCTCCACACTGCCCTAGCAGAGGTTCTCCATGAGAGCTCCATCCCTGCAGCAAACCTCTGCCTGGATGCCCAGGTATTTCCATACAACCTCTGAAATCTAGGCAGAGATTCCCAAACCTCAATTCTTGACTTCTGAGTATCCACAGTCCCAATACCACCTGTAAGCCACCAAGGCTTTGGACTTGCACTCTCTGAAGCAACAGCCTGAGCTGTACATTGGCCCCTTTTAGCCATGGCTGGGATGTAGGGCACCAAGTCCTGAGACTGCACAAAGGAGCAAGACCCTGGGCCTGGCCCATGAAACCATTTTTAGCTCCTAGGCCTCCAGGCCTGTGATGGGAGGGGTTGCTGTGAAGATCTCTGACACGTCCTGGAGACATTTTCCCCATTGTCTTGGTAATTAACATTTGGCTCTTCATTATTTATGCAAGTTTCTGTAGCCTGCTTGAATTTCTCCTCAGAAAATGGTTTTTCTTTTCTATCACATCATCAGGCTGCAAAATTTCCAAACTTTTATGCTCTGCTTCCCTTTTAAACCTAAGTTCCAATTCCAAACCATCTTTTTGTGAATGCATGAAACCAAATGCTTTTAAGAGGATGCAAGTCACCTCTTGAACACTTTGCTGCTTAGAAATTTCTTCTGCCAGATACCCTAAGTCATCTCTCTCAAGTTCAAAGTTCCACAGATCTCTAGGTCAGCAGCAAAATGAAGCATAGCAAGAGTGACCTTTGCTCTAGTTCCCAATGAGTTCCTCATCTCCATCTGGGACCACTTCAGCCTGGACTTCATTGTCAATATCACTAACAACATTTTGGTCAAAACCATTCAACAAGTCTCTAGGAAGTTCCAAACTTTTCCACATCTTTCTATCCTCTTCTGAGCCTTCCAAATTGTTTCAACCTCTGCCTGTTACCCAGTTCCAAAGTTGCTTCCACATTTTCAGGTATCTTTATAGCAGAACCCCACTCTCTGAGGTACAAATTTACTGTATTAGTTTGTTCTCACACTGCTATAAAGAACTGCCTGAGACTGGGTAATTTATAAAGGAAAGAGGTTTAATTGACTCACAGTTCCACATGGATTGGGAGGCCTCAGGAAACTTACATTCATGGCGAAAGGTGAAGGAATCAAGATACCTTCTTCACAAGTCACAGGAAGGATAATCTATGCAGGAGGAACTGCCAAACACTTATAAAACCATCAGATCTTGTGAGAACTCACTCATTATCAAGAGAACAGCATGGGGGAAGCCGTCCCCATGATCTAATTACTTCCACCTGGTCACTCCCTTGATATATAGAAATTATGGGAGTTATAATTCAAGATGAGATTTAGGTGGGGACACAAAGCCTAACCATATCAACAGAGTCTCACTCTGTCACCCAGGCTGGAGCACAATGGTACAATCTTAGCTCACTGCAACCTCTGCCATCCAGTCTCAAGCCATCCTCCCACCTCAGCCTCCTGAGGAGGTGGGACCATAGGCGCATGACACAATGCCTGGCTAATTTTTTGTAATTTTTTTGTACAGACTGGGTTTCACTATGTTGCAGGCTAGTCTCGAACTCCTGGACTCAAGGAATCTCCCAACCTCGGCCTCCCAAAGTGCTGGGATTACAGACGTAAGCCACTGTACACAGCCTAATTTTAAAATTTATTTTGCTTTTTAAATTGAGGTATGGTGTACAAATAGTACACTACACCATAAAGAGCCCCAATCTTGTGTATACATCTTGAAGACTTTTTACATTTTTGTACATCCCATGCAGATCAATGTATGAAACATTTCCAGGCCCTCTTACTCCCTCACTCCCCATCCAAGGCCACAACCCTGAAAGTTAACTAATATTTTGACATCTCTCACCACAGGTTAGTTTTGTGAGATTTTGGATCTCCTATGAATAGTCATCCTGAATGTAATTGTTTGTGTTTGGCTGTTGGTGAGGTATTGAAGTCATCTTCTAAAAACACAAATCAGATCGTGTCGTGTCTTGATTAAGAGCCTTCCAATGTCTTCTCAGTAAGCTTCAAGTAGAATCCCAAGCACTCTCCCTGCCCGCTAAACTATGCATGTCCTACCCACACCATGGACCAGCTGCGCTGGAGTCCTCTCCAGCCACACAGAGCTTCCTTCAGTTCTTTGAGCGCTCCCAGCTCTTTCCAGCTGTGGGGTCTTCACGTTTGCTGATTCTTCTACATGCAATGAACTTCTGTGGGCCAGATTTCTCCCTGTCCTTTGGGTTTCTGCTGAATGGCCTTCCCCAGACTCTACCCCAATGGGTTCCTGACTTCCACTCCTTGGTTATTTGCCATCTCTGCACCTGTTGGTTCCTCTGTAACCCTCATCATGGTTCACAATTGCTCCTTTGTTTGTGGGTCGATTGTCTTTCTCCCCGCTTAGGTTGAGAGTTAGACAAGGCTAGGTCTAACCTGTCTGCATGATCTAGGTGCCCAGTCCAGTGCTAGGCACATGCACGTGCTTAACACGTGTTGGCTGAATCAATATATGAACCATCCAATTCAGAATGTGACTTCTCATGCATCTTCTCATTTGTTTCTCACAATATCAGCAAGGGAGCAAGGTGTCATCAGTGCCCTCCTCAGCTGAAGAACTTGGAGAAGTTGACCAAGCATGGTGGCTCATGCCTATAATCCCAACACTTTGGGAGGTCGAGGCGGGCAGATCACCTGAGGTCAGGAGTTCAAGACCAGCCTGGCCAATATGGTGAAACCCCATCTCTACTAAAAATACAAAACTAGCTGGGCATGGTGGCACATGCCTGTAGTCCCAGTTACTCAGAAGGCTGAGGCAGGAGAATTGCTTGAACCCGGGAGGCATAGGTTGCAGTGAGCTGAGATCATGCCACTGGCCACTAACTCCAGCTTGAGTGACAAGAGTGAAACTCCATCTTGGGGGAAAATTAAAAAAAAAAAAGAACTTGGAGAAGGAGAAGTTGATCTGATTGCTCAGGTCATGTACCAATCATGGCTGAGCTGGAACCTATCACTCCCTTCCTTCCCCCTTTCCACCTCCCGATGCCAGCAGAGCCTGCCTCTGGCTCTCACGCATCATTCTGTGCTGGTCATTGTTAAATTAGAGTAGAACTTAAGTACCATAAAATCTCAAGTGCACAGTTTGGTGGATTTTTGCTTAGGTATACACTCACAGAACACCCACCTAGATCAGGATGTAGAACCTTTCTAGCATCTTAGAAGGGATCCTTCATAATGGACCCCTTCTAGTCAATACCATCCCCCTCCCAAGGGAAACAATTATTCTCATTTCTATGACCATAGTTTAAAGTTGCCTAGTTTTGAACTTCATATTCATGGACTCGTTCAGAATGACCTCTTGTGTCTGGCTTCTCTCACTCAACACAAAATCTGGAGTCATCATGTTGCTGCATGGAGCAGTAGCTTGTTTTTTAAATGCCACATAGTATTCCAGTGTATGAATATATCACAATTTGTTTATATCCATTCTGTTGATGGGCACTTGAGCCGTTTCCAGGTTTTGTCAATTATGAATAAAGCTTCTGTGAACATTCTTTTGGTAGACATAGGCACGTATTTCTCTTGGGCATATACCCAGGACTGAAGTGGTTGGGTCATTCAGTGGGCATGTGGTTAGCTTTCCTAAATACTGCCAGACAGTTTTCCTAAATGGTTGTACTTCATGCATTCTAGGATCCCAGCAGCCAGAAGGTTCAGTGCTGACTCCCCTGCAGCTCCAGCCTTGCTGAGATTGAAGTCCCCATAGCCATACTTCCACCAGGTGCTGGGACGCTGAGCTACCCTGCTCCATTAGCAATCATAGCAGGGAGAAGGGGCTCAGTGAGGGTAGTCCAACGCTTTCTGCTGAGAGGCTGGCTGGCTTGCTGAGCCCAGCAAAGGTTAGGTCACTTTGCATTTTCCCCTCCAATGATCTCAGCTCTTAGGGGCAATTAGCCCTCAGTAGAGCAAGGAGCTCAGAATACTAACCAGATCTGGCCTAGCTGGGAGAGCATTTTTTTCCCTCTGCCTGGGCTGAGGCCCTGCCTTGCAGATGGAGAGGCTGAGTGGAGAGCTAGAGGACGAAAGCATCCTTTACTACTGACCATGTGCACTGTGTTAGTGTTTTGGGTCACCAGATGCTCTTCAGTGAGGAAACGGGAGCAGCATCTGGTGCCACCCTGCTGATGTATGCCTCAAGAGGGGCACCATCACTCCTGGTTGCTGTTTGCTTCTCCAGGCAGCTCTGCCCATCACACAATATCCTGTTCAATGTAGTACTGTTTGTAACAGTCCTAAGGTGAAAATAAGCTAAAATACTGGGCACGGTGGCTCACGCCTGTAATCCCAGCACTTTGAGAGGCCGAGACGGGCGGATCACTTTAGGTCAGGAGTTCGAGACCAGCCTGGCCAACATGGTGAAACCCCATCTCTACTAAAAATATAAAAATTAGCTGGGTGTGATTGCACACACCTGTAATCCCAGCTACTTGGGAGGCTGAGGCAGGAGAATCGCTTGAACCAGGGAGGTGGAGGTTGCAGTGAGCTAAGATCGTGCCCCTGCACTCTAGCCTGGGTGACAGAGTGAGACTCCATCTCAAAAAAAAAAAAAGAAAGAAAGAAAAGAAGCTAAAAGTCCACTGGAAGGGACTGATGAAGTAAATTACATGTTACATCCTATTAAATATACAATGGATGCTCTACAGCCGTTATGGACAGGAATAAGATGTATTAACATGACGTGTCCCTAATATGACACCCTGAGATGGGAATAATATCACTCTTGGGTTATGCTTGCCAAAAAGGCATAAGCTTAATCTAATTGTGAGAAAATCAGACAAACTCAAATTGATGGACACTACAAATTAACTGACCAGTACTTTTCAAAAGTGTCAAGGTCATGAAAGACAAGGAAAGTCTGAGGAATTATCACAGATTGGAGGAGAGCATGGAGACATGACAATGAAATACAGCGTAGGATCCTGGACTGGCTCCTGGAACAGAAAGAGAACAGTTGGGCAAAAACAAGCAAAATTCCAATTAGATCTGAAGATTGCTTAATGATATTGTACTAATGTTAATTTTCTGGCTTTGATGACTATTCCATGGTTATATAACATGTTGACATTAGGGGAAGCTGAGTGAGGAATACATGGGAGCTCTCTGTCTTTTTTATTTTTATTTTTAGTTTGTTTTTTTGACGAAGTTTCACTCTTGTCGCCCAGCCTGGTGTGCAATGGCACAATCACGGCTCACTGCAACCTCTGCCTCCTGGGTTCAAGCGAATCTTCTGCCTCAGCCTCCCGAGTAGCTGGGATTAACAGGTGTTCACCACAACGCCCAGCTAATTTTTGTTATTTTTAGTAGAGACGGGCATTCACCATGTTGGCCAGGGTGGTCTTAAACTCCTGACTTCAGGTGATCTGCCCGCCCCGGCCTCCCAAACTGCTGGGATTATAGGCATGAGCCAAAGCACCTGGCTGTAGCTTTTCTATAAATTTAAAATTATTTCAAAACAAAAAGTTTAAAGTAAAGATGACGGTATAGATCAGGACTTCTTAACCTTTGCCGTGCCATGGGCCTTTTGGATGAAGCCCATGAAACTTTTCTCGGAATAATAGTTTTAAACATATAAAATAAGATGTTTAAGATTTCCGAGAAGACCAATTATCTTAAAACACAGTTATCAAAATATTTTAAAATTTCTTATGTAGAAATATACATGCTTCTTATTAATATATTCATTAACAAGATGCAGTGGCAGGTGTAATAACCACTGTAATTTCAAAGCGGTGATGAGTGTAAACAGTATTTCAAGATAGCTGCAACAATGATAATTTGATACAAAAATATCTACAATCACTATGGTAGTGAAGTCACAGATACTGTTAATGCTACTGTAGCTTGTTGCTTATATTCAAATGGAAGGAAATGAGAAATTTCAGTTAGAATTTAGTGAAAATGAGGGTATAATTTTTTCCCATTCAAGTTTACAGACCCCAGAGTTCTATTTGCAGTCTGGCAGTATCTATTACATCCCTGATATAAATGTATATTTATTGAACTGGAAAGAGGCTCATAATATATTAGTAATGGAGGTGGGGGAAGCAAGTTATCAATCAATATATACAGTAGAATCCCATTTTCATAAATTAAAAATGTCAGTGTGGGTGTGTGCATTGCGTATTCATTCAACAAGCATTCCATGATCACCTACCATGAGCCAGACTCTGAGAATATAACAATGAAGAAGAAAGACATGGTTTTTACCTTCCCAGAGCAGGGCAGCTAGAAACATGAATAACTTACAACACAGTGGTGTGTGATTATTTGTTTTTTCTTCTTGTTTTGTTTTTTTGAGACGGAGTCTTGCTCTGTCGTCCAGGCTGGAGTGCAGTGGTGCGCTTTTGGCTCACTACAACCTCTGCCTCCCTAGTTCAAGAGATTTTTCTGCCTCAGTCTCCTGAGTAGCTGGGATTACAGGTGCCCACCAACACGGCCAGCTAATTTTTGTATTTTTAGTAGAGACGAGGTTTCACCATGTTGACCAGGCTGGTCTTAAACCCCTGACCTCAAGTGATCCACCGGCCTCGGCCTCTCAAAATGGTGGGATTACAGGCGTGAGCCACTGCGTTTCGCTTGTTTTTTTCTTTTTGCTTCTGTATATTTCCTAATTTTTTATGAACACGTATTTTGGGGAAAATATTTTTTAAACCAAAGGATAAAGCTCGTCTTTATCCCAAGCTGCATCCTGTCTGCAGGTAACACTCCCTATTGCCCCTAGGTCTGCCCCCTGGTGTCCCCAAAAAACTCATCCCCACTTCGGTGTCCCACCATAACCATTAAGATCAGGCAGATGGCAACCTACAGGCCTTCCTTTCTCCAAGCTGACCACCCCCAGGTTCTCTGATGGTTTCTCACCCAACATCATTTCAAATCTTTTTACCGTCTATCACGGTGACCTTTCTTGGGACCTGCCCAGTTTTTTTTCACATTCCTCTTACAGTGTGGCATTCAGAGCTGAGCTCCAGATGGAGTCTGCCTCACTTAGATTGCAAAGAGACTATCACCTCCACCCTTCCAGACGTCATACTTCTATTTATGCCACCTAAGAAAACAATCATTTTTTTAAACAGCTTTATTTACATATAACTCACATACCGTATATATTAGTTTTCTACTGACGCTGCAACAAATTACCACACACTTAGTGACTTAAAGTAACACAAATTTACTATCTTGTTCCATGGATCAGAAGCGTGACACAAATCTCACTGGACAAAGATCGAGGTATTGGCAGGGCTGAGTTTCTTTCTGAAGGTCCTAGGGGAGAATGGATTTCCTTGCCCTTCCCAGCTTCTAGAGGCCACCTGCCCTCCTCGGCTCGTGGCTCCCTTCCTCCATCTTCAAGGCCAGCAACACTGGGCTGAGTCTTTCTCAAGATGCTGCCTCTCTGGTTCTCTCTTCATATTCCATCTTCTACTTTTAAGGTCGTTTGTGATTACATTGGGCTTACCTGGGTAATCCAGGCTAAACTTCCTGTCTTAAAGTCAGCTAATTAGCAACTGAATTAATTTCATCTGCAAACTTAATTCTTCTTTGCCAGGTATGCTAACATATTCACAGGCTCTGAAGTTCAGGACATAGACATCTTTAAGGGGACATTATTCTGTCTACCACATCACACAATTCATTCACGTAAAATGTACAATTCAATGATTTTTAATATATTCACAGGGTTGCTGGCAACCAACACGATCAGGTTTAGAACATTTTCATCACCTGGAAAAGAGACATGCAGCGATTAGCAGCCACTCCTATTTCCTCCCACCTCCCCCAGCCTTAGGCAGCTGATAGTCTACTTTCTACCTCATAGACTTGCCTATGCCAGGCATTTCATATGAATGGAATCATACATATGCAGTTCTTTGTGACTGGCTTCTTTCACTTAGCATAATGTTGTATCATGTAGCAGCACTGTATCCCTTTTTATTGCCAATAATATTCCACTGTATGCATATATCACATTTTATTTATCCATTCATCATTGATAGACAAATGGGTTGTTCCCACTTTTTGACTATTGTAATAGTCCTATAAACATTTGTGTACAAATTTTTGTGTGAGCATATGTTTTCATTTCTTTTCTTTTCTTTTTCTTTCTTTTTTTTTTGAGACGGAGTTTTGCTTTTGTCACCTATGCTGGAGTGCAGTGGCGCGATCTCGGCTCACTGCAACCTCTGCCTCCCAGGTCCAAGTGATTCTCCTGTCTCAGCCTCCTGAGTAGCTGGAATTACAGGTGCACACCACCATGCCTGGCTAATTTTTGCATTTTTAGCAGAGACGGGGTTTCACCATATTGGCCAGACTGGTCTCGAACTCCTGACCTCAGATGATCCACCTGCCTCAGCCTCCCAAAATGCTGGGATTACAGGTGTGAGCCACTGCGCCCTGCCTGTTTTCATTTCTCTTAGGTGTACACCTAGGATTGGAATTGCTGGGTCATATGGTAATGTTATGTTTAATATTTTGAGGAACCACCACACTATTTTTTAAAGTGGATGCACAATTTTACATTCCCACCAGCAGTGAATGAGGGATCCAATTTCTTCATAACCATGTAAACACTTGCTATCTGTTTTTTTATTTTTTAATTTTTTTACTTATAACCATCCTAGTGGGTGTGAAGTGGTATCTCGTGGCATCGATTTGCATTTTCCTCATGATTAAGGAAGTTGAGCATCTTTTCATGTGCTTAGTCATTTGCATATCTTCTTTGGAGAACTGCCTATTCAGATCCCTTACCCATTTAAAAAACTGAGTTGGTTATTTTATTATTGAGTTGTAAGAATTCTTCATATATTCTGGATATGTTACAGGAAAGGGGTCCCGATCCAGATCCCAAGAGAGGGTTCTTGGATTTCACACAAGAAAGAATCCAGGGTGAGTCTGCTGTGCAAAGTGAAAGCAAGTTTATTAAGAAAGTCACGGAATAAAAGAATGGCTATTCCATAGACAGAGCAGCCTCAAGGGCTGCTGCTTGCCCATTTTTATAGTTATTTCTTGATGATATGCTAAACAAGGGGTGGATTATTCATCCCTCCATTTTCAGACCATATAAGGTACTTCCTGATGTTGTCATGGCATTCGTAAACTGTCATGGTGCTGGTGGGAGTGTAGCAGTGAGGACAACCAGAGTTCACTCTCATGGCCATTTTGGTTTTGGAGGGTTTTGGCTAGCTCCTTTACTGAAAACTGTTTTATCAGCAAGGTCTTTATGACCTGTATTTTGTGCTGACTTCCTATCTCATCCTGTGACTTAGAATGCCTTAACCATCTGGGAATGCAGCCCATTAGGTTTCAGCCTCATTTTACCCAGCTCCTGTTTAAGATGGAGTTGCTCTGGTTCACACGCTTCTGACAGATACAAGTTCCTTATCAGATGTATGAGTTGCAAATATTTTCCCCCGTTCTATGGGGTGTCTTTTCACTTTCTTTTTCTTTTTCTTTTTTTGTTTTTTGAGACGGAGTTGTGCTCTGTCGCCTAGGCCAGAATGCAGTGGTGCATCTCAGCTCAACCTCCACCTCCCAGTTTCAAGCAATTCGCCCTGCCTCATCCTCTCGAGTAGCTGGGATTACAGGTGCCTGCCACCACGCCTGGTTAACTTTTGTACTTTTTAGTAGAGACAGGGTTTCACTATGTTGGCCAGGCTGGTCTTGAACTCCTGAGCTCAGGTGATCTGCTTGCCTCGGACTCCCAGAGTACTGGGATTACAGCCATGAGCCACTGTGCCTGGCCTTTTTCACTTTCTTGATAATGTCATTTGTATTACAAATGTTTTTTAGTTTTGAGGAAGTTAAATGTATCTATTTTTTCTTTTGTCATTTGTGCTTTTAGGTATCTATGGGCCCATTGCTTAACCCAAAGTGATAAAGATTTACTCCTGTGATTTTTTTCTAAGAGTTTTTATAGTTTTAGCTTTTACACTTATGGCTATGATCCATTGTATTAGTCTGTTTTCATGCTGCTGATAAAGACATACCCAAAACTGGGCAATTTACTAAAGAAAGAGGTTTAATGGTTTCACATGGCTGAGGAGGCCTCACAATCATGGCGGAAGGCAAGGAGGAGCAAGTGACGTCTTACATGGATGGCAGCAGGCAAAGAGAGAGAACTTATGCAGGGGAACTCCTCTTTATAAAACCATCAGATCTCATAAGAGTTATTCACTTTCACGAGAACAGCACGGGAAAGACTTGTCCCATGATTCAATTATCTCCCACCAGCTCACTCCCACAACACATGGGAATTCAAGATGAGATTTGGGTGGGGACACAGCCAAACCGTATCATTCACTTTGAGTTAATTTTGCATATGGTATGAGTTAGGGGTCCAATTTCATTCTTTAGATGTGCATATCCAGTTGTTCCAGCACCCTTTGTGAAAAAGGTGATTATATCTTCACTGGCACTTTTGTTGAAAATCAATTGATCATAAAAGTAAGAGTTTATTTCTGGACTATTGATTCTGTTCTGTTAATCTATTATTTGAAATCAGAAGGTGTGAGTTCTCTAATTTTGTTCTTCTTTTTCAAAATTCTTTTGGTGATTTGGGACAATTTGCAATTCCATATGAATTTTAGGATCAGCTTGTCATTTTCTGGAAAAAAAAATCCAGCTGGAATTTTGATAGAAATTGTATTGAATCTGTAGATCCATTTGGGGAATATTACCATCTTAACAATATTAAGTCTTTTGATCCATGAACATGGGATATGTTTCCACTTATACGGGTATTATTTAATTTTTTTAACAATATTTTGTATTGTTGAAATATAAGTTTTGTAGTTCTACAAGTTTTGTAGTTCTTTTGTTAAAGTTATTCCTAAGGATTTTATTCTTTCTGATGCTACTGTAAATGGATTTTTTTAAAATCTCATTTTGTACTGTTCATTGCTAGAGTACAGAAATACAATTGATTTTTTATATTGATTTTGTATCCTGCAACCTTACTGAATTCATTTATTAGTTCTATTTTTTATTTTTTGTAGGGATGAGGTCTTGCTATGATGCTGATCTCAAACTCCTGGCCTCAGGTGATCCTCCTGCCTTGGCCTCCCAAAGTGCTGGGATTACAGGTATGAGCCACCATCCCTTGGTCCACGTATTAGTTCTAATAGGTTTTTGTTTTTGTTTGTTTTTAGATTTCTTAGGATTTTCTATATACAAGATCATGTCACCTGCAAATAGAGATAGTTTTACTTCTTCCTTTCCAGTCCAGATGTCTTTTCTTTTTCTTGATTGCTATGGCTAGGACCTCCCATACAATCTTCAACAGAAGTGATGAAACATCCTTGTCTTGTTCCTGATCTTAGGAGAAAAATGCCTTTAGTCACATTAAATATTTTGGGTGTGGGTTTTTTTTTTTTTTTTGAGATAGCCTTTATCAGATCGAGTAAGTGCCCTTCGTTTTTTAACTTGAGACAGAGGCTGGCTCTGTCACCCAGGTTGGAGTGCTGTGACATGATCTTGTCTCATTGCACCTCTGCCCCTTGGGTTCAAATGATTTTCCTGCCTCAGCCTCCCGAATAGCTGGGATTACAGGTGCGCACCACCACGCCTGGCTAATTTTTTTATTTTTAGTAGAGAAAGTATTTCATCATGTTGGCCAGGCTGGTCTTAAACTCCTGACCTCAGGTGATCTGCCTACCTTGGCCTCCCAAAGTGCTGGAATAACAGGCATGAGCCACTGCACTCGGCCTGGAGTTCCCTTCTGTTCCTAGTTTATTGAATGTTTTTTTTTTTTTTATCATGAAAGGGTATTAAATTTTGTCAAATGCTTTTCCTGCATTTATTGAGATGATCATGGTTTTTCATCCTTTGTCCTATTGATATGATATATTACATCAATGGATTTTCATACATTAAGCCAACTTTGCATTCCTGGAATAAATCCCACTTGGTTATAGTGTCTTATCCTTTTTGTATGTTGCTAGATTTGTGTTGCTAGTACTTTGTTGAGGAGTTTTCCATGTATATTCCATCTTTATTTCAATAAAGAAATTAGTCTGTAGTTTTCTTGCCTTGCAATGTCTTTAATCATCATTTTTATAAAGCCACATCATACTATCTTTTTTTTACAGTTGATTTTCTTTATTTTTGGAAATTTTATTTCATTTCATTTCTTTGGCTGTGAACACATCATACTGTTGATGGCAATTTTGTTTGTTATCCGCAGTTCCCTCCCGCACTGGCCAAGATGTTAGAAGACCTGGAGTGGACCTGAACCTGTGTTAACACAATCTCATGGTGCAATTTTGAATTCGTATTCTCTGGACTTCAGTCTCCTCTTCTGTAATTATGAGATTGTAAGCTCTGCAAAATTAGTCTTTTTTTTTCTTTCTGTTCTCACAAGCTGTTCCCAATTTATAGAGTTTTATAGCTAGCATGTATTCCCAGTCCGGGGCTCTTTCCCTCGGATCAAGTCTGAAAGGGTCTTCAATGTCCTGCTGATAAATAAGAGAGACCAGTGCTTTTAAAACAGTGCGCACATGAACTGTGTATGAATCACCACGGACTCTTAAATGCAGATGCTCATTCTGTAGATCTAGATTCTGCATCTCTCACAAGCTCTTGGGTAATATTAATGCCGCTGGTCTATGGACCCACTTTGAGTAACAAGGAACCAGAATATTGTTTCCTAAGCTTCATTCACATAAGAGCCAATTTCATATTTTTTTGCCATATTCATCTTTCGTCTATGCAATTAAAAATATATTTTTCTTTTAATTAACTAGCAATTAAATCCCATCTTTGGGTAAAATTTAGACTAATTCTAGGCAATAATATACATCAAACCACAGGTGTTAGATACTGTATATATATATGTTTTTTTTTTAGATGGAGTCTCGCTCTGTCATCCAGGCCGAAGTGCAGTGGTGTGATCTCAACTTACTGCAACCTTTGCCTCCTGGGTTCAAGCAATTCTCCTGCCCCAGCCTCCCAAGTAGATGGGATTACAGGTGCCTGCCATGACACCTGGCTAACATTTTTGTAGTTACATATTTTTCATGCACATTAAAAATGTCTATTCAAATTTAAAAAGACAGTCATCTGGGTACCACCAGAAATGATCCCACGTACCACTTGACCATGCATCCCCTGTGGTAAGCGTTGCTTTAGAACTTCCTAGGGTCTGAGAACGTGGTTCTTGCCCTTTAAACACCATCACACTTTAATTGGACACTTTTGACTTGCATCTCATAATTTTGCCCCCCAACCCTTTTTTTTTTTGAGACGGAGTCTCGCTGTGTTAACAGGCTGGAGTGCAGTGGCATGATCTTGGCTCACTGCAACCTCTGCCTCCTGGGTTCAAGCAATTCTCTTGCCTCAGCCTCTGGAATAGCTGGGACTACAGGCGTGCACCACCACGCCCCGCTAATTTTTGTATTTTTAGTAGAGATGGGGTTTCACCATGTTGGCCAGGATGGTCTCGATCTCTTGACCTCATGATCTGCCCGCCTCAGCCTCCCAAAGTGCTGGGATTACAGGTGTGAGCCATCGCACCTGGCTGATTTTGCCCCATTTTTCTCTGCTGCAATTTGGCCAGTGATTCCTGTCTTTCCCTCTATTATCCACCCTGATTAACTCAGCTGCACCTGTCAGCCTTTATTCCTGAGACTGAGAGCGGGTGGAGCGAGGCGTGCTGAAGAAGTCATTAAAATGCATGAGTTTGATCATATTCACTCTTTCCTGTCCGGAGCATAGGGGGCTAAGTCCCTGGGTCCCACATCTGAGCTTCATTTGACAGGCCTGGGGCTCATGGCCTAGGGTGAGGAGGCCTATGGGAACCAGCGGTGGCAACCTGCAGGCTTCATCTGGTGGACACTACCGGGGGCTGGGTCTCCGAGATCCTGTGAGTTTCTCCTGGGGTGTCTGACATCATCCACTGCAGGAAGCAGGGATGAGGTTGTTCAGTGAATTTTCCCTGTATTCTCTGGAAGAGGTGCTTATAAAGATGGAATAAGGCGAGTTTAGAGAATTTTGATTCCTCTTGCTGCTGCTTATTTCTTCCAGCCTCTTTGTCTTCATCTGTAAAATAGGGATAATAATAACTGCCCACATGAGGTGGGAGGAGCAGTAGTGAAGAATTCAGGTTTTGGGCCCGGAGCAGTGGCTCACGCCTATAGTCCCAGCACTTTGGGAGGCCAAGGCAGGCGGATCACCTGAGATCATGAGTTCAAGGCCAACCTGGCCAACATGGCGAAACCCCTCTCTACTAAAAATACAAAATTTAGCTGGGCATGGTGGCTCACACCTGTAGTCCCAGCTATTTGGGAGGCCGAGGCAGGAGAATTGCTTGAACCTGGGAGGTGGAGGTTGCAGTGAGCTGACATTGAACCACTGCACTCCAGCCTGGGTGACAGGGCAAGACTCCATCTCAAAAAAAAAAAAAAAAAAATCAGGTTTTGATGTCCAACAGGCTGGTTCTATCATTTATAATTTATAATGTGTAGGACCTGGAGCAAATCATTTTACCTACAGGACTCTCAGTTTCCTCCTCTGTAAAGTGGAGATAACATCTACTTTCTAGGGACAGTGCAGGAGGATGAAAGAGCGCTGAGCCAGTGGCTAACACAGGCTGAGCACTCAGTGGATGGCAGCAATTGTCATTATCATCATTATCACATCACCACATCATTACAATATAAAATATTGAGCAAATCTGGGATATTTTGGTACTTAACATTTGTTTCCTCTTCCTTTCTCCCTACCTTTCTCCCTCCTTTTCTTCCTTCCTCCTTTTTCCCTGTCTTCTCACCTTCTTTTATTCCCCTTCTTCTCACTTTCTTCTCATCCTTCCTTGGTACATCTGGTTGCAGCTGCAAGGAGTGGCAGGAGCTTACACAGGAAAAGGAGGTGTGGTCAGATCCTGGGGGGACTTGAATGTCAGAGGGAGTCTGATCTTCAGCCTAGGGGCAATAGTGAGTCACTAAAGCCTGCGGTGGAGCAGAAACAAGCTGTGGTGAAAGTGGGGAAGTGAGCCTGGCAGCAGAGATTGGGAAGGGGCTGTGAGGGCAGAAGCTGGAGCCAGAGAGGTGAGCTATCCAGGGAGCCTAAAGGTCAAGTGAGAGAGATGGGGAAGCAGAGGCTGCATCTCTGTCTAGAGCTCGCCTGGGAGAAGTAGCCTCATTCTCTACGTTCACCTTGCCCACAAAACCCAGCCGGAGCACCCACCTCTGTGTGACCTCAGACAAGTGCTTAACCTCTCTGAGCAGCAGTAAGGCCATCTTAGCTCTTGGTGACACCCCCTGGCTTCCTAGCAAAGACACTTCTGGATCCTACAGGCTTCCATCATCTTCCAGGCTGCTCTCTGCTCAGAGATTAATTTGTTTACTCCCTTGCCTGGAGATGAACCGAGGGAACTAATCGTCCATCAGCGCAGGCTCCCCCAACCTCGCACCGCCCCGCCCCAAATGTCCATTTTCTGGCAAAATATGTCCTTGCCGCTGACAAGGCTGCTTGGAAAATGCTAATTTTATCCTCGAATTAAAATTTGTTCCCTTACCCTCGTTTTAATAAAAATGAAGCATCCGGAAACATTGCCACGGTGCAGAAGAGAAAGATCTGACATAATTTTTAAAATGCCTTCAATCACGCTGACTTCTGAACGGTCTGTCCTCTAACCCTGACCCCCTCCCCATCTCCCAACCCCCTGAGGCAGCATTTACATTTCTTAATAACCCCTCATTAATATTCATGAGAAGGGGCGGGTAATAACGGCTGAGCACACCGCACTAATTCAATTTCCACCCGCCTCAGCGTGTTTACTTAATCACCAAGGGACCCGGGTTACTCAGTACAATTATTTATTCGGAATTAGATCTGGAGGCATCTGGACTGGAAACAGGGAACCAAGAGCAAAATGAAAATCGAATTCTCTTCGTCCTCCCCTCCCAGCCGCCTCTTCCTGACCGTGTGCCAACGCTCCAGGCAGCCAGCAGGGCTTAGAGGACAAGGCTCCGTGCCCGCCGGGCAGCTCCTGAAGGAACTGGCTCGTGAGGGGCTGAATGTGTTCCAGATGCTCTGGCCCCGGCAGGAATCTCTCATCAACAGTAGCCTTGGAGTTATCGCAAGGCCCAGCAGTGGGCCAGTTGCACCGTCCCAGCCAAGAGCATGGCCAGCCAGAGTTAGGGTGTTCAGGAGATGCTGGGGTATTGGCCCAACCTGGACATGCAGTGTGGACAGACTTTTGATCACAGGCCCTGTGGAGGTGAGAGTTTGTGACATGGGGTCTAAATAACACCTGCTCATCCTCGAACCCCCGCTTAACTGTCACCTCCTCCAAGAAGCCTTTCCTGGTCCCCAGACAAGGTTAGCTTCTCCTATTACACACACCTTCTGTTACAACCAGGATGGGCTTGGTCATAGCACCTTGCCCACTGTGGGTGTTCACACAATGGTTTCTAATTAGTTGTTCAGGGTCTGTTTCTCCCAATAGTCAGTTCCGTGGGAGTAGGTCCCATGGCTGTCCTGGTCACGTGTTCCTAGCATCTAGCAATGCCCAGCACAGAGATGCTCAACAGTATTTGTTAACTTCTTGACTGATTGATTCTACTATTGACTCCTGATTCTCAAGCCTCTGTTTCCTTATCTGCAAAATGAAGCTAAGAACATTCATCTTGTAGGATTGCCGTGGGGACTCAGTGTTTTCCATGTAAAGAGGATGCAGAGGATGTCGGTGTAAAGTGTTGAGCTCAGTCCCTGACCCACGATAAACACCCAGTTCACATAAGATGCTATTATTATTACTGTTATTTCTGATGGTGGTGGAGCACAGACAAGTTAACTGTGGGAGGCCTAGGTAGACCCAGAGGAGGCTGGGCTTGGAGGGAGCTCTTCTGAGTCTTGAGACTCTGAGATTCAAAGTCTTGAAATGCCTTTCCCAAGTTCACACAGCTAGTAAGGTCAAGCCTCCATCCTGCTTATCCTTTTAAGCATTGGATGACCTTAGCAAGTTGTTTAACTTTTCTGAGCCTCAGTTTCCTCCTCCGTAAAATGAAAATAATAATGGCAGCCGCCTATTGGATTGCTAGGGAAGATTCAGTAAGGTCCCTCGTGCAATTTAGCATGGAAGCTGATACATGAACTTAATGAAAAGGGGTACTGTTACGGCAGATGTGGTGAGTCCAGGCAGAGGGAATAGCATGAATGTATTTATCTATTGATTCACTTACTAATGTATTTGGTTATGGATTCAGCATGCATTCATTAGCCCTTACCAGGTGCCTGCCCCAGTGCTAGGCTCTGACAGGGAGCAGAGAGGTGCAGAAAGCACAGCTCCCTCAGATTGGAGCTCCCGGCTGATAGAAAAAGTGAGTCAGGAAGGCCCTCACTGGCACATCAGCAAATGCCAAGGCTGTGAGGGTACATTGGAACCGTGGCTTCCAGCTCTGAGGTTTAGGAACAGGTGACTGAAGGGGTGGCATTTGGGGCAAGAAGAAGAATTTGGGCCAGAGTGAGGGGGCGGAGCATCCTACGAAGAGGAACCAGCAAAGGTATAGACCTGGCAGTGGGGATTTTCTGTTACAGCCAAAGCATCCTCAGTTGATACACTTTGTGTATGTTACCCCTACTACTTGGACTACACCCTTCTACCTTGATGCTCAGCAAACTCCTACTCATCCTTCAAAGCCCAGCGCCAAATGACTTGATTGTCCAGTATTCTGACATCTCTTGGCAAAGCCACAATTCTTTCCTTGTGTTCTCCAGCACTGTGCTCCTACCCAGTCCTCAGCCTTCTCATGTAGTATCATCTGCTTACCCACCTATCCCTGGTTCTTACCCTTCTGCCCCTCTGCTCTGTATTCCAGGGGGCTGGGTTTGGCCAATGGGAGGCGCCGGTGGGGGGCTACAGGGCAGAAGGAAGGGAGAAGTCCAGGTATTTCTCCTCTCCATCTTGGGCAGCATCTCCAGCAGTGGCTGTGTCTCCTCCATGTCTCTAGCTCTCCTGGAGCTCCACCGTGGTCCCATATTCCACCAAGTGACCCTCCTCCTGGGCTGGGGTGGTGGCAGCCTCTTGCTATTACTCGTCTTTGGGCTGCTTTGCCATGTCCAGTTGTCTTCTCAGACCTTCTGCCACCTTCCATTCCCTGGATTAAAGTTCCTCTTTTGTAAATACTCAAGTGTTTCCTGGTTAGACACTGACCCATACACTTCCCTACCAGGCGACAAGCTTCCTGTTGGGAAGGGCCCTGCCTTGTATCCCCAGGGCTTGGATACAGAGAAGCTGCCCAAAGGTTAATGAATGAATGAATGTCTTTTGATTACATGGCTTGTCTAGCCAGATTCTACTCTCATTTAGCAAAAGAGAAGAGGCATAAGGGAATGAATTGCTCCCTGGGGTTAACAAATGTTTGTATGAAACAACATTAGGCCAGGCGCAGTGGCTCACGCCTATAATCCCAGCACTTTGGGAGGCTGAGGTGGGCGGATCACGGGGTCAGGAGTTCGAGACCAGCCTGGCCAATATAGTGACACCCCATCTCTACTAAAAATACAAAAATTAGCCAGGCGTGATGGCATGCACCTGTAGTCTCAGGAAGGCTGAGGTAGAAGAATCGCTTGAACCCGGGAGGTAGAGGTTGCAGTGGGCCGAGACCACGCCACTGCACTCTAGCCTGGGTGACACAGCAAGACTCCATCTCAAAAAAAAAAAAAAAAAAAGAAAGAAAGAAAAGAAACAACATCAATAATAATAATACTAAAGAAATGATGTGTAAATAAGAAAATGCTTTCTAAATAATGCTAAGCCTGTAAGCTTCTTTGTAGACTGTAAAATTCAGCATCCACATTGGATTTTCCTGTTTCAGCCCATATCAGTGTTTCTGCTGAGGTGGCTGCAGAGTGGGAGGCCAAGAGATAAAAGAGAAGATAATGGATTGGGGGCCATGTCTCAGCCCAAGATCAAAAGGCAGAGAGGAGCGCAGGGGACAGCAGATGGTTTAATCATTACAGACTCATTTAGAGAGGCCCCTTCCCTCCCTTCCTGCCTCCAAAGCACCTGGACCCTCAAGTGCCCAGACAAGTTCCCAGAACTGGGGCTGTGTTGGAAGACAATGAAGGCCTGCCAGCCTGTCTGCCAGAGAAGTTCAGAGGGCTGTGGGAGGGGGCATTTCTCTAGAAGTCAAATGGGAACAGCAGGATGGGTGGATTGTGGGATTCGGAGAGGAGAATGAGTGAAAGGGAATTTTAGAGATGCAAGGAACTGGCGCAGCCTGTCTTAGGTTGGGTTCCCTGAAAAGCAGAGACTAAAACAAAGACTTGAGTACATGCTTGGGTACATATTTTATCTGGGAGATGCTCATAGGAAGTAGAAGCGAGGGAACCAAGAGAGCAAGACAAGGAAGGAGCTGGTTGCTGCAGTGGATAATTGGGATTTGATTGTGCAAATAGCCTCTGAGTATTATGCAGAAGTCATCTCAGAATTGTTCACCCAGAGGATAGAAGGCTGGGGCATTTATCCTCTAACTGCTATTCCCCCAAGGGATAAGCATTACCCGAGGTAGGTCATTAACTTTCCACACCTCTGAGCTGTGCCTATGGGTCACAGAACCAGGGACCAGGACTTCCAAGACAGCCTTGAGGCTGCAAAGCTGAGAGACTAGGCAGGCACTTGAGGTGGGAATCTGCCAGCATGCATGGGAGCTGTGTAGCCCAGCTGCAGTTGAGGTCAGAGGTGGGGCACAAGGCTGTAGCATGGTGGCACTCACAGCATCTACTGCACTCTACTATCCCTGCTGCACACAGCCTGAGTCCTCAAGCTCCATGGCCATTCTTTCCTTCCTTTATTCACTCAACAAACACTTCCCGAGCACCTACTCTGTGCCAAGAATTGTGCTAGGTGCCAGGAAGAGTGTGTGAGCAAGACAAACATGGCCCCTAACCACACGCTGCTTATATTCAAATTCAGAAGGCAGAAATAAATAAACGTAGGTGCAAATTAGTAAGATGCCTTCAGAGAGTGATAAGTGTTCTAAAAGAAAGAAACAGGGGTGATATGGTTTGGCTCTGTGTCCCCACCCAAATCTCACCTTGAATTGTAATAATCCCCACTTGTCAAGGATGGGACCAGGTGGAGGTAATTGAATCACGGGCGTGGTTTCCCCCATGCTCTTCTCATAATGAGTGAATCTCATGAGATCTGATGGTTTTATAAACGTCTGGCAATTTCCCTGCTTGCTCTCATTTTCTCCTTCCTGCCACCATGTGAAGGACATGTTTGCTTCCCCTTCTGCCATGATTGTAAGTTTCCTGAGACCTCCCCAGCCATGCTGAACTGTGAGTCAATTAAACATCTTTCCTTTATAAATTACTCAGTCTAGAATATGTCTTTTACTTTTGTTTTTGTTTGAGAAGGAGTTTCGCTCTGTCGCCCAGGCTGGAGTGCAATGGTGCGATCTCGGCTCACTGCAACCTCTGCCTCCTGGGTTCAAGCAATTCTCCTGCCTCAACCTCTTGAGTAGCTGGCATTACAGGCACGTGCCACCATACCCAACTAATTTTTGTATTTTTAGTAGAGACGGAGTTTCGCCATGTTGGTTAGGGTGGTCTCGAACTCCTGACCTTGTGATCCTCCCGCCTCGGCCTCCCAAAGTGCTGGGAATACAGGCATGAGCCATCACAACCAGCCTCGAATATGTCTTTATTAGCAGCATGACAGTGGACTAATACAAGGGAGATGGAATAGAAAGAAAACATAGGGAAAAGGAGGGGACCTGCTTTAGGCAGGGCCATCAGGGAGGGTCACTCTTGATAGGTGACCCCTGAGCACAGCCCAAATTGTTGAGAAGGAATATACACATCTTCTGCCACCAATGCCTTGTGACTCAGTGGTTCTGAAAATGTGAGGTTTCAGGGACTATACAATATAAAATTTTTTTTTGAGAACTAATATAGGGTTGCTAACTATTTTGCCAAATAAAAACAAAAAACAATTCAACTATGAATGGCCATTTACTATCTCCATGATTTCATAAATGAAAGGACATTTAAAACACTCCCAGAGTAGGAAGAACATGACCTCAGAATAAAGACAGTCTTTTAAGTGAAATAAATTTAGCTTTATTAAAAACCCTCTTCTTTTCTTCATTTTGTCCCCAAACTCTTGGAAATTTCTCTCCATCTCAAGGTCTACCTTGAGGGCTCAGGACACATTGTTATTCTCTTTGTTTTCTCAGCTTGGGGATTTTGGTAATGGGAGATAAAGTGTGAAATTGCATGTATATGCCCATGTCCATCAGTTTTTCCATTTGCAAAGTTGGGTAGTTGCTTGAATTATTTCTAAAGTATAAACTAGAAAGTCCAGAGATCTTAGCAATTCATTCATTTAACAGTCACAGAAACTGCATAGAATTCCTTTCTTCTCACCACCACCTTCTCTGCGGGGGAAACTCCTCTCCTACTCTCAAAACCCAGTTCAAATATCCTGTTCCTGGGCTTCTCTCTGCAATCAGTCAGCCATCCTCCCTGCAGAGAGTCTTGGCCTATATTGAGGACACAGCCCCTATCCATTGTGATAGGTGATTGTCTCTGGGTGGGGGAAATTGGTCCTGTGTCTCCCTTCCAGAAAATCTTTTCATTTCTCAGAACTCCTCAGTATAAATGTGGGTAACGCAGAAATGCAGGAAATAGAGATTTGTGAGCAGAAGAGAAGGGGAAGGGAAGTAGCATTTATTGAGTATCTGCAATGCACCTGTCAGGTGCTTCACGTGTGTATTATTTCATTGGAAGCTCTTACGTACTTTAATACAGTCCCTCCCACCATAACTACTGCTCCTTATCCCATTCCTACACACACACTGCTCTTTCCATCTGTGACACCTGTGCTCCTGCCATTTCTTCTGCCCAGGAAACCTCGCCTCCTAAGTCCTCCTGGATTCTTCCTGTGTGCTCTTGACTCCACGCCTGGGACCTGGCAGCCTGGGGGTTTGTCCGCCCTGTTTAGACGAAAATGGTCATTGCATCCAGGCCACATAGTTAGGGTCAGAGTTCAGGGAGACAGAAGCTCAAATGAAGAGGCTGCCTGGCCCTTTCTAGCCTGAAAACACTGAGATCCTTTAAACAAGAGACTCCCTCGATCCAAGACTCTAGAGTTGTTCGCAGTTTTGTGTTCATGGCTGGTCCTGGAATGCTGATTCTCACTTCCAAGATTCTAGAACTCTGAGATTCTACAAACAGTGGAGAGAGCCTCTGCTTCAGGACTTGAGCTGTCTCTGCTGCCTCTCCAGGGGCCACCTGGCCTCAGGACCCCAGGCAAGCACCGTGGGTTGGGAACCAACCTGGTGGAAAACTAAAATCAGCCCATCTTCAGGTCTACCGCGGCGGATGAAGCCTCACGCAGAACAGATACAGTTGCTTGGCAAGCAGGGGGCTGCAGGTGTGTGGAGGTGGAGAGGATGCCCCCTGAGAGACCTTCCTCTCCCCTCTGAGACTGGAGCTGCTGTGCCAGCCTGCAGGCCCTTTTCATGACAACAGTTGCTTAGCGCCTGCCAGTCCTCACACCAACTTCCCTCACCTGCCCCTCTTTCCTTTTTTCCTTTCCTCACTCAAGGAGCCAATTTTCACTCAGTAAACTTTCACCACTTCATCCTGCATGCCAAGTGCTGGGTTAAGCATTTGGCATCTATCACAGATTGGGCTCTCATAAGCCAAGATTGCGCCACTGCACTCCAGCCTGGGCGACAGAGTGAGACCCTGTGAGAGAGAGAGAGAGAGAGAGAGAGAGAGAGAGAGAGAGAGAGAATGGTCAGAGTCCTAATCCCAGGTACTTGTGAATGTGATCTTATTTGGAAATGGGGTCTTTAATGATGTGATTAAGTCGAGAATCTCAAGTTGAAATCATCCTGGATTTAGGATGAGCTCGCAATCCAATGACGGGTGTTCTTATCAGAGAAAGGAGAGAGAGTTGAGACACAGACACAGAGAAAGGCCATGTGAATATAGGGAGCAGAGGCTGAGACAGGAGAGATGTATCTGCAAGCCAGGGAACACCTAGGCTTGCCCACAGCCGCTGGAAGCTGGGAAAGAGGCATGAAACTGATTCTCCCTCAGGGCCTCCAGAAAACCAACCCTGCTGATCTCTTGATTTTAGACTTCTGGCCTGTAGAACTGTGAGAGAATACACGACTGTTGTCTTAGGCCCCCAAGTTTGTGGTAATTTGTGACTGCAGCCCTGGGAAACAAGTCCAGAGGCTTAGTGTATGCTGTTCCATTGCCTGGAACATGATGCTCTTCTCTTTCCCAAACAGTTTCTCAACTTTGCCCTTTGGTGCTTGTAAGTGGACATATCTGCAGAGAAGAAAGGAGACATTTTCAAAGAATTGCTCTTACTGCCTCCTCCTTGTCCTGTGGCTCTCAGCTCAAATGGCACCTCCTCCAAGAAGCCTTCCCTGATTTTCTACCCTTCTCTGTGCTCCCAGTTTCCTGGACTGCCCGTGCCACAGACGTGCTGGCACTGTCTGTTGACATGGCTTGCTCTCTACTTCCCCACTGGACTGGGCACTCTGCAAGGGCAAAGACTGTGTTTGGCCCCTCTTTGTGGCTGCAGCTGTGCCTTGCACAGGTTCAGGCACAGTACGGGTGTTCACTAATGTTTGCTGAATGAATCAATGAACAAATATTCCCTTCCAGTTCTGCTCCACCTCTGGACTCCTGCCCCACAGGGGAGAAACCCTTTTTGAAAGCACCTGTGACATAGTTCAAGATCACCAATGTCGGGCGAGGGTAGGACATGCACCCTGGAGTCCAGCCATACCTCAGCACAGCCCTCCTGCCCACATCGCCAAGGCCCTGTCAGAGGCATGACAAACAGCTTGGCTGATGGCTTATAATGTCAAAGATGATGGAAACAGGGAGGCGACGGCTGAAAGAATGGGTTGGGGACGCTTGTCATAACTTTATTTGTGGGAGGTGAGTTTCTGTCGGCTGGGTGATGGATGGTGGCAGGGCAGGCACAATACAGACCCTGCCACTGCCTCTCTCCCCTGTCTCTAAGCCAAATGACTTTGGGGATGAAAAATGACTTTCTTGGGAGAACCCGGGGGAGGGGAACTTCATTCAGGGTGAGGGGGCTGTCTGGTCAGCACCTTGGAGTGACTTTTGCTTTTTTTTTTTTTTTTTTTGCTGAGAGTTGACTTTTTTCTGGGACAGTCTGATCATTTCTTTCCTTCCTTCTTGCTTCCCTCTCTCCCTTGACAATAATCACAGACACACTGTCTACCTTGATTCTCCAAACTGCCCTAAAAAGAACATACATTTTTACAGAGGAGGAAACCGAAGCTTGAAGAGGAGAAATGACATATCCAAGTGCCCCATGAAGTAAGTGAAAGACCTGGGAGTTGAACCTGGGTCCAGTTGCTCTAAAGCCTGACCTCTCTCCACAATCAAGTGATAAAAAGGCCACAGGGCTGGGCATGGTGGCTCACGCCTGCAATCTGAGCACTTTGGGAGGCCAAGGCGGGCAGATCACCTGAGGTCAGAAGTTCGAGACCAGCCTGGCCAACATGGTGAAACCCCATCTCTACTAAAAATACAAAATTAGCCGGGCATGGTGGTGCACACCTGTAATCCTAGCTACTCGGGAGGCTGAGACAGGAGAATCACTTGAACCCGGGAGGCGGAGGTTGCAGTGAGCCGAGATCACACCATTGCACTCCAGCCTGGGCAAAAAGAGCGAAACTCTATCTCAAAAAAAAAAAAAAAAAAAAAAAAAAAAAAAAAAAAAAAAAAGAAAAGCCACAGAAGTAGCAGCATGTGCCATGTTCCCTGGAAGCACAGTGAAGACAGCAATTAATCCGACAGGAGGAAGTCAGGGAAGGCTGCCTGTCAGAGGTGACATTTCAGTTGGTCCTGAAAGGGGGAGTAAAATGTTAAATGATAGAAAAATAAGGCAACAATTTAGGAAGAGAGGGTTTTGGGAGTGAGAAGAGAAATAGAGAGGATTTGCATACATTTTTGTTTGCTTACCCAAAACCAGACACTGTCCCCTTTCTCCTTTCTATTTTTTTTTTCCTGTGTGTGACAGTGTGACAGTTTTGCTCTTGTCACCCACGCTGGAGTGCAATGGTGCAATCTCAGCTCACTGCAACCTCTGCCTCCTAGGCTCAAGTAATTCTCCTGCCTCAGCCTCCCAAGTAGCCGGGATTACAGGCGCCTGCCACCATACCTGGCTAATCTTTGCATTTTTAGTAGAGATGGGGTTTCACCATGTGGCCAGGCTGGTCTGGAACTCTTGTCCTCAGGCGATCTGCCCTCCTCAGCCTCTCAGAATGCTGGGATTACAGGCATGAGCCACTGCACTTGGCCTCTCCTTTCTAATAGAGCCACCATTTTGGGGGAGGTGGTAATCTATCCTTCTACAAAGAGCCATGGGCTTTACCAAGCCATTCATGAGGTTCTAATTCCCTTGTGAGTGGCTGGTTTGGAAACAGGAATGAGAACAATTCTGCTGAATGAAATAAGAGGAATGTTTGCTCAGGGGCTTCTGGAAAAGACTTTTTGTTTGTTTGTTTTCTTTTTTTTTAAACAGGATCTCACTCTGTCACCCAGTGCTGCAGAGGCACAATCACTGTTCACTGCAGCCTCAACTCCCGGATGCAGGTGATGCTCCCCCCTCAGCCTCCTGAGTAGCTGGGACTAAAGGTGTGCACCTCCACACCCAGCAAATTTATTGTATTTTTTTTTGTGGGGGGTGGGGTTTGTCATATTGCCCAGGCTGGTCTCAAAATCCTAGTCTGAAGCAATCTGCCTACCTCAGCCTCCCGAAGTGCTGGGATTACAGGCATGAGCAATTGTGCCCAGCTTTTTTGGTTTGTTTTCTGAAAGAGAAAGCCCCTCCTCTTTTGCAGGACATGGTCACATGCATGCACGATGCCTGGAAGTGTGGCAGCCGTCTTGTGACTACATGATGGAACTAATACATGGGTGATGACTCAGTGGGAAGATAGGAAGGACATCATTAAACCTCTGAATGAATGACTGCTACAGCCACCATACCACAGAACTTAATCTTTGAGTTGATACATTTTTCTCACTGTTAACCAGCTGGATTGGTGGTTTCATTTTTGCAGCCTAAAGTATTCTGGCTGATAGAAGAAATAAAGAGGGTGTCAAGCCTCCTAAAGGCCCCCACCTCTTAATACCATCACACTGGGGATAAGGTTTCAACATATGAATTTCAGGGGACACAAACATTTGGACCACAGCGGAGGGCATGTGTATCGGTCACATTGCCTTGGTCCGAAATCTGACTACACCTGGCTGTGTGACCCAGACAAGTTACTTAACTCCTCTGAGCCTTGGCTCCATCATCTGTAAAATGGAAATAGAGAGGATGTTAGGATTAAATAAGTGCTGAGAGTAGCACTAGCATGTGGAACAACCACAAAAAATTGAGATTTGAGGCCAGGCGTGGTGGCTCACACCTGTAATCCCAGCACTTTGGGAGGCCAAGGCAAGTGGATCACAAGTTCAGGAGTTCAAGGCCAGCATGGCCAAGATGGTGAAACCCCACCTCTACTATAAATACAAAAAATTAGGCGGGTATGGTGGCAGGCACCTGTAATCCCAGCTACTTGGGAGGCTGAGGCAGATAATTGCTTGAACCTGGGAGGCAGAGTTTGCAGTGAGCTGAGATCAGGCCACTGCACTCCAGCCTGGGTGACAGAGTGAGACTCCATCTCAAAAAAATAAAATAATAAAATAATTAATTAATTAATTAATTAAGATTCGAGTGTCTAAGGAGTTAGTCAAGGTCACAGAGTCAACCAGTGTGGTGGAAGCAGGCTGCATCTCAGGCCTGAGCTCAGAGCTGTGTGTGTAACCGTTGCATCCTCCTGCCTCTGGAAGGCAGATTCACGGAGCCAGCACCAAGGCCAGGGCCCAGAGCTCAGGGTTGGATTTCTGGTTGCTGAATTCATGCTGTACTCCCTGGCATTGGCTCAGCCAACTGTGGCTAAGAGTTGACTTTGCTTCCCTGCTCTGTGTACCTGTCTTCCACCCCCTCTCCTGAACAGTATTTCCCTGGGGCTCCCATTACCAATTTGCAGAGCAAAGGCATGCACAGGCAGTTCAGGGGTGGCGCAAGCTCAGCGACTCTGGTATTGTTTTTAATTCAATATTTTGTCCCTGTGCGCCAGCCTCCTTTATTGGATGAGAACACTGTTATTGGATCCTGCCCTGCAGGAGAAAATGCAGGCTTCCCCAGATGATGGCAGCTACGTTGTTCTAGAGTCTGATGAGTCAAGGCAGGGCGAGAAGACAGAAGAGAGTTCCAGAAAATCTGGTGGTTACAAGCTGTTCTGTGACACGCACAAAAAAATTAACATATGTATTATTGACCCTTCTTCTTCCCCTCTCTTCTAGGGAGGACAAAAGCCCAGGAGGCAGCTGTCGCATCATCCTCTTCCTTTCCCTGCACATCCGCTACATCCCTTGGTCCTACTGATTTCACCTGCCGTTTCCTCTATGTCCAACGTTACTCAGTCCAAGTCCCCAAGCATTTCCTGCCTCGACAGTTATTCTACCCCATCCTCCCCTGCTGCTCTCAAACTCCTCCTTCTTTTTTTTTTTTGAGACAGACTCTTGATGCCCAGGCTGGAGTGCAATGGCGTGATCTCAGCTCACTGCAACCTCCGCCTCCCAGGTTCAAGTGGTTCTCTTGCCTCAGCCTCCCAAGTAGCTGGGATTACAGCGTGCGCCACCACACCCAGCTAATTTTTGTATATTTAGTAGAGATAAAGGGTTTCACCATATTGGCCAGGCTGGTCTTCAACTCTTGACCTCAGGTGATGTGCCCGCCTTGGCCTCCCAAAGTGCTGGGATTACAGGCTTGAGCCACTGCGCCAGCAAACTCATTCTTCTTCTTACAGACTCTCTTATTTGAGTTCACCTAAAAGCCTGAGATAAGGAATTGGATGTACAGAATTTATTTGCATGGCCATCCCAGGAAACACTTGGAAGTAGGGGAGTGGGAAAGGAAGACAGGGAGGGGTAGGCAGCCAGGAAAAGGGTTATCGAGCAGGTTACACTGTGGATAACGGGGGCTTGATTCCACCAGACCTCTGGGAGCCCATGAATAACACCTCGGAGTTCTCCTGCCTGCGGAGTTGGGGAGCAGGGTATTTATCTACTAGGTCCTATGGGGGCAGGGGTGTTCATTCTCAGGCACCTCTGACCTGCTTCACAGGCGGGAAGAGTGTGCTCCAGAGTTGTTAAAGAAAGTCTTTAGGTAAAGAGACACAGTGGGCTGGGCACAGTGGCTCACGCCTGTAATCCCAACACTTTGGGAGGCCAAAGCAGGTGGATCACCTGAGGTCAGGAGTTCAAGACCAGCCTGACCAACATGGTGAAACCCCGTCTCTATTAAAAATACAAAAATCAGCTGGGAGTGGTGGTGGGTGCCTGTAATCCCAGCTCCTTGGGAGGCTAAGGCAGGAGAATCACCTGAACCAGGGAGGCAGAGGTTGCAGTGAGCCGAGATTGCGCCACTACACTCCAGCCTGGGTGACAGAGTAAGACTCTGTCTTAAAATAAAAAAAAAAAAAAAAAAAAAAAAAAAAGACGCAGTGCTGGCAATTGGAAGTCTGCCCAGTGCACACTTAATTGTGAGGGTCGGGGGTGTGGGCGACGAGGCGCTGGCAGCATCTCTTCTATTAGACACAGTCTTTGACTTAAAGCCCGCTGATGGCTTCCCTCTGCTCTTTGGAGTAAAGACTCAAGTTATTTGGGTGTTTGTTTTGTTTTGTTTTAGAGGAAGTTTCGCTCTTTCACCCAGGCTGGAGTGCAGTGGTGTGATCTTGGCTCACTGCAACTTCTGCCTCCCAGGTTCAAGCAATTCTCTCACCTCAGCGTCCTGAGTACAGGCGCATGCCACCACGCCCGGCTAATTTTTGTATGTTTAGTAGAGATGGGGTTTCGCCATGTTGGCCAGGCTGGTCTCGAACTCCTGACCTCAGGTGTTCCACCCGTCTCGGCCTCCCAAAGTGCTGGGATTACAAGCTTGAGCCACCGTGCCCAGCCTTTTTTTCTTTTTTGATATAGTGTCTCACTCTGTCATCCAGACTGGAGTGCAGTGGCTCAATGTCAGCTCGCTGCAACCTCTGCCTCCCGGGTTCAAGCGATTCTCCTGCCTCAGCCTCCTGAGTAGCTGGGACTATAGGCACCCGCCACCACACCCAGCTAATTTTTGTATTTTTAGTAGAGATGGGGTTTCACCATGTTGGCCAGGCTGGTCTTGAACTCCTGGCCTCAGGTGATCCACTGCCTCGGCCTCCCAGGTGCTTACAGGTGTGAGGCACTGAGCCTGACCAGCTTTTCTTTTTCTTATATATTGTTTTCATTTATGCCACCTTTTTGTGCTTTATGTATCTTTGTCAGCAATCTTAAATTCTTTCTGGAATAATGTGGTGGTATAAATAAAAACATACAACATAAATATAAATAAATATAAAATGTAACAAGCTCTATAAAAACCTGTTCCTAAAATATCAACAGTGCTTGTTTTTTTGCAGAAAGAAATAAGATGATTAGAGATGTGTTGGGGGGAAATGTGCATCCTGTGGGGGCTGATGTGTGTGATTTTACGAAACCCAAAGTGTAAGCATTACAGATCACTTTAAGAAATACCATGGAGATAAAAAAATTATTTTTTTCCTACTTCATTATTTATTTATTTATTTATCTTGAGGCAGGGTCTCACACCCATCAGTCAGGCTGGAGTGTAGTGGTGCGATCGCGGCTCACTGCAGCCTCAACTTCCTGGGCTCAGGTGATCCTCCCACCTTAGCCTCCCCAGTAGCTGGGACTACTGGTGCGTGCCATGATGCCTGGTTAATTTTTTCCATTTTTAGTAGAGACGGGGTTTTGCCATGTTGCCCAGCCTGGTGTGGAACTGCTGGGCTCAAGCAATCCACCCGCCTCGGCCTCCCAAAGTATTGGGATTACAGGCGTAAACTACCACATCTGGCCAAAAATTATTTTCATTATTTACTCTTTTATAGGTATAGATTTAATGTATTTCTTTTATTATTTATTTCTCTAATACTTGTTCATGGTAGAAATTGAGGAAATACAAATAAGCAAAAAGGAACAAAATAAAAGCCATCTATATTTCACTAGTCAGAGATCATCACCACTAACTTCTTTAGGTGAAATTTGGATAGGGGGTAAAATTTTTGTATTTTTTTGTAGAGACGGGGTTTTGCCATATTGCCCAGGATGGTAGCGATCCTCCTGCCTCAGCCTCCAAAAATGCTGGGATTACAGGCATGAGCCTTCACACCCGGCCTTTTGATTTTCTTTACTCAAGATTTGGAGAGGGGTTCCCAGCAGGGCTTGGAGCAGGGCTTGGGGTCTGATGGATTAATGCTCCCCCACTAGGTAATGGGGGATGATGAAGAAGAGGAAGAGAAGGAAAAGGAGTACAGGAGGAAGAAGAGGAGGAGGAGGAAGGGAAGGAAGAGGGAGAAGGTAATGATGGGAACAGAAAGAATCTTTGAGGCTTGTGTGTGTGCCTTTGAGGCATATGAGGGTAAATTGGGAATTGAGAGGACCAGACAGTATCTGCTGCCTGGTCTGATTCAGGGATGAAATCTAACAGTCCTAGGGTGAAATGTTGTGGACAGAAGAGGTGAGAAACAGGATAGAAGCAGAACTGCCTTGGTGCCCAGACAACTGTAACTCAGCACTGAGGATGGCTGCCTGTACCCCATGTTTCTACAGGGCACAGTATGACTCTGCTGCTAGGGGCACCCAAGCAGAAGGCCATGCCCCTTCAGGGTCCTGCAGCTACTGAAGTGCCTGGGAGCAGTGCCCTAGGTAAGGCAGCAGTGGCAAGGGTGAGGCTCCCCTTTCAAGTGACATGGGGGCTGCAGATGCCAACGCAGCGCCTGAGCAGAGGGCCCTGGAGAGGAGTATACATAAGACAGGAGTATACATGAGCTTAAGCACATGCAGAAAGAACACGGTTGTTCATGACAGCTGGGCTGAGATTATTTTACTGGTGCATGTGGAAGCTCTTGGGTCAGAGAAAGTTAATGAACATCAAGGTAGCATCATGTAAGTGCTCAGAATGTCAGGCTTGGAAAAATTTAGATCTTTTAAATATATACATAGGCATTTAATTAATTACTTTAGAGACAAGGTCTCACTCTGTTGCCCAGGCTGGAGTGCAGTGGCACTGCTAGCTGTAACCTTGACTTTCAGGCTCAAGCCATCCTCCTACCTCAGCCTCCCGAGTAGCTGGGACTACATGTGTGCACCACCACACCTGGCTAATTTTTTTCTAAACAAAAACTTGTGATTTCTATGTTTTCAATGTCAGGTTTATTTTTAATAAAATGAAAGAACAGGAAAAGATGCACAATTTTCTGAAACTTCTGAGGTTGAGGTAGATGGGTTTTTCTTAAGATGTGTCTTTCATAACACTAGTTCCACAGGATGCTAACAGGTGTTAGATGAAAAATGGCTTCTGTTATCAAATGGACTTGGAAAACATTGGGTGAAACAGTTAAACAGTTTTCTTCCTACAAGACTGCACAGAGCTTCTCATATATTCATGTGCATAATGAGTCTCCATGAGAAGATGTGAGTTTAACAGCTGCCCCTCTTCCCAATCTGAGGCGCAGGAACATTCTTTGCTTTCATTGTTGCTGGTGTTAATTTCACTGATAGCTGCTGGGAATGATTCAGGGCATCTAATTGGTGTTTATCAATTGCTCTGTTTATCAATAGGTCACAGCGGCTACCAAGACAGAAATGTCACTTTTTGGTACCTAACCTGCTTGGACTTTGTATATCTCTTCCTGCACAATGAATTGCCTAAAAACATAGGAGGTTAAAAACAACAAAAAGCATTTATTATCTCACCGTTTCTGTGGATTAGGGATTTAGGGACGGCTTAGATGGGTGATTCTGGTTTCGTATGTCTCATGAGGTTGCAGTCACCTGAAGGCTTGACTGGAGTTGAAGCCTCCACTTCCAGGATGGTCCCAGTGAATCTCACCTCCTGGTATTCATGCCCTGTGTGGTTCCCTCCCATAATGAACAGGCCTGAGTTCATTGAGTGTAATGAACACTCCATAGGATATCATAGAAATGATGGACTGTGAATTCTGAGGCTAGATCACAAAAGACACTGACTTCTGTCCTGTTCTCTCTTGGATCACCTGCTCTGGAGGAAGTCAGCCACCACATGAGAACACTCAGCCAGCCTGGTAAGGAGACCTATGCATCAAGGAATTGAGGTCTCCAGCCAACAACCAGTACAACTTACTTGCCATGTGAATGAGCCATCCTGGAAGTGAATGACATCGTGACTACAACTTTATGAGAGACCCTAAGCCAGAACTATCCTGCTAAGCTGCTTCTAAATTCCTGATTCACCAAAATTTTGTAACATAATACATGTTCTTAGTTATTTTAAGCCACTAAATTTTGGGATAACTTGTTACACAGCAATAGATAACTAATACACATACTTAGTGCCAAGGCTGTGTAATAAACAGCCGATTCAGCTCACTAGCTAAGGAATCTGCTTACTTCCCAAGCCAAAAGTGGTCTTGACCAATGTCCTTTGACTGACCCCAAATGGTAATAGCACAAATAGTTCTCCCTATCCTTTCATACTAAAGCATCTCTGAAAGGTCTGACTCATGAGGGTCATTGGTATGGGGCATTGATGACTGGCACTTCTCAGAATTAGGGTTTATGAAATTTGTTTGATTCTTATGAGTCATTGTGAGTCTGGTTTCATGGTTTTTCCAGCTCAACATCTTTTTTTTAAATTTCTTTTTCAAAATTGGCTTTCTCGGGGTTGACAGCCTAACATTTTTTTTTTTTTTTTTTGAGATAGGGTCTCCATCGCCCAGGCTGTAGTGCAGTGGTACAATCACAGCTCACTGCAGCCTCCACCTCTCCTACTCAGCCTCTCAAGTAGCTGAGACTACAGGTAGGCACCACCACGTCTGGCTAATTTTGGTATTTTTTGTAGAGATGGGGTTTTGTCATGCTTCCCAGGCTGCTCTACAGCTCAACATTCTTGGCCATGGAATACTTTCTTTGTGCAATGGACATAGTTGGTCCTTACCAGCATTCCTTTTCCCTTCTTTCTAAGAGAGAGCCCCAGGAAAAGATGATCTCTCTTATTCTTCTTGCTGTTGTTGTTCTTGGAATTGCTGCTGCCATCCTATTTCCAGAAGAATAGTAAAATGAGCTCCAATGTATCTGTCACCCACCTTCAGCAATTACAACTCACCAATAATTCTTTCATCTATACTTCCACTCAAATCCATACCTCTCCCACCTCTGACAGTTTTGAAACAAATTCTAGTCATCACATTATTTCATACATAAATTTTAGTATGTATCTTAAAAAGATGAGGACTCTTAACACAATCACAATTCCTTTATCATACCTCAGACTCTTTTTCCCTCCCACACCAAATAATTCCTTTTCGTTGCATATCCATGACTATCGAGTTTTTACTTGGCTCACAGTCTGTCTAGGAACATAAATTCTCCTTGTGTCTAATTGAGACCTGTGCCTGCTGGGAGAGATAATTACTCGTTAGCAGTCAATAATCTCCTGTGCCTGGATCATAAGTGTCAGTACTATTTGAAAGGTTAACTGAGCCCAAATCCCTACTGTGAAACACGTAGTCAGACAGACTTGGTTTGGAGTCTTGCCAGTTACTAACTATGACTGTGGGCAAGGAGCTAAACTCCAGATCTCAGTTTTCACAATTATTTAAAAATATGACAGTACAGGGGACCCATGGACCTGGATGTTGGGAATAAGAAGCAGAGGGAACAGACTCTTCCTGAGCCCCAGAAATTGCATTCTGCTCCCCAGAAAACAGGTTCCCCTTTCCATTGCCCACTCTGTAACTCTTCCCCACCCATTCAGGTACTGATTGGAAGAGTCAGGATTTCTTCAGCAGTCTCGTATGTTTCAAATCAACCCAAGATTGTAGGGTAGGAGCTCAATATTGATGATAAATATATTTTATAAGTGTGTTTTTGAGAATATTTTCTTAAAGGCTCTTCCAATAAATAATTTACTGGGCAATGAAAAATGGAGAAGGTGACTCTGATTACACTTTGGAGCATCTAAAGTGTGAAGTTTAAGGAACCTAGGCAGCCCATGGCTATTTAAAAGCTTTCTGGAAGGGGTAATTCTTCCACATTTTTTTTAAAGGTTACAGCCCAGCAGTTGGTCTCTTGAATGGTGCTCTTCTCCTAACTCCCTCCTGGATGCCACTCTGAAATCATTATCGTCACAATTTCATTCTGCTTGGTGCATAGCACATAGCTCTTCTGAGCATTCCTTTTTTTGTCTTTAAAATTGAAATAGTCACATTGTTAGGATTTTGGGTGAGAAGTAAAAAAAAAATTTTTTTCTGAGACAGGATCTTGCTCTGTTGCCCAGGCTGGAGTGCAGTGGTGTGATCTTGGCTTACTGCAGCCCCAACATCATTGGCTCAAGTGATCCTCCCACCTCAGCCTCCTGAGTAGCTGGGATTCCAGGCACATGCCACCATACCCAGCTAATATTTTTATTTTTATTTTGTAGAGGCAGGGTCTTACTTTGTTTCTCAGGCTGGTTTCAAACTCCTGGCCTCAAGGGATCCTCCTGTCTTGGTCTCCCACAGTGCTGGGATTATATAGGTAGGAGGCATCACACCTGGCCTTTGGGTGAGAATTTGAAGGTATTTGAGATTGTTATGACCAGGAATTAATGAATCAATCAATCAGTAGATTAGTTGGTTCATTTATTAAATCAACAACTATTTAGTGAGTAACAATTAAGTGCCAGGTACTGTGTTAGGTTCTGAGTTTACTGTGGTAAATGATACAGCAATCTTTGCTCTTCTGGAGCTTAGAATCTGGAAGGGAAAGCAGTCCACAAATGGGTAAAAAGCAAACAAATATAAAAACAAAAACAATAAGTGTTCTGAAGATAATAATGGTCAGGAATGCTGATAGAGAATCTTGAAGGGGAGGAACTGTCTTAAATCTTGTGGTCAGGAAAGATTCCTCTGATGTGTGCAATTAAGCTGAGACCTGAAGGGTGAGCGCCCCAAGTCTCATTCCTGGGGGTTCCCAAAGAATTATTAATGGACCCTCTCATCAAGATAAAATGAAAATATCTTAATCTGGCATTCAAGTTTCTCCA
The DNA here is from genome assembly GCF_000001405.40 of Homo sapiens. Classification (NCBI taxonomy): domain Eukaryota; kingdom Metazoa; phylum Chordata; class Mammalia; order Primates; family Hominidae; genus Homo; species Homo sapiens. The sequence continues at coordinate 37,689,882 of NC_000020.11, forward strand.
AGATTAGGGTTGCCAGATAAAATAAATAATGCCCATTTAATTCTGAATTTCAGACAGAAAACATTTTTAGTATGTTATTAAATATTGCATGAGACAAATTTATAAAAAATTCATTATTTGTCTGAAATTCAGATTTAACTGGGTGTCCTGTATTTTTATTTGCTAAATCTGTTAACCCTCTTCGTGATCTTCTCCAGCCAGCCTCTCCACCTTTTCTTCCACACATTTGAAGCTCTGTCCACAAGGAAGGGTCCAATTGCCTTGTCTTTGCTCATGCTGTTCCCTCTGCCTGGGTCACCATTCTCCCACTGTATCTTCTTGGTAAACTCTTCTTTCCCTTTAAACCCCTGTCCAGATGTTACGTTCTCAGGGAAACCTCTAGCAGAGCACATTAGCCCCAGTTCAGGGTGCTCACCAAACCTGGTTCTTATAGGATTTTGCCTTATAATTCTGTGTTTTAGAACTGGTCTCTACAAAAACAGACAAGACTGATTGCCTAAAAAGGAAAGGTTATAAGGAATTCTCTCATTCTTCCTGCCCTCTCCCTTGCCCCTATCCCACTCAACTCCTTTTTCTTTCTTTTTTTTTTTTTTTTTTTTGAGAGACAAGGTCTTGCTCTGTCACCCAGGATGCAGTGGCACAATCCTGGCTCACTGCAACCTCTGCCTCCTGGGCTCAAGTGATTCTCCAGCCTCAGCCTCCTGAGTAGCCGAGACTACAGGCACGTGCCACCACATCTGGCTAAATTTTTTTTCTATTTTTTTGTAGAGACAGGGTCTCACTATGTTGCCCAGGCTGGTCTCGAACTCCTGGGCTCAAGGGATCCGCCTTGGTCTCCCAAAGCTCTGGGATTACAGACATGAGCCACCGTGCCCAGCTGCCAACTCCTTACAATATTAATATAAGACACACAGCACTTTTCTGTGCCAGGCACTGTGCCAAGTGCTTTGCATACAGCATTTCATGTAAACCCTCCATAACCTTATGAGGTAGATTTGGTTGAATCTCCACTTTGCAGGTGAGAAAATCAGGCATGTAGAGGTGAAGTTCATTGCCACTGTTTCCACATCTGTAAAATAAGACTCATATCAACATTTTCTCCATGAGGTTTTCACCCAAACTAGAATGTAGGTTTCCAGAAGGCAGGAGCTTTGTTTTATAAACTTCCATATCCTCAGAGCCCAGAATTGTGCCTAGCATTGAGTAGGCTCTCAGTAAATACTTGTTGAATGAATGAATGAATGAATGAGTCATGTTACAGATAAGGAAAGTGTAATTTAGGGACAGAGAAAGTAACTTACCCAAGGACCCATGGCTAGATATGGTGGAACTTCCACTAGAACCAGAATCAGGGTGTGTTGGGTAGATGTTTAACAACTGGCTCGGCTGGGTGCAGTGGCTCATGCCTGTAATCCCAGCACTTTGTGAGGCCAAGGCGGGGGGATTGCTTGAGCTCATGAGTTTGAGACCAGCCTGGGCAGCATGGTGAAACTCTATTTCTACAACAACAGCAACAACAACAACAACAACAAAATAAGCCAGGCATGGTGGCGCACGCCTGTAGTCCTAGCTATTTGGGAGGCTGAGGTGGGCTTCAGCCCGGGAGGGGGAGGTTGCAGTGAGCTGAGATCCCGCCACTGCACTCCAGCCTGGGTGATAGAGCCCGAGCTTGTCTCAAAAGCAAACAAAGAAACAAAAAAACCCTACAAGTAGCTCTCTGGAAAAACAACAACATTAACAACCCTGATTTGTAGCATTTGCTGATTTACATTGTACAAATACTCCTAGCATGGCTGATTTCAAGCTATCAACCTGGTGTCAATCAGCTTGCAAGTTTCCTACAAATTTAACCATGGGCTTTTGTAGACCTGTCTGTGCAAGCTGGCATCAACATACCATGAACTAGAACACAGGGGTCTGGGTCCAAAGGGTACACCCTCACCATTACTCTCTCCTGTCTTCCCAAACAAGGCACAGTCTATATTCTATTTTTTTTTTTTTTTTTTGAGACGTAGTCTTGCTCTGTCGCCAGGCTGGAGTGCAGTGGTGCCATCTTGGCTCACTACAATCTCCACCTCCCTGGTTCAAGCGATTCCCCTGCCTCAGCCTCCCAAGTAGCTGGGACTACAGGCACGTGCCACCACACCTGGCTAATTTTTTGTATTTTAGTAGAGATGGGTTTTCACCATGTGGGCCAGGAAGATCTCAATCTCCTGACCTCGTGATCTGCCCTCCTCGGCCTCCCAAAGTGCTGGGATTACAGGCGTGAGCTACCACACCCGGCCGGGCACAGTCCATATTCTTATATAAGTAGGAGGGGGAAAGACACCCAAATAGACTGAATTCAATGCAGATTGCATAGGTGATCCTTTAAAAACATAAGCCCAGTCACAAAACTACCTTGCTTAAAACTTTCCTTATGCCGTTAGCATAAAATCCAATCTCTCTCTCTTTTTTTTTTTTTTTTTTTTGAGACAGAGTCTTGCTCTGTCACCCAGGCTGGAGTGCAGTGGTGGAATCTCAGCTCACTACAGCCTCTGCCTCCTGGGTTCAAGCGATTCTCCTGCTTCAGCCTCCCAAGTAGAGGCATGTGCCACCATGCCCAGCTAATTTTTGTAATTTTTAGTAGAGACGAGGTTTCACCATGGTGGTCAGGCTGGTCTCAAACTCCTGACTTCAAGTGATCTGCCCGCCTTGGCCTCCTAAAGTGCTGAGCTTACAGGCGTGAGCCACCACGCCCGGCCACGCCTAGCCAAAATCTAATCTCTTTACCATGGCACACAAGGCCCATTATGAAACCTCTCCCTCTACCAGGCACTGTACTAGGCTTGGGGGATACAGTGGTGAACATGACACACACATGTCCTGCTTGCATAGAGCTTGCAATCCAGTAAATGAGGCTGTCAAGAAACAAATAGTCAACCATTAAGCACAAAATTACAGAATGAGATATATACGTAGTGGAGCAGGTACTTGGAAAAAGAATAATGAGGAGAGAGGTTGATTACCTGGACCAGGGTGAGTTGAAGAAGCCCTTGTAAGAAAGTGACATTTGAGACCCGAAAGATGAGAGAATTGGATGAGGTATGGTGCTGATGGCCAGGCAGAAGGGGAGAGGATTTGTCATTCTGAGGAATAAGAATAATTTCTGTATAATTGGAGCCAGTGCAGATGGGATGGGGACCAAAATTATAAATATGAAGGGCATATAAATATAATATAATACATAAATATAATTATAAATATAAAGGACAGGGGCTTATGGAAGGAGGTTTAATTTCCTTTGAAGATGGAGCCTTAAGTCCCAGGTGCATTCTGATCTTGTTTAAGATCAGATGCACTCTGAATGATTCTCTTCCAATTATGGGCAACTTTCTCCTCCAGAAACCTTTTTATATCACCTGGGTAGCAAGGGGATCATCTAGTGACCGTTAGACTTCGCATAGATGAGCAGACACAAGCCTAGAGAGGGACATGTGATCACCAATAGTTTCTCAGCCAGTAATAGTTGTACAGCCTTGGAACAAGTCACTTTTTGAGCCAGCACTATCTGATAGAAATTAATGGGAACCACAAATGAGAGCCACATGTGTAATTTAAAACTTTCTACTAACCACATTTAAGAAGTAAAGAGAAACAGGTAAAATTCATTTTATAATATATGAATTTGACCCAGTATATCCAAAATATCATTTCAACCTGTAATCAATGTAAGTCTTAGAAATCTGGTGTGTATTTTATTTACACTTATGGCACATCTCACTTCGGAGTAGCCATATCTCAAGCGCTCGGTAGCCATATGTGGCTAGTGAGTAAAGTATTGGATGGTGCAGTTGGGAGCGTCAGTTTCCTTTTCTGTGAAATGAGGATAAATCACTGGAAGCTCGTGAGAGCGCACACGAAACACCCGGCACTCCGCCCTGGACACTAGGGACGCGCAATCAAGTTTGGTTTCTTCTGGTCCCTGCTCTCCCCTCCCGCCCCTCCTCTAAGTCTCCGCCCCCTTTCCCCGCCCCCTCAGGCTCCAGGCGGAAGCAACCCTGTTCCAAATGCAGCGCGCTTTACGGCGGCGCGTCCTTTTACCGCGGTGTGGCCGGCTCGCTTGTCGCTCGCACTTTTGCCCTATTGGCTCTGCGGCTCCGCTCGCCGCACTTTACGGCAGTGTGGCTGGAGCCGCGGCTGACGGGCCCGCGGTCTGGGCGTGAGTGCAGGGAAGTGGAGTATTTGCTGGGCCGGGTACCATGGACGTGGGCGAACTTCTGAGCTACCAGGTATGAGGGGCAGGGAGGGCCGAGCGACCGCGTTCTCACCTGGGCAGGGGTCGCAGGAGCCAGAGCCCTTTCATCTCACCTCCTCTCGCCTCACTCCCGGGCCCTCTAACTTCTCATGCCACCCGGGGTCTCAGCCCCTCGTTTTACTTTGCTCTCCGAAGCCCTCCTGGGCCCTTTCGATTCATCCCTTCTCAAGACCTGAGCCCTTCACCTCCTCTTCCTCACCCTGGGGCCTGGTTCCCTGAAACTCCTCTGAAACCCCAGACTATCCTTTTTTTCACAACCATGTCCTCTCAGCTCTCATGTCCCCCCAGTCATTGAGGTGATGGTGGTGGCGGCGGTGGGAGTGCACTGGTCTCACTTGGATTTGATCTCCAGCTTCTCCACTGACTGGCTATGTGGCTTTTGGACAAGTCATTCCCCCCCTCTTTGAACCAAGTTTTTGTATCTATATAGTGGAGACACTAATAACTGCCTTAGTAGGGTTGTTTGAGGACTGTACCAACTGATATGTATGAAAGCTGGTTTTAAAGTGTGGAAAGCTGTGCTTGTGTTTACTGCGATTTGCAGGAGATGTTGGGAATTCTAGCATGGAATGAGTTTCTAGGAATCTTGCTCAGGGTCCCCCTTGCCTAGGAAACTTGTGGGGAAACTGTATGGGACCTAGAGAGCAGAAAGGGCTTGTCCAAAGTCACTCAGAAACAAGGAGCTGGAATTTGAGCTCAGGCGTACTGACTTCCACCCCAAAGTTTTTCCCCCACTTTGATTCCATAGGAGGGTCATTGCGAGGAGCAGTAGAGCTGCACTGCCGAATGTCGTAGCCACTAGCCACATAGGCTGTTGATTGCTTGAAATGTGACTAGTCTGAATTGAGAAATACTGTAAGTATAAAGACACATTTGGGTTGGAGACTAGTATGGAAAAAGTGAAATTTTTATATTGATTACATGATCGTACTGATTATATCAATTACATTGGTTATTGGTCATATTGATTAAATGATCATATTTTGGATAATGGGTGAAATAAAATATACTTAATTAATTTTTAAAATTTTATTTTATTGTTATTTAGAGACAGGATCTTGCTCTGTCGCCCATGCTGGAGTGCAGTGGCACAATCATTGCTCACAGTAGCCTTAAACTCCTAGGTCTAAGGTATCCTCCCAAGTAGCTAGGACTGCAGGCAGGCATCACTATGCTTGGCTGATTTTTAAATTTTTTGTAGAGACAGGGTCTTGCTATGTTGCCCAAGATGGTCTCAAACTCCTAGCCTCAAGCAGTCTTCCCACTTGGCCTCCCAAAGTGCTGGGATTACAGGTATGAGCCACCACACACCACACTCAGCCAATAAAATATGTTTAAAACCAATTTTAACTGCCCCTCTTGACATTTTAATGTGTTTACTAGAAAATTTAAAACAACATATATAGTTCAGCTTATATTTTTGTTAGACAGCCCTGCAGTCAAGAATAGGTGATTAAGAGCCATGAGTCTGGACCCCTAGGTTGCTGGCAGTCTCTGTTTTGCTACTAACTGGCTGCTGTAACCTTGAACAAAATACTTAATTTCTCTCTGCCTTGGTTTCTTCATCTGTAAATGGGGGACAGTGACGGTAGCTGCCTCACAGGGCTGTTGTGAAGCTGTTGAGAAATGGAAAGTCCTTAGACAATGCTTGCCAAAGAGTAAACATTCAGTAAATATTAGCAGTTATTTTCATACCACTCCCTCAGCCAAAGTACAAGAAATTGACCCTGGACGCTTAAGACATCATGGGAAAGAACAGTTCAGCAATGGGGAGCTATATAGCCAAGAGATTTTTCTTTTAAAGACAGTTTAATTGATAGTGAAAGATGAAGGGAAATAGGCAAGTTATTAAATCAGTGATTGTATGCCGGCTTGGAATTTCTAGAATGGCTAGCCCATTAAAGCTAGAAGAGTTTCATTCATTTGCTCAACAAATATATATTGAACACCTACTGTGTGCAAGGCAGTCTATCCACTGGGTATACAACACTGAATAAAAGACAAGATTCTTGCTTTTGTGGAGCATCTGGTGGGAAGTTACAAGATAATAAGTAAACAATGCATTCAGTTTGTGGTAAGTGCTGGGAAGGGAATATAGCAGAGTATGCTATAAAATTGCACTGCTTTGTATAGTAGCCACTAGGCACATGTGATTATTGAATACTTAAAATGTGACTAGTTTCGAATTTAGATCTGCTACATGTGCAAAATACACACTGGATTTCAAAGATTTAGTATGAAAATAATGTACAATATCTTTTTTTTTTTTTTTTTTTTTTTTTGAGATGGAGTTTCACTCTTGTTGCCCAGGCTGGAGTGCAATGGTGAGATCTCAGCTGACTGCAACCTCTGCCTCTTGGGTTCAAGCGATTCTCCTGCCTCAGCCTCCTGAGTAGCTGGGATTACGGGCATGCGCCACCACGCCTGGCTAATTTTTGTATTTTTAGTAGAGATGGGGTTTCTCCATGTTGGTCAGGCTGGTCTTGACTCCCAACCTCAGGTGATCTGCCAGCCTTGGCCTCCCAAAGTGCTGTGATTACAGGCGTGAGCCACTGCCCCTGGCCACGTGAAAATAATGTACAGTACCTTAACTTTTATGCTGATTACATGTTGAATAAATGATAACACTTACGATATATTGGATTAAAGAAAATATATTATTAAAATTAATGTTGCTTTTTAAAAAACTTTTAAAATGTGGCTACTAGAAAATGTAAAGTGGGCCGGGTGTGGTAGCTCATGCCTGTAATCCCAGCACTTTGGAAGGCTGAGGCGGGTGGGTCACCTGAGGTTGGGAGTTTGAGACCAGCCTGACCAACATGAAGAAACCATGTCTCTACTAAAAATATAAAAAATTAGCCGGGCGTGGTGGTGCATGCCTGTAATCCCAGCTACTTGGGAGGCTGAGGCAGGAGAATTGCTTGAACCTGGGAGGTAGAGGTTGCAGTGAGCTGAGATCATCCCATTGCACTCCAGCCTGGGCAACAAGAGCGAAACTCTCTCTCAAAGAAAAAAAAAAAGAAAGAAAATGTAAAGTTAGGTGTTTTGTTTGTGGCTTTTGTTGTATTTTTATTGGACAACACTCCTGTCGAAAATAACCCCTGGGAGTTGGGGACAGGACCTTTTACTTTATGTAATGTGGTCGAGGAAGGACACAGAGGAATGGGCATTAAAGGACTGAAGGTTGAGAGGGACCCAGTCATGTGAAGGGAGCAGAATGATGGAGGCAGCAAGAACAGCAAGTATGGACATAGGCTATTGGTAGAAGCTGGTGCAGCCTCATAGGGGACCAGAAAGAGGATCTATGTAGCTGAAACGGGAAGTGAGCAGGGGAATGGTAAGTGACAAAGCTGAAGATGTAGGCATGTGACAAGACTATGTAGGCCTTCCTTGTGGGCCACGATAAAGACCTTGACTTTGAGAGATACGGTAGATACCTTCATTCAACCCACTTGTTCATGGATGAAAGTGAACCTTAGTCTGATAAAGGGACTCACCTGAGGTTGTGGGCCAAGATGGTGGCCAGAGTTGAAACTAGAATCCTGGTCTCCTTATTATTATTTTTTAATGTTTACACATCTTACCACATTTAATCTTAATGGCAGTACTTAATATGTTAATATAGGAACCTTCATTTTAAAGATGAGGGAATAGGTATAGAGAATAAAAAACGTGTCCAGATTCACACAAGTGAAATGTACCTCAAGGATTCCAATCTAGGTAGCTTTGCTTCGTGATCATAAACATTTGTTTATTGTGTTATTCCAAAAGTATTTCATTTTGTCAATCTGACCCCTTTCCCCCTCACCAAGAGCAAATATGCCTAGCGCCTACAGGTAGATTGGGGTTGCCACAGGCTAATTTTCCTGAACTGCAAAATATTACTTGCCTTCCTTATCCTGGATCTTGGCCTTTACATTTTCTATTGTATCTGAGGGTTCAATCTAAGAGTTTTAAAATGCAAATATGTTGGTTGCACAATAAGGAACTACAATACTAGAACTCATTTAATTCAGGTTGACAACACTGAACTGAACCAGTAACAGGGCTGAAACCTCCTAAGTCTGCTACTGGAGAGCACTTTGATCTCGCCAGCCTAGGGCGGGCATGCTCATGTCCAGCTGGCCAGCCAGGAGCATCTCCTTCCCCATCGCAGGTTCCCCACTTTGGTTAATTGGCCGGCTAGAACCATTCGAGAGGTGAGAGGCCCACCCGTTAGGCACCAAAAACCAGCTCTAGGCCTTTGCTCAGCGAAATATCCTCAATTCAAGGCTAAGTTTCAGAACCCAAATTCAGAATCATGGTCTAAGGCTTGGAAAGCAGCACCAGTCCCAAAATCCACCTCAGGACCTTATTCAGGCCCTGGCTTCCTTACACCACCTGGCCCTTATCTCAGAATCCTGGTCTCCTTATTTCCAACTCTGTACATTCCCCATGTGTTCTGTTCATTCAGTTTTCTTTTTGTAAGATCCATGTCCACTCTTCCTGTTCCTAAAAGATGGTAAAGGCTGGAATGTAGTTCATAATCAGTTGCACCCATCCTCTTGCAGAAAGTCATGAGTTTATGGATGCAAAAGTTCTTTGAGGCCAAGCGTGGTTGTTCACCCCTGTAATCCCAGCACTTTGGGAGGCCAAGGCAGGCGGATCTCTTGAGTCCAGGAGTTCCAGACCAGCCTGGGCAACATGGTGAAAACCTGTCTCTACAAAAAGTTTAAAAATCAGCTGGGCATGGTGGTGTGTGTCTGTGGTCCCAGCTACTTAGGAGGCTGAGGAGGGAGGATTACTTGAGCCTGGGAAGCAGAAGTTACACTGAGCCAAGATCATGCCACTGTGCTCTAGCCTGGGTGACAGAGCAAGACCCTGTCTCAAAAACAAAAAACAAACAAACAAAAAAACTCCTTGAAAACAGTAACATTTTATAGACATGAAAGATGCTTTACTAACCAGCATGATCTATCTAAATCCTCATAACAACCCTATGAGGAAGGTACTGTTGTTAATCCCTGTTGTACAGATAAGGAAACTGAGGTACAGAAAAGAGCACCTACCTTAAGGCATCTAGCTAGGTAGAGGCAAGTCCAGGGTACCCGGGTAGTCTTACTTCATAGTTGGAGCTCCTAACCACTGTGCCATACTGCCTGCCTGCTATATGCCAGATGCAGAACCAAAGTGTTTTCAGACAAGTTATCACATTTAATTCTCAACATGCCTTCTGAGGTTGGCAGCATGCCTGTATTATAGGAAAGGAAACTCAACCTAGGGAGGTCAAGCTGCCTGCCGAAAGCCAGACAACCAGTAAGGAGCAGGGCCAGAACTGAAACCAGCTGAACACTCAGAGGTAGTTTTCCATTTTGTTTTCAGATTTGAAAACTTTTTAAAGTTGAAGTATAGTCCACATGTTGAATAATACATACATCTTATGAGCCTTTGGTTATAGTTATCATTTACAAAGTAGACTCAGTACGACCACTGAAGTTTGCTTCTCAGGGACATAAGGGAACAAAATTGTCTGATTTGAACATCCCCATCCCTAGAGTTTGATTCAGTCTCCTGTGGGACTTTAGATTCTGCATTTCTAACCAGATCCCAGGTGATGCTGATGCTGTACTTTGTGATCCCCTGGTCTAAAATGATCTCCCTTCCTTGAAAAATTTTCCCCAGCTGAGACATTCTCTTCCTCTCTTGTGGGCATTGGTTTGCAGATTTTTGAGCTTAAGTTGTACTTTTTCCCTGCCATTCAAGATATTGAGAGCAAATCACTTAATCTTCCTGGGCCTCAGTTTCCTCATATGCCTAATGAGGGGATTAAGTACGCGACTCTCTCTGAGGCCCCTTCTAGCTTTAAAATTCTGTGGTACTAATTATTTAGACCGGGGCTCCAGAGATTTCAAGGGATAAAAACGCTTCATGTGGTAGACTGAGTGGGGCTGAGAATCTGGGAGATTTGGGTTTTAATCCCACTTTTATCATTACTTATCTGGGTGACTCAGGACAAGTCACTTTCCCTTTCTATACATCATTTTTTTTCAATCGCTTGTAAAATGAGGAGACTGAGCGATATGACTTCTGGTTCTTTTCATTTCCAAAATTCAGAGACTAAGATGGATGCCGTTTCTAAAATTCAGAGACTAAGCCAGGAAAAATATCATGCAGTGTCAAGAAATGTTTATTAAAAGTATTTAACATTTTTTGGGTGCTTACTACATTTCATTTTTGGGGCGACTTGGTGGGAAGATTCCAATTTTCTGCTGAGATTGGTTCTTCTACAAGTAATAGAGATAGGCACTAAGCGCCTCAGTATATGCCGTATATCCTTGACATATGTTAACTATTCATTTGAGAAGACAGGAGAATTACAATATGGGCAGGAGGTGGTGGAAAAAGTCTTCAAGAGGGAACCAGTTATGTTCCCAATATGGAAATGTACTTTTTTGATGCCTTCAGGCTTAGACATCTCATCAAGAAGTGTGCCCAGCAGTGCCTTGGCTGAGAAGTTTCTGCTGGCATAGGCGCATATATGAACTCCAGGGCACTCTCATTAAATCTGATTCCACAGATGTCTGGAAAAAGTTCTTACCTCTGAAGTTTTCCAATAAAGAATTCACATTTAGTATGGCTTGTGACATGAGATGTATTCTTTTTGAGGCAAATTTGAGGCTAAGGGACCCTTGGTTTTGGTGATATTGCAGACACCCACTCCTCTTGTCCTCTATCAGTAATATCTTAGCATATCTCTTGGATTGCAGGAGCTTACAGAAATATCTAAACTTGCTCCTTTCCCCCTCCTAGTTTTTTCTTTTGAAATAAAATTTTAAATGATAATAAAGTGATAGAAATAGTATTAAAGAAAATGCTTGAGAAGAGGAAAACTATTATCCTAATTCAATCAATATTTTTCTGTTCCCACAGTCCTTACGTATTTTGTGAGGCTAGAACCATTGCATATATACTACTTTATGTTCTATGTTTTTAATTTAACATTGCCAGGAATATTTTCTGTGTTTCTACATCTCCTTCATGTTATTTTTAATATTTGCATACTTTTTGCTTGAGTGATAGACCATTTTCCCTAAATTGTTCTTCTACAATTGGATGTTTAGGTGGTTTTCCGGTTTTTGTTCTTGGAGATAACATTGTAGTGAAGTGCTTTGTTCATGTAGCATTTTTTTCCTTCCCATCTGTCATTAGTATTTACCATGTGCCATCTCCTGTGCCAAGTATTGCATGCACTAAAATTATTATGACATGGACCATGGACATTAAAGAAGAATTCATAATGTAAGGAGCAAGACAGACATTTAGAAAACTAACTCTATGAATAAAAGTATTATGGGAGCACAATGGAAGGAACGGTTGGATATGGAAAGGGGATATATCGATGGGGATGGATTTGGTTTGGTCATTGAAGAAAAGGGAGATGACACTGGAATCCTAGCCTTGATGAATGGGTAGGGATTCTGTGGGTGGTAAAGGACACTGGGGACAGTGATTCTTGACTGGCATTATTAAGAGCAAAAGCAGGGTAGTGAAATGTTCAAAGCATAGGGTAAATGCAGCAATGGGTAAAAAGCAGGGAGTGGTCGGAGACGATGGGGGTCATCTCAGCTGCAGATGTGTGGCGTAATACATCGTACGCTCATCTCAGCTGCAGATGTGTGGCGTAATACATCGTACGCTCATCTCAGCTGCAGATGTGTGGCGTAATACATCGTACGCTCATCTCAGCTGCAGATGTGTGGCGTAATACATTGTACGCTCATCTCAGCTGCAGATGTGTGGCGTAATACATCGTACGCACGTGGAATGAATCATTGGTTGTTTTACAGTGCTAACAGTATACTGTTTGTGTGTGTTCCAATTTTATTACAACCTTTTTTTAAAAAATAGAATCAGGGCCTCCCTGTGTTGTCCAGGCTGGTCTTGAACTCTTGGACTTGAGCTATCCTCCTGCCTCAGTCTCCTAAAGTGCTGGGATTACAAGCGTGAGCCACTGTGGCTGGCCCCAGTTTTATTACAATCTTGATAGTACTAGTTCATAATTTATTTTTTCCACTAATCTACTAGGTATATTAAATACTAGTTCAAGGTTGCTTTATTAAGCATTATTTTCTTCTTGTGTGAGTTTATCATTTGTATTATTATGTGCCTCATAAGGTAGTCATTGTAATTTCGTAATTGAGTTTTTCTGTTATATGGGTTTTTTGGTTGTTGTTGTTGTGTGTATAAGAAACATTACTGAAAATCTGAAAACTGGTGCTCAGATACATCCTTCATTCTGTGAAGGCCTCATCCCAGTAGCCCTAAGAATATGATTCTAATCATGAAGTCATTTTATATAGGCTCTTTTTGCATGTCAGTTTAGTACATTTTGAAGTTACTTTTTGTTGGAAGTGTGACTCTAACAGATAAGGAGGACCAGAACAGATACAGAGCTATTCTCATTGATAACATTTCAGACTGTTTTTCTCTTTCATCTCATGAGTGATTTTTTTCCTTAAGTTCACTTCCTCCCTCTGCGTTCTTCTCATCATCTCTTTCTTCTGGCCCATTCTTCTCACACTTACAAAACACATTCTATTTATATGCCTCCTTACACACACTTTTTACTAAACTGTAGACTTAGAGGCAAGGACCAGCACCTAGCAGAGCATCTCAACTGTAGTTAATGTCTAATACATGGTTGTTTAATGATTGAATGAACTGGGACATGCCTTTGTATATGCCCTGGTTGTTTCCCCTTCTGGAAAGCTCTTGTTCTACTATCTTGTTAGCTTGTTGGCCTACATCTCTGTGCTTTCATGTCAGACTTCAAGAAAATTGGGTTCACAACTGATACTTCAGTTGCTTAATCATTTTCCTCTTCTTTATTATCATATCTTGCCACTCTTGCTACAAAACCTATATTCTTTGCTTTTTAACTTTTTATTTTGAATTTTAAACTTAGAAAAAATTATAAAAATAGTAGAGTTTCCGTATATTCCTCATCCAGCTTCCCCTAAAGCTAACATCTCATATAACCATTATGTAAAGATCAAAACTAGGGAATTAACATTCGTGTAATACTAGTAACTAAACTGCACACTTAATTCACATGCCATCAGAGATGTCTGGTCATTTTTCTGTTCCAGGTTTCTATCCAGGATCCCACATAATGTTTGTCATATTTCCTTAGTCTTCCGTTATCTTTCATGTTGAAGAGTACTGGTCAGCTATTTTGTAGAATGTCCAAAACCTACATTCTTGAACTTGTCAGTGCTGTCTTTTGCCAAAGATTTTCTTGGGCCTCATTATTCTGGAATCTTCACTAGAATTTGACTCTGTAACTCTCTTCTTCATCATTTTAGAAGAACTCATTCATTCTTTTCCTTTCAGCATCTTTTTGCAGACAGCTCTTAGTTCACCGTCCCTGATTAATGTTTCGTGTGTGTACTGAACATTCTGGCCAGATGTTCAGATATCACATAATTCTCTGCTTCCTCCCCTGCCTATCCCCATGGCCAGCTTTGCATTTCAGTCAGGGGTGTTGATGTTCAGCAGACTTGAAAGGAGCCTTGGAACTATTTCTCAAAGATGAAACGGCTCAAAGATGAAAGACAAGGTTCTTTACTTTTTTTTTTTTTTTTGAGACAGAGTTTTGCTCTTGTTGCCCAGTGCAATGGCATGATCTCGGCTCACTGCAACCTCTGCCTCCTGGGTTCAAGCGACTCTCCTGCCTCAGCCTCCTGAGTCGCCGGGATTACAGGCATGTGCCACCACGCCTGGCTAATTTTGTATTTTTAGTAGAAACGGGGTTTCTCCGTGTTGGTCAGGTTGGTCTCGAACTCCTGACCTCAGGTGATCCACCTGTCTCGACCTCCCAAAGTGCTGGGATTACAGGCATGAGCCACCGTGCCCGGCCATGGTTCTTTTCTTCATGGTTGGTACAGGCTCATGAGCACAGAGCCTGCCTCTCTCTCAGAGTAAAGAAGGTGTTAGGATATGAAAATGATTAACTCACAGTTTTTGCTCTCCTGGAGCTTGCAGTCTAATGGGGTATACCCCAGATTTGAAATCCAAGTATAGAGTGTCAGTGCTGTCAGGGCTGTTATGGTGCCATGAACAAGATGTGGTGGCACAAAGACACAAGCAGCTCTACTGCTGGGAAGTTGGAAAAGGCTTTATGGAGGGAGCGCTGCACCTTCAGGAGTCTTCTCTCCATCCCTTCCTTTCTGTTCCAACCGCCACCACCTTAGTTTAGACTCTTAAAACTTTGTTGACAGGGTGTAGTGCTTCACACCTGTAATCCCAGCACTTTGGGAGGCTGAGGTGGGAGGATCTCTTGAGCTCAGGAGTTTGAGACCAGCCTGGGCAACACAGTGAGACATCGTCTCAAAAAAAAAAAAATTTGCTGGGTTTGGAGGTGCGCGCTTATAATCCCAGCTACTGGGGATGCTGAAGTGGGAGGATTGCTTGAGACCAGGAGATTGATGTTGCAATGAGCGGTGATCACACCACTGCACTCCAGCCTGGATGACAGAGCTAGATCCTGTCTCAAAAAAAAAAAAGGGAAGACTGTCAAATAAGTAGCCTCCTGGGTGGTCTTACTTTTATCATTGTGGATCTCATATTGGCATGGTGAGATCCAACAGAGGCCAACAGAGAACACTGTTCTTCAGTCATAGACTTCAGTCCTACCTAGTTCAGCTTCCTTGGAGACAGGTCTTCTTACTAAGTTGCCTTGCTAATTTTGAAGGTGAATTTGGTGAAGACAGCCATGTCTTTCTGCAGTCTCTCAGTAGTTGTCATTGTTTAAATTGAGGGATTGAATTTATAAGGTTTAACCAATTAGAGAAGTTTTCGTATATAAAAATGACTTCATTGGAGAATGTGGATGGTTCACAATAGCTTGTCAGCACTGTGGGAGAAAATACTTCAAAGCCTGTTAGGCATCCCTTAATGTTTAGCTTAGTGCATGAACATGAACTCTGGGTCAGATGGCCTGCATTGGAATCTCAGCTCTGCTACTTGCTAGCTATGTGACCTTGGGTCCATTAATTAACCTCTTTAAGCCTCAGGTCTTCATCTTTAAAATAGAGATTGTATAATAGTGTCTATCTCTGCCCAACCATCTTTAAAAAAATTTCTGCTTTACCATCTTTCTTAAAAATAAAGGATTAAATGAGACAATTTGGATATTGCTAAGTAGTACAGTGCCTGACACATAGTGAGTGCCCAGTAAGTGTTACCCATTAATTTTCGTTATTTATCTCATTACTAACAACACGCATGCTACAGCAACATGGCAAAAAAAAATTTTTTTTTAATTCTACAAAATTGCCTCAGTATTCCCAAGGTCATTGGTCCCTTGGAGATTAAGGTTCAGAATCCTGTATAAAGAAATGAGAACAGTTTGTTACCCACACATGCTACAGTATAGAAATGTTCACAGTAGGTTAAAATACAACTTTATTATATCAAGAATTATGTCATCACCATAGTAATTATTTTCCCGTGGTCTCTTTAATATTACTAAGATATCTCAGTTTTCCTATTTTCTAGCGCCAAGAATCTCGTTTACAAATTACTCCTTCCTTTGTCTTTTTTTCCCCTTAGTGTCCCTAAAGGAAGTGGTTGGGTTTGGTCTGAGTCTTGTGTAGCTGTAGAGAAATTGGAATCAGGAGAAGATGTAGTAGGAATTCTGATACTGCTTTTACCTTCTCCAAGGTCAGCCATTTACCTCTTTAGTATTTCAGCTGAATATTGGCATCCCTTGGAGATATTAAGGGTTTGGTTCCAAACCACTCCAGTAAAGCAAGTCATACAAATCTTTTGGTTTCCCAGTGCATATTAAAGTTCTGTTTATACTATACTGCAGCCTAATAAGTGTGCAATAGTATTGTATCTGAACAATGCACATACTTTAATTAAAAATGCTTTGTTGTTAAAAGCTGCTAACCATCATCTGAGCCTTCAGCAAGTTATCTTTTTGCTGGTGGATGGAGGGTCTTGCCTCCTTTTGCTGGCTGCTGACTGATTAGGGTGGTGTTTGCTGAAGGTTGGGGTGGCTGTGGCAATTTCTTAAGACAACGATGAAGTCTGCTCCATCTGTTGGCTCTTCCTTTCATGAAAGATTTCTCTGTAGCAAGCTGTGCTGTTTCATAGCGTTTTACCCACAGTAGAACTTTTTTCAGAATTAGAGTCAGTTCTCTTAAACTGTGCTGCCAATTTATCATCTAAGTTCATGTAATATTCTAAATCCTTTGTTGTCATTTCAACAATGTCCACAGCATCTTCACTAGGAGTAGAGTTTATCTCTAGAAGCCACTTTCTTTGCTTATCCTTAGGAAACATTCCATTCAAGTCTGATCATGAGATTGCAGCAATTCAGTCACATCTTCAGGCTCTGCTTCGAATTCTAGTTATCTTACTGTTTCCACCACATCTGCAGTTAGTTCTTCCACTGAAATCTTGAACCCCTCAAAGACATCCACGAGGATTGGAATCAACTTCTTCTAAACTCCTGTTAATGTTAATATATTGTCCTCCTCCCATGAATTATGAATGTTCTTGATGGCATCTAGAATGATAAATCTTTTCCAGAAAGTTTTCAATTTATTTTGCCCAGATCCATCAGAAGAATCACTATCCATGGCAGCTATAGACTTATGAATGCATTTCTTAAATATTAAAGAATAATACTTGAAAGTTGAAATTACTCTTTGATCCATGGGCTGCAGAATGGATGCTGTGTGTGCAGGCATATAATTAACATTCATCTCCTTGTACATCTCCATCAGACCTCTTGGGTGACCAGATGCATTGGCAATGAACAGTAATATTTTGGAAGAAATTTTTTTTTTTCTGAGCAGTAGGTCTTAACAGTGGGCTTAAAATATTCAGTAAACAATGCTGTAAACAGATATGCTGTCATCCAGGCTTTGTTATTCCATTTCTAGAACACAGGCAGGGTAGATTTAGCATAATTCCCAAGGGCCCTAGGATTTCAAAATGCTAAATGAGCATTGGCTTCAATTTAAAAGTCATTAGTCCCTAAGAAGAGCATCAGCCTGTCCTTTGAAGCTTTGAGGCCAGGCATTGACTTCTCTCTAGCTGTGAAAATCCTAGATGGCCTCTTCTTCCAACAGAAGGCTGTTTTGTCAACATTGAAAATCTGTTGTTTAGTGTAGCCACCTTCATCAATGATCTTAGCTAATTCTTCTGACTAACTTGCTGCAGCTTCTACATCAGCACTTCTGGGTTCACCTTGCGCTTTCATGTTATGGAAGTGGCTTCTTTCCTTAAGCCTTATGAATAAGCCTCTGCTAGCTTCAAACTTTGTGTGCAGCTTCCTCACCTCTCTTAGCCTTCATAGAACTGAAGAGAGTTAGGGCCTTGCTCTGGATTAGGCTTGGCTCAAGAGAATGTTGTGACTGGTTTGATCTTCTGTCCAGAGCACTAAGACTTTCTCCATATAAGCAGTAAGGCTCTTTAGCTCTTTTACTATTCATATGTTTACTGGAGTAGCACTTTTAATATCCTTCAAGAGCTTTTCCTGTGCATTCACGCTTTTCTGTCTGGTATAACAGGCCTCGCTTTCGGCCCATTGCCGCTTTCAACATCCTTTCCTCACTAAAGCTTAATCATGTATAGCTTTTGATTTAAAGTGAGAGATGTGAGACTCTTTCTTTCACTTGAACACTTAGGGCCATTGTAGGGTTATTAATTACTTAATTGCAGTATTGTTGTGTCTCAGAGAATAGGGAGACCTGAGGAGAGAGAGAGAGAGAGAGAAAGAGGAAAGGCTGGTTGAGGCACTCAGAACACACACATTTATTCATTAAGTTCGCTGTCTCACGTGGGCGTGTTTGTAGTGCCTGAAAACAAAGTAGTAATATTAAAGATCACTCATCACGGATTACCATAGCAGATATGATAATAATGAAAAAGTTTGAAACATTGCAGTAATTGTCAAAATGTGACACAGACATGAAGTGAACACATGATTTTGGAAAAATGGCAGCGATAGACTTTCTTTTTTTTTTTTTTGGAGGTAGAGTCTGGCTCTATTGCCCAGGCTGGAGTACAGCAGCAGGATCATGGTTCCCTGCAGCCTTGACCTCATGGGCTCGAGCAATCCCAGATTAGCTGGGACTACAGGTGTGTGCCACCATGCCCAGCTAATTTTTGTATTTTTTGTAGAGATGGGGTTTTGGCATGTTGCCCAGTCTGGTCTGAAACTCTTGGGCTCAAGTGATCTGCCCACCTCAGCCTCCCAAAGTGTTGGGATTACAGGTGTGAGCCACCGCGCCCAGCTGATAGACTTTCTTGATGCGGGGTTTCTATAAATCTTCAATTTGTAAAAAGCACAGTATCTGCAAAGGGGGAAAAAAATGAGGTATGCTTGTAGTTCAGAACTAGTTTCTTTTCCATAGAATTCCAGCAGTGACTGATCTGAAAATGTTTTAGCCTAAACTTTAGAATTCCAGCTCCATTGTGGGTTGGTAAATGGAAATTAGCTTTTCTTCATCCTGGAGTTCAGTGAAGGATCTAGTGAGACTACTGCAGTGCCTTTCTATCTTTTAACTCACTTTGGATTATCAGCTGCTTGTAAGCAGATTATGTGCACTGGCTCTTTGTACTTCCTTTCAACAGCTACCCAGCAATATCTAGAGTCACTGAACTAAGAAGGAGTTGAAACTGGCCAGGCGCGGTGGCTCACACCTGTAATCCCAGCACTTTGGGACGCCGAGGTGGGCGAATTATGAGGTCAAGAGATCGAGACCATCCTGGCCAACATGGTGAAACCCTGTCTCTACTGAAAATACAAAAATTAGTTGGGCATGGTAGCATGCACCTGTAGTGCCAGCTACTCAGGAGGCTGAGACAGGAGAATTGCTTGAACCTGGGAGGTGGAGGGTGCAGTGAGCCGAGATCGCGCCACTGCACTCCAGCCTGGCAACAGAGCAAGACTCCGTCCAAAAAAACAAACAAAAAAAAAGAGGGAGTTGAAACCAAGCAGAGTATCATGATGCTTCTCTCTGAATATATCTGACTTTATTCCAAAAGCAGGCATGATTGATTCTTGAACAGTTTTGCTGGCATTATTTTTAGTGCAGATTCTAGCTTCATGTTTGGCATTATTCATGTGCTCATTCTGTTAATACATAAAATTGAGGGTTGATGACATTTCTTTATTTGAATCCCCTATTTCCAGTTAAGAGCATCTCAGTTTAAATTTTCTTTTGGGATCCTTGATAGAGTTAAACATTAGCAGCACACCAGTCCTCTGCTGGTATATAATGTTGGAATGCGATTTTCTTTGCAGCTTTGTATAAAAAGAAACAAATTGTAGCTACAGTTTGTCATGTTATCTTTTAGCAGACGCTCTCAACATCAATGCTTCCATAATAGGATTAATGATGGGGGAAACTTTTGAGCATCTCAAGCTTGCATAGTTATTCACAGAGAAGCTGAAACACGTAATGGGGGCTCTGGCCAGGAGTACCTCTATTGGGCAAGGGAAGGTAGAGATGCCGAAGGACTAACAGAATAGTGAAACTCGGCAATAAAGGAGGACACGAAAAAGACATTGCGATTGATTGAGGGTTGTAGCTGAAAGAAACCCATAATGAGATTCCTTTTTTAAAAAAGGTGGCACAGATTGTATTGAATTGTACTAACTTCTTGTTTCTCTGGTGTCTTTGGAAAATGTGATGCCCTTCAGAAACAGACTTTCCAGGTAACTGAAGCTTTTAAGTGGCAAGACGATCTATTCCAGCTTCTTCTTTGTACACATGGGTAAACCAGAGAGCCCAGAGAGGGAAATAACTTTAGCACCCCAACAACTTGGTGACAAAATCGGGGTCAGGCAGTGCTGTGTCCTTGATTATGCGTCCTCTTTTCCATGTGCAAAACATGTATTTTTCATCATTTTGTATGGAGAGCTTTCTAAAACATGAACATTCTTGCCTTTCTCAGTAGGACACACTGTGATCTCAGGAGCATCATTATGAATACATGTTAGTTGTGCCTGAATTCTCTCATGACCTTTTGAAATCTGGAAAGCTTTTACTTCTGCACTGTGGAATAGTAGGGATTTTGAGTTCTTGTGCCTACTTTGTGTAGTTTACATTCTTTTCCTTGGTGTCAGCTGTCACTCCTTAGTGTTATTGTTTGTTTGATATGATATCTAACCTCTAAGGCCTTTTTTGCCCATTCTTTTAATGGTGTTTTGAAAAGTTGAGGTTGTTGGAAGAATGAAGCATTCGTATTCTTGGTCATTTTTGGATGAACTGCAAAACTTTTTAGAGCTCTGTTGCTAGATTCCGAAGTCTGTGAGATACTAGAAATCATTTTAGCCTGAGTAGTCTATATTTTCCATGTTGCTTTTCCTCTAGCATCTCTTTGCCCCCCCCACTGCCATCCTGGGAACTAGAGAACATCTGAGCAATTACTGTTGTCCACTAATCATGAGTCTTTCAAGTGAAACTACCACTCACAAATAGGGGCTTAACCTGGCCTTCTGTGGGGTGCTCCTTTCTTTCATGATGCTTATCTTTCTGGAAGGTAGCCATTTACCTGTCTGATTGCCTTAACCCTGTATCTTTTAGTCAGCCTTATATCCATATACACACACCCACAGGCCCGTGAAATCTAATTATATCGATCACCTGAGACCCTGTATGTTTGTTCTTCACCAGTTTATGCCTCTGCTCACTTCTTGTCTTGTGCCTGACTCTTGGCTCTCTGTCATACCCTACCTCTGCTTTCGTCTCCTCTCCAACACACACACCAGTTTCTTTAGGCTTGATATGTACATGTGCTCTGTGGCTCCCAACCCAGAGTCTATTATTAAGGGCTCTGCATGGTTGGGATGGGAGCTGCCATATACAGTGTGCCTCATATGGTGTGCCCTACCCTAGCTGGACCTTTAAGACCCAACCTTTGGCCCTAGCCCATTATCTGGCCCATCTGATCCTCCTGTGAAAGGACAGTTTGAGCAAAACCTTGCTTGAGAAGCTTACAGACTTTCCAGTTCTGCAACTCTGACAGTCTGTGAGTTCTCGTCTTATCTCCTTTTGCCATAGTTTCCTAGTCATTCACCAGGGGTTGGTAAGGAAATAGGATGTTGTTTACCATTGTTTCTAGGGCATTGTAACATATGCTGCTAGTCAGGCTGTGAGACAATCCAGATTTTGGGGCGGTTAGCAAATTTCATTTGGATTAGTGCTCCATATTGAACCTGTCATTCTTTAATCATTCCATACATATTTATTAAATGCCTACTAAATGTAAGGTATTACACTAGACGTTGGGAATAAAGTGCTAAACAGGATAGTTGTAGTCCCTGTCTTTATGGAACTTACATCCAGGGAGGCAAGACAGACAATGAATAACAATACCTAAACAAGCAAACACATACTAGATAAATAAAAACAAGATAATTTCAAATAGGAATATGAAGGAAAAAAATAGGCTGATGTAATATAGTGTTGGGGGAGCAGTGGCTGTTTATTTTGGAAGGTTCTAGAAGGCCTCTTTGAGAGGTGACATTTGAGCTGTGAACTAAATGATGAGAAAGATCCAGACATATGAAGAGCTGTGGGACTGGCAGTAAAGATCAAGGGAAAAGCCAAAACAAAAACTCTGAGGTGGGAACAGACTTGTCATGTATGGCCAGAGCTTGGTGAGTGAAGAGGGGACAGTTGATAAGGACAGAGGGGTCAGCTTCGGGGAGGAGGGAGAATCCTAACATTTTTTAACTTTATTCCTAGCACCATGGGAAGCCATTAGGGGTTTTAAGCTGTCGAGTGACACAATTTGGTTTACGTTTTAAAAGATGGCTTCATCTACAGAGTGGAGAATTGTAGAGGAGCATTCTGGCCAGCTTAGCTGTGGGAGGGTGTGGAATTCACCTTTGTGCTGCAGAGGGCCTCAGCTGAAGCCATGCTGTCCCTGGGATAATTGCTTTCCCGCCTAGGTTGTTTTCACAATCTCCACTTCTAAACATTTAATCTGTGTTCTGGCTTAATCAAGAAGCAGCGCTCTCCTTGTGCCAGGCTTGGCTCAGAAAATGTGGGCATCGTGCCTTTTGTTGAGCGCCCTGGCCTGGAGAGAATGAAGAAAGCATCCCCTCATGGCCTGAGGACAATGCAGCTGACCCTCAGCACCTGGTAACTTGTAGGAAGCTTTAGAATCTATAAACTTGATGTGCTTCTGCAAAACAGTTGCAGATGGTCTGAAGTGATGATTAAATATCACTGCCACTTTGCCCAGATCTGCTATGGCCATTCTCTCCATGTCTGGTTTTACATTACAGTGGGTAATTAAGGGGGCACAACCATTTCTAGTTACTTCCAGGCCATCTTTTTCAATTGGCTTATGGGGAAATTACAGTTGCTGTCAGTTGTGTAAGTGACTGCATTGAGCAGCGATTGTGAATGGCTACTTTTTGTGTTCAAAATAATACTAATACAAAACACCCAAACTTAAAAAGAACTGTTCCTAATGAAAGGGAATAATTGCCTGCCTCTGCTGTCTCTGCTGGATCTCCACTGGGAGTTCTGCCATCAGACTTGTCAGAGTTGGTTGGCAGGGACTTTTTCTCCTGAGTTAGCACATAGAGATATGAACGGGCAGAGATAACACAAATTAGCAAAGATACAAGCATATCTGCAGAGGAACAGATTTCCTTCCGACCAGAAGTGCCGTTGGTGGGCACCACCCTAATTTTCAGTGCATCTCTTAGTGCTGATGACAGGACTTTTCAGCAAATTTTTTAAAAAATGGCTTAAGCACCACCGGACCTGGGCAGTTTTTATAAGATTTTAGAGTTTCAAAGGGCTGCTAAGCTTGCCAATGTAAAGTCACTGAATATTGTCTCCCTGGCTGCTCACTGGGGATCCTTACACCTCACTCAGCATGATGAACTTGGAGACAGAAATTCGTAAGCTTCAGCCCCATTTTTTTTGACTGAAGATTTCTTTTTCCATTCCCACAAAACTTGCAAGGACACAGAAGGCTCAGTGGGGGAAAAAGATGGCATGTGCCTCTGGCTGACATGACTTGTGCCAGTGGTTGCGTGGGGATTCCATAATGAAGACTGCAAATCACTTCCCATCCTCTTGGAGCCTGTCCCATAATTAGAAGATTAAACATTTTGTTTAAATTGGTAATTTTTTCCCCCTCCCCTCTCTGAGTGCTTAAAACCACCATTAGAGCAGAATGGAGACTGGTTAACTGATTCTGGGCTCCATGTTCTAGTTGTGATTGTCAGCAGGCGGTTGAGGAAGTCTTATTTTAATTAAAAAAGCAATTTTTAGCTATGCTTCACCTTGTGTGAGGCAGAGGCACCTCTGACCGTGTGAACTTTCTGATTGCTGAATGTACTGAGCATAGCTTTTCTCAGGGGCATGACACCAAGCCTAGGCAGATAATATCATGGGGTGGGTGTGCAGCTGGCCTTGAGGTATTGCCTCTGCACTAATGGCAGATTTGCTCTTCATTTGACAGATTGACTTTGTGTTTATGGGCAGGGTGTCACAGGGATGGCGTGTTCCTGAATTTAAGTGAATGCAAAGCAGCTCATAGAGGAGCATGGAAATTTTCCTACTTTTAATGAAATAAAAGAATATACGTTTTCTCCTTCCCATGAAACCAAGCCAAAAGAACAAAACAAAGGGCTGAGGACTACTCGGTATCAAAGCCCACTGAGAGCCAGGCTTTGTGCTGTTCGACTTATGTGTGTTATCCCATCTCATCCTAAAGGCAACCCTGGGAAGTCAATATTCTTAGTTCCATTTTGCAGATGAGGAAAGGAAGCTCACAGAGGTTTGGTAACTTGCCCAAAGATACCCAGTAAGTAGATGGTGGAATCTTCTTCCTAGAAGAGGGCTCCAATGGATGAAGTACTCTAAAAAAAAAACAAGAAGGAAGACCTTCGAGAATAAACTGCCGCAGAATCCTGCCATTCCTCTACCTTGTACTTTCCTCCAAGTCTACTCTGCCTGCCACTCTCTATTGGAATTTCTTGATTACATACTTTTCTTATTGGACTGTGAGTTGCTCAAGGACAGTGACCAGATCAGCGCCTGCCATTGAGTAAATGCTCAATAAATATCTCTTGACTAAAGAAAGGAAAGGATGAGGGTGAATGAATGAAGCAGTGAATCAATGATTAGGTGATTGAATTTGAGTCTTCTCTAGGTATCTTTTTATATTGAGGCTTAGCACCTCCCCAGTTGCCTTTTTTCTTGCCTTTTCCTTGATGGGAACAGATTAAGGTGTTTTTGTGAATGATAGTAGCCCTAGTCATAGATAACTTGGAGTTGAGTGAATCTTGCTTTAAGTAATAGTAGATGATCTTCATAAAAGCCTGATTCTATTATTTTGTAATCTGACAGTTGACTGGCATTTCTTTTAAAGGCTATTGCTGTCTCTGACTCTAAAGCAGGAGATTGATTGATTCATTTATTTGCCAAAGATTTGTTGCAAGTCTACTGTGGGCCATGATTGCTGTTTTCTCTTTACCCAGCCTTATAGGCAAAAAATAAGAGGTTGTACAGAACAACCAAATTAGGTTTTATTTTGTGTTGGTTGGATCTGGCCTATCCATTTCCATTTGATATTTTTCTTTCTTTCTTTAAACATTTATTGAGTGCTTTTTTTGGGTTAGGTGCTTCCACAACACTGCTACCCCACATCAGTAGGATGGCTTTTTCCAAGGGTGAAACTAAGGCTGAAATGGTGGTTATTTGTCCAGGGTCACACACTAGTGACAACAAACCCAGAGATTTTGACTACCAAAGTCCATACTCTTTTCACCGCACCTCACCCCCCCGTTCACGTGACTAGTTTAGCATCAATTTCTTATGTGTTTTATGTTTCTTACAGACCTAGGACAAACATGGGTTTCTAAAACAGAAAGTACTAGAGCCGCTAACAGTTCACTTGAGTTAAAGGAACCTCAGGAAACAGATCTGTAGTAATCACAGAAACCAGTTATAGCAAGATGATTTCTCAATCTCATGGTGGTAGTATGATGTCATAGAAAGAGCCTTAGGCATAGACTGACGGGCAGCGTTTGAGTCCCATCTCCACTATTTTCTAGCTCTTTGGTCTTTGGCAGTTCACTAAGCAAGCCACCACACTTTGGCTTCCTTACTTGTAGAAATGAAGAATGGTATCACCTACCTAGAAGAGTTGTGTGAAGGTTAAAAAGATAATGAAAATGTTAAGTTCCTGGTACAGAGTAGGCACATAGTTAATGGTAACTGTTGAATAGTTTGGATAATCGTTTGGTGAGGAAGCTGTAGGAGGAATTCTTTATGGTTTCTGTAAACCCCACAATGCTGTGACCTCGGTGCCTCCTAAGAAGTTATTTGTGAGATTTATATCTGACTTTGCCTTTTGAGGCCCATTCTGGCTCACTTATGCAGCTTTATTTAAAAGAAGTGGCCGAATTCCCTTGTGTACAGGGTTTTTCAGGCCGTGCATCTTTGTGTTTTTTTGGTATGTTTACTGGAATTCTCAGATTTCTAAGTAATTTCAGTCTGCGACAAGTGAGTAGAATTGATGTCAGGCTGCTTTAACACAGGTGTTATAAACAAGATTAAGAGGTTGTTGAAAAGATATCAGTGGAGCTCTGAGGCTAGCTCTCTGAAGTCATTGTAAATTGACAGCTAATGGGTAGTTTGCCTTGATGGCTCTCTTTGAGTTGGTTGTAACTGACTGGAGATTCACCCACAGAGGAAACTTGCTTATGAAAATTCACTTTACATTCCTTTATCAGAAAGTAAAGCTATAGTAATATGTAGTATTGTCTGTGCACTGTTTTTGGGTATTTTTTTTTTAAAGGCAACCAGTTCTTAAGTATTTTTGATACCCTAAGCCTGCCAAGCTTCAAAAAAAACTTTAAATAGGGGAAGATGGGTCAAAATAATTATTTTATTCTACTGTTTATGTATAAGACACTTATTTTTCTTATTTGTATTACCTTTGGTAGAGCTTCTTCCTGCCCAGCAAGGTATGCATTTTGCCTATTTGGTCTACTAAATGTGCTTGCTAGGAAATTGAGTATCTTAAAATGTTCTTGACGTGAGCAAGTATTAATTAAAAATCACTTTGAAATCAACTTTATAGGTTCCTTGAGAGAATGTTGTGATGGTGTGGATAGAGCTTGCAGGGAGAATTTGTAGGTGGCCAAGACGCATTTGCCCAGGCTGCCAGAGGATTTCTTTTGATCAT
Source organism: Homo sapiens (assembly GCF_000001405.40). Classification (NCBI taxonomy): domain Eukaryota; kingdom Metazoa; phylum Chordata; class Mammalia; order Primates; family Hominidae; genus Homo; species Homo sapiens. The sequence goes on from NC_000020.11 coordinate 37,716,403, forward strand.
CCACATGGCCAGGAGGTCAGAGTTCTCTGTTTTTTTTCCAGGTGGGGAAGTATTTCTGACACTGAATTGTCTTATCTAAGAATAACTCATTCACCATCCTTGTCTTTATTGGAAATGGAGGTATTTTGCTAGCTTTAGTGGTTTGTAAAGCTTCCAGAAATATTTTACTATTTCCTTTGAGTTGAGGAAATAAAGTGCATCTTACACAAAAGCAGACATGAAACCATATCTTTTCATTGTCTTTGATGGACCCATCAACAGGCATGTTTTGAGGCCATAACACCAGACACTTCATTCAAGCTGAGAGGGATAGGTAAATCAGCAGTCAAGTGCTGGAAAGTATGTTATATAATCTTGCTACATTTTCAGACTCTAAAGTATTGCCCATAATGTTGAAAAATATTCTTCTTTAACAAGATACTCAAGGGAAAGTTCCACGTGCATTCTATCTTCCTTGAAATAAATGTGGCAGCTATTGAATAACAGACTTATATGGATACATTTTAAGCTTTTGAAGAAACAATGGCAATGTCTAAGGTCCTAAGCCTTCTGAGACCAAAATCATATAAGAAGTCTTAAGGAATGAATGAGCAGGTGTTTGTAAGTGAATAAAATGGTTAGTTTCTCACACATGATCCGGTTCTCACTCATTCAGTCCTGGATCATTCATTCCCCCCTTCCCATTTTTCCAAAACATCTTTTCTCTTTTTTTCCTGTCTCTATTCCTGGTAGTATACACTCTTTTCCCCCAGCCACTCCTATTGGAAAAGGGAATGCAGTTTTACGTTTTTAGTCTTGGCAGTGACCTGAGAGATAACTTGTAGAAAAAATAATTAAATATTTCTTTGCCCACTTTGGTCTTAATAAAATCATGCATTGCTAGAGGCAGTATTCCACTGGCTGGAGACTTCTCTGTTAACAGGTATGTCTTGTAACGTGCAGAACCATTGTGTGAGTTCGCTGGTTGCAGAATGCATACTCCACTCTCCTCTCTTAGAAACTTATAAAGTATCAGCATTTGTGTCATCCTAAATAGCAAAGTAAATTTATTGTATCTGAGCCTTGGTTTAAACCTATAAATAATTTTAAATAGCTTTCCCATATTAATTTGTTATTTAAAGGTTCAGAGTGGACTGGTGTCAATGGCAGGTGACCCAGTGCTCAGTGTGGGTTTCTCCAAGTGATATGAGGCAGGAATTTCTTTTTTCTTTTCTTTTTTTTTTTATTGATCATTCTTGGGTGTTTCTCGCAGAGGGGGATTTGGCAGGGTCATAGGACAATAGTGGAGGGAAGGTCAGCAGATAAACAAGTGGACAAAGGTCTCTGGTTTTCCTAGGCAGAGGACCCTGCGGCCTTCCGTAGTGTTTGTGTCCCTGGGTACTTGAGATTAGGGAGTGGTGATGACTCTTAAGGAGCATGCTGCCTTCAAGCATCTGTTTAACAAAGCACATCTTGCACCGCCCTTAATCCATTTAACCCTGGGTGGACACAGCACATGTTTCAGGGAGCACAGGGTTGGGGGTAAGGTCACAGATCAACAGGATCCCAAGGCAGAAGAATTTTTCTTAGTACAGAACAAAATGAAAAGTCTCCCATGTCTACTTCTTTCTACACAGACACAGCAACCATCCGATTTCTCAATCTTTTCCCCACCTTTCCCCCCTTTCTATTCCACAAAACCGCCATTGTCATCATGGCCCGCTCTCAATGAGCTGTTGGGTACACCTCCCAGATGGGGTGGTGGCTGGGCAGAGGGGCTCCTGACTTCCCAGTAGGGGCGGCCGGGCAGAGGCGCCCCTCACCTCCGGGACGGGGCGGCTGGCCGGGCGGGGGGCTGACCCCCCCACCTCCCTCCCGGACGGGGTGGCTGGCCGGGCGGGGGGCTGACCCCCCCACCTCCCTCCCGGACGGGGCGGCTGGCCGGGCAGGGGGGCTCCTCACTTCCCAGTAGGGGCGGCCGGGCAGAGGCACCCCTCACCTCCGGGACGGGGCGGCTGGCCGGGCGGGGGGCTGACCCCCCCACCTCCCTCCCGGACGGGGTGGCTGGCCGGGCGGGGGGCTGACCCCCCCACCTCCCTCCCAGACGGGGCGGCTGGCCGGGCAGAGGGGCTCCTCACTTCCCAGTAGGGGCGGCCGGGCAGAGGCGCCCCTCACCTCCCCGACAGGGCGGATGGCCGGGCGGGGGGCTGACCCCCCCCACCTCCCTCCCGGACGGGGCGGCTGGCCAGGCGGGGGGCTGACCACCCCACCTCATGAGGGAGGAATTTCTTACTGAAATCTCCATTTAGACAGATGACACTAGACTCTTCTGGATAGCAAAATTGCAGATAGGCAAGGAACAACTGCAGAAGGAACTCACCTGACTAAAAGCATGGGCAGAAAAGCAGCACAGGGATTTTAGTGTTGGCTGAAAGATGATGGCAGCAGGGAGAGCTGATGCAAAGTATGCCTTGAAGATGATAATTTCTGAGGTCTTGACTGAGGAAAGGAGTCTTGAGGTTGTGTAATACTGCTTCTACTAAGATGAGAGTTAGATTCCAGGCCCAGTTCTATGGCTTCGGGCTCAAGTATTGTCACTAATTTGAGTCTCAGTTTACTCATCTGTAAATTACAGGGTTAGACTAGTATTCTTTGTCTGAATCTGAGTTTTACTATACTTAGCCTCTGAATATCCTTGATGCCACCATTGGAAAATTTACCAGATTATATATAGATATGGCCCAGTGTGGTATAAAGTAAGTAGACAGGTAGATTCAGAAGAGATGAATTCTGCTTGGAGAATTTACCCTAATGGCCCAAGGAACTTGGATGAATTCTGCTTGGCTGCAGTCACCCTAATGGCCCAAGGAACTTGGAGAATTTGCATACATTTGCTAATAGTAAATTATGATTCCTGGTGATTTCATTGGTTTAACTTGTCCTCTTCCCTTGAATTATGCCACCTTCCTTGATCTCCAGTCTGATACAGATGCCCCATCCATGGTCCCTTTGTTCTCTATGCCCACTCAGCCACAGCGCTAACCGGAAGGCTCAATAATCCTCCATTGACTTGTCAGTGTTGTGGTTCTCACAAGATTGAAAGTGCCTTGAAGGAAAGAACATGCCTTTTTTGTTTCTTTGTTTCTTAAACCTTGTACTCTTGGCATGGAGCTAGGTAGCTGCTTAGTAAGGGTGCCCTGTAAAGCTCAATGAGGACAGTTCCTTTCTCATCTCCCCTTCATGTTCACAAGGGCCCATATACGTGACACTCATTGGCTATCAAGTGGGATTTATCTTACTTTTTAAATGTAATAACCTTAGAAAAATGTTAGAAGATATTTTATTTTATTTGAAATGAGATATAATCTGTAGGCAGAAAGATTTTGTTTTGTTTTCATCCTGCATTTGTTCATGGCTGACATTTATACAACTTGTTTTTCTTTTTTTATTTTTCTTTTCTTTTCTTTTTTTTTTTTTGAGACAGGGTCTTGCTCTGTTGCCCAGGCTGGAGTGCAGTGATGTGATCTCGGCTCACTGCTGCCTTGATCTCCTGGGCTCTAGCAGTCCTCCCATCTCAGCCTTCTGAGTAGCTGGGACTACAGGCATGTGCGTGTATCACTGCGCCTGGCTAATTTTTTTAAAATTTATTTATTTATTTATTTTTGAGACAGAGTCTTGCTCTGTTGCCCAGGCTGGAGTGCAGTGGCGCAATCTCGGCTCACTACAAGCTCCATCTCCCAGGTTCACGCCATTCTTCTGCCTCAGCCTCCCTAGTAGCTGGGACCACAGGCGCCTGCCACCATGCCCGGCTAATTTTTTTGTATTTTTAGTAGAGAGGGGGTTTCACCATGTTAGCCAGGATAGTCTCGATCTCCTGACCTCGTGATCCGCCCATCTCACCCTCCCAAAGTGCTGGGATTACAGGCGTGAGCCACTGTGCGTGGCCTGAATTTATTTTTTGTAGACACAGGGTCTCACCGTTTCCCAGGCTGGTCTTGAACTCCTAGGCTATTGCAATCCTCTTGCTTTGGCCTCCCAGATTGCTAAGATTACTGGTGTGAGCCACATTGCATGGCCTATACAACTTAAAAACCTTTTCGACAGGATGAATTAAATAAATTATTTTTTAAACTAAAAAAAAGGTGGTGGTAAATTATTGTTTTGAAAAACAGAAAAATAGTTTTCATTTAAGCTGGATTAAGGCCCAGACATTGACTACGAGAATCTTAGAGGTCTAAATAGTCCAGCCAGGAGGGTCTGTTGACAGCAGCATGACATATAATTTGGACTCTGTTGGGACACTTTCAGTGAATGTGTCTTTTTCTTTTTCACTTTAGTGAGTATATATATGCTAATATATATAGAGCCAAAAATCTGTCTTTCATTGATTTAAGTGCCAGCTATGAACAAGGCACTCTTAGGTGCTGAGATATTTGTTAGAAGCAAGGGTCAAATCCTAGGATCCCTACTCTTGAAGACCTAGCTCATGATTTAGTAGAGGAAATAGAGACTTATTCACACATACATTGTGTGCTGGGAGAGATCTGATACAGTGCCGAGGAAGCTCACAAGTTTTACTGGAGTATGTGGAGGACTCTCAAGGGAGGTGACATTTGAGTGGGGGCTTAAGACTGAGTAGCACTTCTCTAGCTGCAGTGAAGGGGGATGGAAGGTGATCTGCCATTTTTTGTAGCACTGTTTGCACGTACTCTATTCTAAGGCATCCGTTAATAACTGATGGTGATTCACTCCTGGGTCCCTGCCTGAATCTTCTTGGATTCCATTATTGATTTTTCCTATAGCAAGGCTTCCAGACCCTCTGCTATCCCGCTCATATATTCCCCTGTTGGTAGTGTCTCTTTTAATGCACAGTAGCTAACTCACGACTGTGGAGCTAGGGTGAATTGGGTTTTATACTTCTAAAAAGTGCACCCTTAATATGCATTAGCTTTAAAAATAATTAAAGCTGGTTATCCTGTTGACTCATTGAATAACTCTGTGAGAGATCTTGTTGACTTTAAGGTACCCTGTGAGTGTTATAAACCCTTAATCAACAGTAACAATATCAAAGCAGCACAACCAGTTGGGCATGACTTGGTCTGCCTGATCCCTGCTAGCTTCTGGTGGTACCCCCCTACCTTTTTTCTCTTCAGTGTGTGCATAATCACACCATTTTGCCAAATTTACTTCAGATCTTACTTTAAGAAATAAAACATTGTAAATACAGATAAAGTCTCCTTTGCACTCTTCCCTAATCTCATTTCATCACATACTCCTCTCTAATCCAGTTTCTCTCTTAACCTCCTTTAGAAGCAATCAGTATCCTGAATTTGGTGATTATTATTCTCATGTACTTTTTTCTTACTGTTACTATTTATGCATGCATCCATGGATCATTTAACTTTGTTTCTTATTGTCCAGTGATCATTCTTTAAATAACTACTTGTGTATATGTGTGAGCATTTCTCTAGTGTCTATGTCCCTAGGAGTAGAACTACTGGGATAGTCGTAGAATATATGCATCAGTGGTATCAGGCCTCACCAGTTTGCTCTGTATTCATTTATTCTCCTCTGTCAGCAAGTATCAACAGTTCTTGTTTCCCCATATCCTCACCAACACTTGGTATTACCAGATTTTTTATTTTTTCATTTTTGTCAATCCAATGATAACTAATGGTTTTTATGTACATTTCCCTGATTTCTAATGAGGTTGGGCTACTTTTTATATGCTTATGGGCTACTCATTATTTTTTCTTCTACAATCATCTTATGTTCTTTGTCAAAAGCTGGCTTTAAGTTATTTAAAGTCTGGTCAGGCATGGTTGTTCATGCCTGTAATCCCAGCACTTTTGGAGGCCAAGGCAGGCGGATCATTTGAGGTCAGGAGTTTGAGACCAGCCTGGCCAACATGGCAAAACCCCATCTCTACTGAAAATACAAAAATTAGCCAGGTGTGGTAGTGCACGCCTGTAGTCCCAGCCACTTGGGAGGCTGAGGCAGGGGAATTGCTTGAACCTGGGAGGTGGAGGTTTCAGTGAGCCAAGATCACACCACTGCACTCCATCCAGGAAGACAGAGTGAGGCTCCGTCTAAAATAAATAAATAAATAAATAAATAAATAAATAAATAAATAAATAAATAAAGTCTGTTGTATATACAGGGCTTTGCAGTTTGCAGTCATTAAGAGAAATTGAATTCCGTGCTTTCTTTTCAAAGTCCTGTATTTTTATCTCATTTTAATCTTCCTATCCCTTAGCTTACTAAAGTAAAGTTAGTCCTGTGAGATAGCGAAGCAAGGGCTGAGCATTTTTTTAATAAATGCAGCATTGATAAGTCTAATGACTTATGCAAGGTCATGTGGCTCTTAAGTGATTTACCACTAGAACCCAGATTTTTCTGATTTTTGGTTTGCTGCTGTTTGCATTGTACCACCTTAACTTCTTTTAGATCAGTGCTGTTTTGTTGTTAAATTGATGTCTAATTGTCCCTCCAGCACCTAATAGAGTGATGTTCAGGTTCTTTTAGCTCAGTAAATACTTCCTTAATGAATGAATGGATGCGGATGGTTCTGGTGTAGCTGACAAAACAGATTCATAAGTGTGCTAAATTGGAGATAGTTTGCCTTCCAGTGACTTTACAAGTAATCTGCCTATGTTAGTTTTGATAAAGAAACCGAATCAACATTCAGCTTTCTGATGTAGCTGTAGAATCAATCAGAGCAGATGTCAAAGTAAACCATGGACATTAAAGTATAGTTTGTACTTCTAAAAAAGAAATCTATACACCCTTTGGTGGTGAGATGAATATATATTCAGGCTTTAACAAGGAATAATAATTTTTTGGTAGGAAAAATGGATTAAGTCTTTATGACTAGTGATTTAAATCGTACATCACATCCATCTTAGCTGTCAGCCAATCAGATTACAGATCATAAGTGAGACTGTTTGTAATTTTGATTTTTGATACATTGATATTTTCCCCTTCATTGTGAACATTGATAAAGACCATATTCTCCAGTAATTACTGTGGTCTTGTTGCCTGTAATTTGTTTTTAATTGGGAATAAATGGTGCTTCTCTTTTACATTTTGCAAAGACTCTGCTTTGGGATTTTGAGGAGCGCTTGATATCTTTTTTTTCCTCCAGAAAAAAAGGTAGTAGGTTGACATAATTAATTGATCTTTTTTTGAAGCCAGTCTTGCAAATTTGCAGAGGTGTAATATGTATTTATATTTGAATATCTGGCATTTTCACTCAGACATTTCCTAAAAATATGATGATGATAACACCTTTCATTGGTATAGCAATTTATAGTTTACCTAGGGCACCTTTGTAAGGTGTATTGTTTAATCATCACAACAACCCTTTGAGGTGGGTGGAATTTTCTGTCTCTGATTACTTTGATCTCTAATTATGAACTTTGGCTGATGATAGTTGCAGCATTAGAGTGTGAGCTGTTTCATTTGTGGTGCCTTAAGCAAATTTGCAAGGGAGCCCTGATGTTAACTTTGGCAGGTTTCATGCCTGCAAATATTGATTGAGCCAGAAGTCCTAGTTGTAAAATGTCACCAGTGAATGTGCAGCCAGTAAAGTCAAGGGAAAACTCATTACTGCAACTCATCTGTAACTTCTGGGTCAGGCCACTCACTACCATCTGGTAAAAATGAATGTTGAAAACTCCCTTTTATTCTGACAAAAGGTAATAAGAAGAGGTTAACAGCAGATGATTTCTGAGCATTTCAATTTGGTTAGACCAATGCATCCACAAGCGGGTTTGCGACGTTCCACATGTCTAATTATTCCAAGAGGTATTAGAATGCTTTAAAATTATGAAATTCCAAAATAATGGTAGGAAGGAATGTAATTATGTGTATACCCCCCTCTTCTCCTCTGTTGCCCCCTGTCTGACCTTCTTATTGAAAGTGTTTATTCTCGAAAAGGCATTGGGAAGGAAGAAATAAGAAGGATTGCTGTCTTGAAAAATGTAATTTTTTTTTTAAATGTGAGCGAGACTAGAAATGTTTTACATTTCCTTAAGGGGGGAAGTATTAGAAGTATTAGGAACCATGGAAGGAGAGTGTAAGTGGAAAGGTTTCTCCTCAATTGAATGAGCTTCCTAACTGAGTGATTCAAAGGTGGAGGGGGCACAGTTTAGGGAGGAGGTGAGTGTCTGGTCACTGGAGGTGTTAGGAAAGCCCTGGCATATGCCTGGGGAGAGATATGTTAAAAAGGATTCAAACTTAAGATAGATGACTGGGTGAGATCAAGGATGCCTGATGCCTGAACTGTCTCTAGAGCCTCAGAATTATTGCAAGAAGTTGTGGATCCAGATGTACACAAGCATTTTCCGAGAAATGAGTACATAATCTCTGTCTCCCCTCTCTTTATTTGTCAATGTGGACATTAAAACACAAATTCAATGAAAAGTATTACCAAATAATAGATAGTAATTTATTTGTTTGTTGTCATTGTGTCTTAATCATTGGGTACCAAAAAATGGAAGTCCGAGGGCGGGTGGTCCTGTCAATCTTTTTTTTTTTTTTTTTTTTTGAGACAGGGTCTCTCTGTGTCACCCAGACTGGAATACAGTGGCATGACCTTGGCTTACTGCAGCCTCCTGGGCTCAAGTGATCCTCTCACCTCAGCCTCCTGAGTAGTTGGGACTACAGGTGCGTGCCATTATGCTCGGCTAATTTTTTAAATTTTTTATAGAGACAGGTCCTCACTATGTTGCTCAGGCTGGTCTCGAACTCCTGGGCTCAAGTGAGCCTCCTGCCTCTGCCTCCCAAATTGTTGAGATTACAGGCGTGTGCCACTGCACCCGGTTGGTCTTGTCAAATATTTTGACATTAAAAAGGGACCCACATTTAAAAACCTAACTATTAATGGTCAGAGTTCTTTCCAACCTTGAGCCTCTTTGATTTTTTTTTTTTGAGGCGGAGTTTCACTCTTGTTTTCCCAGGCAGGAGTGCAATGGCGCAATCTCAGCTCACGGCAACCTCTGCCTCCCCAGTTCTAGCAACTCTCCTGCCTCAGGCTCCCCAGTAGCTGGGATTACAGGCACCCACCACCACACCTGGCTAATTTTTTATTTTTACTAGAGATGGGGTTTCATCGGGTTAGTCAAGATGGTCTCGAACTCCTAAACTCAGGTGATCTGCCTGCCTGCCTTGCCTCCCAAAGTGCTGGCATTACAGGCATGAGCCACTGCGCCCAGCCGCCTCTTTGATTTCTTAATCAAGTATGTCAGGAGAAATAGGGAGCTCAGTGTGTTGTTTTCTATGGGCCAAACTGCTCTGTACTTTAGGAACACAAGCCTTTAGGCTGGGCGCAGTGGCTCATGCCTGTAATTTCAGCACTTTGGGAGACCGAGGCAGGCTGATCATTTGAGGTCAGATGTTCGAGACCAGCCTTGTCAACATGGTGTAACCCCATCCCTACCAGAAATAAAAAAATGAGCTGGGTGTGCTGGCACGTGCCTGTAGTCCCAGCTACTTAGGAGGTTGAGACAGGAGAATCGCTTGAACCCTGGAGGAGGAGATTGCAGTGAGCCGAGATCGCACCACTGCATTCCAGCCTGGGTGACAGAGTGAGGCTCCGTCTCAAAAAAAGAAAAGAAAAGAAACATAGGCCTTTATGTACATGCATACATATATGCATAAATGTCTGTGTGAAAGAGGTTATTGTTCCCAGCTTATAGACTGAGAAAACTGAAGCGTAGAGGGAGTAACTTACTTTCCAGGACTGCTGAGTAGAGGTGCTAGGATTTGAATTTAGGAAAAATTGACTTCAAAACTCATTCTCCATACAGGATATCACCATTGCAAACAGGTTAGGAATCATTAACTCTAGCAATAATGAATTGAAAGCCTTTTCCTGTTGATGGTCGTTTCTAGTTATAGCCTGTCTAAAATAGCCACTAGTCTGTGTTCTTATATTTTAATAGTAGCTTTGTTTACTTATTTACTAGTGACTTCTTCAGGGTCCTCTTATTTTCTTTCCAGCCAGTTTTAAGTTAACATGGAGAAAAAGGAAAAGCACTATATTGGGATTTAGAAGCCTTGTGGTCTTGCTCACCATAGGCAAGTTGCTTAAACTCACTGGCCTCAGATTTCCCTATTCTATTAATATAAAGAGAGAGAGAGACTAGATTATCTCTTTCTCCTAGCTCAAATTACTAAGTCTTTCCTGTTGTTTGATATCTAGGAAACAGTACTTCATGCCCCATTTGGAAGATCATTTTCTGAAGTTAGCCAAGCTCCTAAGTTCTAGATGAAGAATTCTTGGTTTATTACAATGTTTAGAAGGTTTCCTTTGACTTTTTCCATTTTCTCATTAGAATTGGACATCTTTTTTCATAAAAGTACCTTTTACGAATTATCCCCTTTCTTAGCCAGGGAACTTGGAATGTTGAGCTATATTTAGACACACACACATGCACACATTTACACTTTTATATTCTGATACAAATGCGCTCTTCACATTAATACTTGCATTATGTGTTTTCATAATTTATCATAATGATACCATTATTGCTCATTATAGAAGTTCTCTTTTTTCCCCACTGCCCCCAAGCCTAATTGAGGTCGAGATAGCCCATAAATGTGATAATATAGATTGCGTGCTCAGAGGAAATGGGGTTGCTTTCATAGTGGAGTTTTAATTTAGGATTCGTTCTGGTGATGTAGCCTCTTCCTATGGTACATTACTTTGAGCTCAATATAACTGCATGTTCCCACAGCCCCTCATTATAGCTACAGCTTCTCACTGCTTTTTAATTAAAAAAAAAGAGGGAAAAATGAAACCCAAAGCTTAGGTTGGATATTGTCTGGGTACGCAGGGAGTATCCTAGGCAGATTGCTTATTTAATTTTTTTAACTCCTTCAAAGCTTTCATGAAGATGTCTTGATTTCTGTTTTCAGGGGCATGGATGGAGACACGCACACACACAGGCAATAGGCCTCAAGATTATTGGCGAGTAAAGGCATCTATCTATTATCGTGAAGCCTACTCTGAGCTTTGAGTGAGTGGGAATCCTTTATCCTAGAAAGGCTACCAGCTGTGTGGTTGGATGGTGGGAAATGCTTAGCTTTTATACCACTCACCACCTATTGGGAGTAAGGCAGGGAATTGTAGAAGATTGTAAAAACCCTTAAAGGCTGATGTTCAGAAGTTAAGAGTTAATCATTTTTTCTCTAGTCCTGTGGGCAGCAGAGGCAGAGAAATGACTTTATTAAGAACAGTTGCTTTTGTCATTCCTTCATCTTGAGGGATTCCAAATACCTTTCGGATACCAAAACAAATTAATCTCCAAAGGTGACTGGTAAGAATGGCTTAAGCCTCTGGGGATTGGTTGTGTAAGACACAGGGAGAGCTCAGCCTGAGCTGTTGACCTCTGTGACAGGCTGTGAGTGTTACATTCTTTTTGTGGATCAAGAGCCCTTTGGCTTCCCTTTGGTGAAATCAGTTTGACAGCTCTGAGCTTCTTCCCTGCTTACAATTCTTGTTTTGTTTTGTATAAGCAGTCACTCTCTCAGTGGTGACTATTGGGTAAATATAAATTAGGAAGTTTATTTCTTGGTCAGGGTGTTGAGTTAGCTTCATAATTTTTAGTGTGACTCTTTCACGAACAGACAGGACTTCAACTTTTTGCGTCCATATTTCACTCAATGTTGCTGGAAAGGCAAATCCATTTTAGCTTGTATCAGGGAGCTGGAACCCTTCAGATGGAAATCCCCTAGGCCTGTGCTGTTCAGTACTATAGCCACTGGCCTCATATGGCTGTTGAGCACATGAAATTGGGCCAGTCTGTATTGAGAAACACCATAAGTGTAAAATACATACCAGATTCCAAGGACCTAGTGTGAAAAAAAGAATGTAAAATAACAAATGAATAATTTTTTAATATAGATTACATGTTGAAATGATACTATTTTGGGTATGTTAGATTAAATAAACATATTATTACCTGTTTCTTTTTAAATGTGGCTACTAAAAAATTTAAATTACATCTGTGGCCTGTACTATATTTCAATTGAACACTGTTCTAGATTGTTAAGCTCTGATAACAAGGCAGTGTTTGTCTTGTTCACACTTATGTGCCCAGTACTCATCACAGTACCTCATATGGTTGGCACTTTGTTGAAGAAATGAATCCCAACTCTTATTATTCAGAGTGGTCAAATCTCAGGAATGATTCAAAACTTCCCTATTTGCAGTGTTAGTGTTTGAAAAAGAGATGTTTGAGGGTTAAGAAGAGAAATGAAGAGAAGTTCTTACGATTTTTGCCTTTAGAAGAGAATGTGGAAATAAAACATATCAGGGCTTTTGCATGGCTTACTCTCTGTTGGAGAGGGAGGTGGGAGCTGCTGTGTTGCTGAAGGAGCTGTAGCAGAGCATTGTAATGGGTTCGGCTCTGCCATAGAGTCATCATGAGGAGCTAAAGATAAAGCTGAATACTGTGTGTGAGGGAGGAGGTTGGAGAAACAGTTGGTGAACTTAAAGGTAACCCTCTTAGGGATGGTATACTTACACTATTGATAAAAGTTAACAGAGTTATTCTTGTCTCAATCCACACTGGCCCTATTTATCCCTGTGTCCCTATTTATACACGACCCTGTTGGAAGCCTGGGACTGGCAGCTGATTACTTGAAGACCCTTCAAACCTTATAACTCTTTAGTAAGTTATTTGTTGAATTAATGATTTAAAAAGTATTGTTTTAACTTAACCAGGGTCTTATATGACATATTTATAGGTGGATGTTTTTGCCTGAAATTTCCTCAGATGCCCTGTCTCAGTTAGGGTCCTGGAATCTTGGTAGATTAGCAGTTTTCCAGAGATCAGATTCAACTTTGAGAAGGGACCAGGTTGTCTTTGCATGAGTTTATTAAAAGATCTTAGGTATCCTGTCTCCCTGTTTATGAAATAGAGCTGTTGACTACTTCTCATTGCCAGAGATGTGGTGAAGATTGAAGTTCTGCAGAAGGAAAGTGCTATTTTAATGGGAATTTAATAAATGAAACTCCTCCCCTGACTTCTGAAATGTTTGTTTTAAAGAAGAGGATTGGAAGATGTGTTCAAAAGAGACATAGCTAGTGTTTTTTTTTTTCTATTTTGCATTTCTTAACTGTGGCAATATTTAGCTTTCTCCTTTTAATTGTGGCCCACTGCCTTTTCTTTCTCCCCTCGGAGATAAACAATCTAGAAATCTCCTTTCCGTGGAGAACTATGGAGCTCATGCCTTAACTTGGCTGCTGCAGCAGGCTCACGCTAATCAGAATCGCAGCAGGGCTTATTTTATGAGCTTGAAAGAATTAGTGTTCCCAGAGGGCTGAAGTTCCTTACCTGCTGAGGAGCTACAGATTTCCAGTTGGAAGCCTGCCCTCCTTTAGGATGAATCTACCTTCCCTTCCTCTTCTTACATGAAAACCACCACCTCCTTTTTTATTGTAGCCTGTCTGTGGTTACTGGCATGTTGCTTTCCTTTTTATTTTTCTTTTTTAGGGTAGAGCAGTAATGATGATAGTACATTTTTGTAATTTTTGTCCTTATGGAAAATAAAGTGTGTTCATACGAAATTATCATCTAGCTCAGGGAGACTAGGAAGAGAGTGAAAAATAGCAGGTGGTACCCTACAAACTAAATTGTCGAGTGTGAGTTTTCTAAACAATGTCATATGCTCAGACTTACTAAAGCACCTGGTATGTGGAGCAAGCAGGAAACATGAATAAAGAGGGGAATGACTTTCTACCACTGGCAGAGTACTGTTCAATACAAGTCAAAAGGGGAGATGTGTAACATGTATAATAGAAAATTTTCTCTTATTACCAAACAACTTAGCAGGCTGGCAGTGAAAGTGGCATTTTCTTTTGTTTGGTAGTAACATACCACATTGCACCAAGCATATCGCTGGTGGGTGTGATTACTATATCAGATAAAGAAATCTCATTGAAGAATCTAACACAAATGTTTTGTTGGAGAAGACAGAATCATGTGGATTACCTCACAGTGATGATTTTATGTATTTGTTTAGTACCATTATGGTTTAGAGTTCTTTCACTTGAAGTTCACAGAGAAAAGAATTATAATGTCCATTTACAGATGAGGAAACTAAGGTTTAGAGAGGTAGGTGATGGGCCCAAAGTTGAACCAGGAGTAAGTTGAGCTGAATGGAGACACTGGGCTGTTTGGTGTCTGGGCAGTGCTGTGTCTCTTCAGCTCTGAAGCCCCTTTCACTACTGCTCTGTTTTATTCTAATTTAATGGAAAACAACAGTAAGACCTTCTTCATGGATTGCATTGTAAAAGGCAAAATGAGCTGGCTGCAGTGGCACACACCTGTAGTCTCAGCTATTCAGAGGGCTGAGGCAGGAGGATTGCTGGAGCCCAGAAGTTCAGGTCCAGCCTAGGCAACATAGTGAAACCTCATCTCTAAAAAGTAAACAACAACAAAAGGCAACATGAGGTCCTAACAGAGTATGGTAGAAAGGTCCTTGGACTAGGAGTCTGGAAGTGCCAGTTCTATTTTCAGTGGTGCACGAGTGGTTTTGTGATCTTATGTAATACTTGGCTTCTGGGCCTTTATTATTATTATTATATTTGATTTAAAAAACTTTTATTTTTAATTAGCAAATAATTGTATATATTTATAGGGTACAAGGTGATATTTTGATATATGTTTACAGTCTGGAATGATTACATCAGGCTAATTAACAAATCTATCACCTTTAATACTTTTTCTGTAGTGAAAATATTTAAAATCGTTTTATCAATTTTTAAATGTACAGTTCATTATTATTTATTATATTCAGCATTCAGTGCAATAGATCACTAAAGCTTATCTTCCTGTTTAACTGAAACTTTTTTTTTTTTTTGAGACGGAGTTTCACTCTTGTTGCCCAGGCTGGAGTGCAATGGCACGATCTCGGCTCACCGCAACCTCTGCCTCCCGGGTTCAAGCGATTCTCCTGCCTCAGCCTCCCAAGTAGCTGGGATTACAGGCATGCACCACCACGCCTGGCTAATTTTGTATTTTTAGCAGAGATGGGGTTTCTCCATGTTGATCAGGCTGGTCTTGAACTCCTGACCTCAGGTGATCTGCCCGCCTCAGCCTCCCAAAGTGCTGGGATTACAGGTGTGAGCCACCGCACCCGGCCTTACTGAAACTTATACTCTTTAGTCAACATTTCCCTCCGTCTCCCTTCCTCCCCAGCCTCTGGTGACGATCATTCTACTCTCTACTTCTATGAGTTCAGCTTTTTTAGATTCCACATACAAGTGAGATTACGAGGTATTTGTCTTTCTGTGCCTGGCTTATTTCACTTTGCTTAATGTCTTCCAGGTTTATCCAGGTTGTCTCAAATGACAGAATTTCCCCACTTTTTAGGGCTGAGTAGAATTCTATTGTGTATGTATACATTTTTTTTATCCATTCATCTAGTGACGGACACATAGGTTGCTTCCATATCTTAGCTATTGTGAATAATGCTACAATGAACAGGGCAGATATCTTCTCAGCATACTGAATTCAATTCTGTTGGTTACATACCCAAAAGTGGGATTGCTGGATCATATGATAATTCTATTTTTAATTTTTTGAGGAACCTCCATCTGTTTTCCATCATGGCTGTATTAATTTGTGTTTCCATCAACAGTGCACAGGGTTCTCTTTTCTCTACACCCTCAACAACACTTTATCTTCTGTCTTTTTCATGATAGCCATTCTGATAGGTGTGACATGATAACTCATTGTGATTTTTCTTTGCATTTCCCTGATGATTAGTGATGGTAAGCATTTTTTTCATATATCTTCTGGCCATTTGTACATCTTCTTTTGAGAAGTGTCTATTTAGGTCCTTTGCCCAGGCTCTGGGCCTTACTCAACTCTTCTGTAAAATAGAATTGGGAGTACAGTAGACATTCAGAAGTTACATATGTAATATTTTATGTTTGTACTATTTGTGAGTAACTGTAAAAAAGGCTTTGTAATCTTACGTAGATGTGAATTAAAACCAGGTGCTAAGACGCTGGCATTGGGAGTTATATCTTGACTAGTATGTGAGCCTAACCCAGTGTCCCCATCTTAAGATAGCTTTGTTGCTATTTCCGTATACATAGGAACTTTTGTGAAATGGCAAAACTGCGTATAAAAAAATTCCCACTGACTTTCATGGTATATTTATAGAATCATTAAGGATCTGAAAAATGACCACATAGAGCTTTACCCCATGTGGTGGGAGAAGTTGTATGCTGGATGCTTTTGAGTCAGAGAATTCTTGAAAGCTTTTAGGATATTTGCTGTCTATGCCTTGCAAAGTCTTTTTTTGTATTTTTTGTAGAGTCAGGGTTTTACCATGTTGCCTCAGGCTGGTCTCAAACTCCTGGGCTCAAGAGATCTGCCTGCCTTGGCCTCCCAAAGTGCTGGGATTATAGGCATGAGCCACCACGCCTGGCTTCTATGTTGTATCCAGCTCTAAAATCTTATGTTTCTTTTCTCTCAGCCCAATAGGGGCACAAAACGTCCCCGGGATGATGAAGAGGAGGAGCAGAAGATGCGTCGGAAACAAACTGGTACTCGAGAACGCGGCCGCTATCGGGAAGAAGAAATGACTGTGGTGGAGGAAGCGGATGATGACAAAAAAAGGCTGCTGCAGATTATTGACAGAGATGGGGAAGAGGAAGAGGAAGAGGTAACGTGGCAGCGCTGGGTGGGAGCTGAGATGGCTGGCCCTGTAAAACGTAATTTTGGGCCAAATACTAAGCTTGTCTGAGCTTCCCATCTTCATCTGTAAAATGGGGTTAAGAATTCATATTTCATCGCGTTAATGTGAAGGTTAAGTGGGCTAGTGCAGTTGGGAAAGCATCTTATGAGATGTAAAGAATGTGACAGAGTTTTAAAATTGTTCCATATTATGTACTGTAGGGGAGGGTCAGGGCAGGCTTCCTGGATCTTACTGAGGACACATAGAAGGCACTTGCATTATTATCTTTGAAAGAGGGGTCAAATTTCACCAAGTGGAAGGAAGGGCTTTTTGGGCAGAGAAAATGGTATTAGCAAAGCAACAAAAGTGGAGAAGTTTAATGGGTTCCACAGTATTAGGTATTTAGGTGTGACTGCAAAAGTACAGCTTAGGGAAGGAGATTCCTCGGGCCTTTCCCTTTGCTGTTCCTCAAGATGCGTTGGGGCCTTTCCACTCATTCCTGCCTCTGGACCTTTGGACTTCTGTGTCCTCTGTTGGAATGCTCGTCTCCCTTAATGCTTTGTATGACTGGTTTCTTCACATTCAGGTCTCAGTTCAGATGTTTCCTCCTCCAAGAAGTCTTTCCTATGTAGCCCTGCAAGCCATTCTCTCATTTCCTCATTACTGTATTTTGTATATTGTCTGCATAGCACGTATCATGATTTGAAATTCTAGTTGTTTATTTTGCTCATTGCTGTCCTCCTCTCAGCCTCCCATGAAAACAGAGACTGGCTCTGTTCTGTTCACAGCTCTATCTTTGGCACCCAGAGCAATACCTAGCTCTTGGTAGGCCCTTAATAAATATTTATTGAATGAATAAATGAATGAAGCTGGGAAGAGTAGAGGTAAAATATCAGTGATTAAAAACAAAATGACCTTACCTCTGTGTCTTTTTAAATCTTTAAGTGTTAACTTGTGTGTTATTTCACTCTGGCATTTTGTTCAATATGAATTATGGAAATAAGAGTCTTAAGAGCCAGCTGTTTTTTGGTTCTCTCAAAGACACGATGCTAAGTTTGGATTACAAAATGAGGTTGGCTGTGAATCTGAGAAGAAGAAAAAATGGATTCATATTCCAAAAAGGTCTTTACTGTGTTGTGACAATAGCTCTGTCTTTATTAGGATTTGTACTAGTGCTAATTTGGGGGTCTCCCGCTAAAAGATGATGGCACTTTAGAAATACGTGGTGGGAGACAGTCCTGAATTTTTTAATTTCCTCTCTGAGGGCAGCAGCCTTGCCAGGGCTTAGACAAACAGTGTGTGTAGCACATCCTCCCTCCCTTCCCTCCTCACCAGCTTCTGCTCAATCTGTTAGCCCTGCAGCAGCAGTTAATTGGCAGGTATAATTCCCATGTAGGGCAAGGCTGGTACTGGAGGATTAGGATAGTAGCTGTCATGGGTAAGTGGTTTCTAGCCTGGGAGACAGAAATGTAATGTGGGACCAACCCGTCTGTTAAGGGACAGGGAAAAAGAGATCGCTTTGTAAAAATGACACATGGAAGGCTACAAGTCCAGGAGTTATTTTCTCACTGCCACTGAAGTCCCATTTGATGAAAAACAAGTGATGTTTGCCCCTGTAAAGTCACGTGAACTTGTAAAATATTATTGTCCTTTTTGTGCTACATCATCAGCATTCATCTTTCTGAAATCTCCCTCTGGTTTCTGACGTTGAGCTATTGGAGATACTGCTGTGGCTGATGACTAAGACTGATAATTCAGTTTTCCCCCAGTGTTGGAGAGAAATTAAAGGAGGGAAGGCCAAACCCCGGAGAGGCTAGGACTTCGGAAATCCCATGAGAGCTGTGTTAACACTAATGTGGTTTTTCTCCAGAGTGGGGCAAGATGTTAGCTAAGAAAAGAAAAAGTAGCAGATATTGAGCTTACTTGAAAGTGATTTAACCCTTTCCTAGAAATGTTTTGATTATTTTAGTTAAATTCTAGTGGTATGTTGGGTACATTGTGCCTGTTGCTGATAATAACCATAACAGCTTGCATTCATGTAGTTTACAAAGTAGTTTTATGTACATCCTTTCTTTAGGTCATCTCTATGACCTTGAGAGATAACAGGTAACAATTTCATTCATCCCCTTCCTTCCCCTCCCCTCCCCTCCTCCCTTCCTCCATTCCTCAGATCTTCACTGAGTACCTGCTGTGTGCCAGACACTGGAGAGTCTACTTATGCCAGAGAACAAGT
Organism: Homo sapiens; assembly: GCF_000001405.40. Taxonomy (NCBI): domain Eukaryota; kingdom Metazoa; phylum Chordata; class Mammalia; order Primates; family Hominidae; genus Homo; species Homo sapiens. The sequence goes on from NC_000020.11 coordinate 37,735,313, forward strand.
AGACATGGGCTAGCAATGGGAGTCTTTGCACTGGTTTGGGGTTGGAGAGATTATCTGGGCAGATCCTGCCAGATCCTTACGTAGATCATGTGAGGGATTTGGGATTTTATTCTAAGTGTGTAGTGGATGAGTTCAGGAAAGACTTAGGAGATAGAATTAGCTGGACTTGATGAAGCTTTGAGAAATATATTCAGCAAAGTAACATTGTCCCATGGCTAGTAAGTAGTGAAGCTAGGCTCTGAGTCTTGACTGAGCCAGGACTCTGACTTGTTTTTACTGTGTCAGGGAACCTGTCTTTAAGCTGTAGACCCTGGGGAGGAGGTAGGGGTTCAATAGAGAACCTTGGGATCTAGGAGTCATTGGTATAATCTAATAAATGTGTCATGCTGAAAATGAATTTATGGGTAGCTCCCACTTAAAACCCCATATGTGGAAATAGAAATTTAATAATAGAATAATAGCTAACATTTTTGAGTACTTATAAAATTATGGGATGATTCAGTGCTTTCCAAAAGGATCTATTTCAGGTTCTCTTAATAGCAGTTTCTTTATTGCTTTTAGGTGTGAGTTATGGTCAATGACTACAAAGCTGTGAAGCTTTGAGTTGGGATAGTATGAAGAGAAGCAGGGTGCATTGCAGCACATTAATTTAAACTGGAAGGAAACTGAAGATAAAACGTGTGAAATTTCAGTGTAGATTTTTTGGAGAAAAAATGATTTAGTTTTCAAATATTCATTTTATTTGCTTTCATAGGTATTATTCCAATGTATGAAGCCAGAAAATTCTGTACAGTCTACTAGCTTTTTTTTGCATTCTCTAGGCAAGGTTACTAAATTCTTGATGCTACTTCAGGGTTCAAAGTACCTGTCTGAATTCCTTCTCAGCATCTAGTAAGTACCAGGCAAAGTAATATATAAGAAATGCTAAGCAGTGACTATAGCTAATTAACAACCGTTCTTAGTTTACGCACTGTGGAAAAACAGGCAGTAGGTTGGATTTGGCTCATGGGCTGCAGTTTGCCAACTTCTGCTGTAGGAAAAGATTAAGGGTCACTGTCACTGACTCAGAGTTTGACCTTAAACAATTCTTTTAAACCTGTCAGTCTTATCTTACATGTATAGCAAAGGATGACAAGGTAAATGTATAATAATATTATCTAATATTGTTGCTTACTCTCTGCCATACAGTGTGCTCAAGAAATATTTGTTGAATGAGTGAGTCTTTAACAACTTTTCTTTTTTTTTTGAGACAGAGTCTCCCTCTCTCACCCAGGCCGGAGTGCAGCGGCACAGTCTCGGCTCACTGCAACCTCTGCTTCCCAGGTTCAAGTGATTCTCATGCCTCAACCTCCCGAGTAGCTGGGACTACAGGCATGTGCCTGTATTTTTAGTAGAGATGGGGTTTTGCCATGTTGGCCAGGCTGGTCTTGAACTCCTGACCTCAAGTGATCTGCCCACCTTGGACTCCTGAAGTGCTGAAGTGCCCAGTCTTTAACACCTCAAACCGAATTTTCTGTGTTACAGATAGTGGGCATTGTGTGAGACACCCAATGTGATATACCCGAAAAGAAGCATGTGATTACAGGCCCTTACTCCTCATTGTAATTAGAGAGATAAAGTGTGTACTGTGGCCGGGCACAGTGGCTCACACCTGTAATCCCAGCACTTTGGGAGGCCAAGGTGGGCAGATCACGAGGTCAGGAGATCGAGACCATCCTGGCTAACACGAAGAAACCCTGTCTCTACTAAAAATACAAAAAAATTAGCCGGGCATGGGGGCATGTGCCTGTAGTCCCAGCTACTCGGTAAGCTGAGGCAGGAGAATCGCTTGAACCTGAGAGGCAGAGATTGCAGTGAGCTGAGATCATACCACTGTACTCCAGCCTGGGCGACAGAGCAAGACTCCATCTCAAAAAACAAAACAAAACAAAAAAAGTGTACTGTACATTGAACCCAGAAAGGTCAATGGCAGAGTGAGGTGGGGTATAAGAGCCACAGGAAAGTAGTGACAATGAATGTGAAACCCCTGTGGACTGAAGTTTTTGCATTTGTCTCTTTGTACCAGGAGGAGCCATTGGATGAAAGCTCAGTGAAGAAAATGATCCTCACATTTGAAAAGAGATCATATAAAAACCAAGAATTGCGGATTAAGTTTCCAGACAATCCAGAGAAGTAAGGTTCTGTTCCACTGATACCATGTCTCCTCTGTGGCGTTTCGTTGGCTAATTTTGTTTTGATTTTGGTTTGTTTTGGCTTTTGTGATTTGGGCCAGGAATCCCAGGATGACCCCCATGTTTGGGAATTCACTAGAAGGACTCCCAGGACTCAAAGTCAGTGATACTCAGGGCTGTGGTTTATTACACAGGGCACACAACAGGATCAGCAAGAGAAAAAGACACATCAGGTGGCATCTGGAGAAATTCAGATACAGGCTTCCTATGTTTTCTCCTTCCCAGTGGGTGGGATTATACAAACATGCTTCTTTCTTCAGCAATGAAATGCATCAACATGTGTGCAGTGATGCTGTCCAGGGAAGCCCATTTCAGACTCTGAGTTCAGGGTTTTTATGGAGGACTGGTCATGTAGGCATTCTCTGCCTGTAATAACAATAACAACCAAAATTGTAGGCTCCTGGAAGGAAAGCAGCTGTTCAGTGCCCCGGGCTGACAAAGCAGCAACCTTATCACTTAGGGAACATTTCAAAAGCCAAATTCCTGGCTGCCAGCCTAGGGCCAGCCTTGTAAGCTAGCCCTTTTCAAGATCAGCCCCGCAGTTAACATATTAACTCTCCTGCATTATTCTTTTCAGTGCCCAAAGAAGACTGATCGTGCCTGCCGTTAGTGATAGCTTTACTGTGGAGATCATTTCAGAGGCTCTGAAGTTAGACAGATATTGGTGTGATACACACATCCCTTTGAATAAGTTACTTCCCCTTTCTTAGCCTTGGGTGTCTCATCTGTATAAGGAAATAATGCCTTCCTCACAGGGTTGTATGAAGATTAAAGGAGAATAATGTAAGTGTTTAGCTTAGTACCTGGCACATAGTAGGTGCCCATGAGATGATAGTTAACGTGAGTTTTACTACACTGGCACCTTGGTGCACTATGAAGTGCTATGTGAGGAATCTGGCATCTTTCAGTCAGTCTTGAATCCTAACCAAGGGGACTTTCACATTTATACGATTTTAATGTTCTAAACCTCTCTTTCTTTCCCTATCTTTGTCCCTCCCAGGACATACAATTTTAATGAATCTTAATATGCCCAAGGCCCCCAGGCAATTAACAATTGAGTAGTACAGGCTTTGCACTCAAGTTTTTAGGTTACTAGGGAGACTGACTATAAAGGCAAGGTAGAAGGAAACAGACACTTTAAAAGAGATATAATAGGAGAAGAAACAGTAAATACCAAGTTGGGGGCTATTGAGGGTGTCACAGAAAAGATAGTAGTTGAGCTGGGCCTTGAAGATTCATTTTTATTAGGCGGAAAAGAACACAGGAAGGCATGCCAGGCAATATGAGGAGCATGAACAAAGGCACAGAGGTGTCAGCGGGCACAGAGTCTTCATGGCAACCTAGAGAGGCCAGCGTGGTCAACTATGTTGTCCCTGTGCTGTGGATGAGAAGGCAGAGTGGGGAGAATGTGGTTACTGGGCCTAGGGCCACAGCCCTCTTTGATAGTAGGAGTAGCTATTAATAGATCAGGGCCCAGCTTATCCAGCATTAGAGTCCTATCAGGTTTTGTACTGATCTCCACCATACAGGAGCACTGTGTGTGTGTGTGTGTGTGTGTGTGTGTGTGTGTGTGTAATTACACAAGTAATGCATGAATAGATTGTCATTCTGAAAATACCAGTGGTACATGAGTAGAGTGAAAAATGAAAGTTTTCCTTCACTACTCTGATCCCTTTCCATTCCTCTGCCTAGAGGAACCTTGTGAACAGTTAATTATGCAAATGTATTTGTTTCTACTTAAATCATACTGTGCATATTCTGCACCTTGATTTTTTGGGTCATCTAACAGATCTGTCCAGGTGGTACATGCATATCTACCTTGTGTTTTTTTAATTGGTGCATAGTATTTCATGGTTTGGAAATACCATGACTTATTTAATTATTTTCTATTAATGGACATTTGATTATTTTAAAATCGGCTTTTATGAAAAATGCTATAGTGAACCTACTTGTACATGTGTCTTTGTGTGCATATATTTCCATAGGATAGATACCTAAATTTTGAATTCCCAGATTGAAGGGTATGTACATTTTAATGATAGCTACTGCCAATTTTCTCACTGTATTTTTAAATTCTCCCCCCAGCAGCAGCATCTCTTTTCTTGTGTTCTTGCCCACAATGCATGTGATCAGTCTTTAACATCTTTGCCATTTGTTTTGTTGTTATTTCTGTACTCAGTGGTTCCTGCATTAGACTCTGTTCCTTTTAGGAGATGGACGGTGTCTTGTTTGTCTCTAGTGCCTACCACAGTACTTGCCTTGCTGTAGGTGTTCAGTAAACATGAGAGAGCTCATGTAGTCCCTGTCGTCTTTATTACATCCCCATTGCTTGAACCTAAGGATACATTATGAGGAAGCTATGCTGCGGGTAATGATACTGGAAATTTAAGAAATTCAGTTTACTTCTTTGAACACCAGTATTTCCTTCGCCCGCTTGGTAGATACACGTCTCTCAATTTGGAGCAGAGTTTCTGCAGGTTATGTTCACCATCTACATCTTAGGTACCTTAGTGTTACAGTTCATTAACTGGGTTTAAGACAATGTGATTTTATTTAAAAAAATCGGTAGTGTTTTCCATTCAGACAAAATGTATATACTATTTTAGTTTTAAAATCTGAGCATATGAAAATTGAAATTGTGCATAAAGAACTTTTTTTTTTCATGTCGAAAAGCAGTTAGGAAACTACATTGTGTTTTAACCTTGAGTTCTTGAATTCTCACTGGTGCAGTGTCTTTCGTAATTCTCTAGATCAGCGAGGTGAAATTAAGATGAAAATTGCTAGAGTGTATTCGGATGAAACTTTCCGGTTGAGATCAGAAACATTCAAATTTATTTTCCCATATATCCAATTGTCATTTTGATCGCATACCCAAAAATGCCTCTCTTCATTTGACTGCATTTGAGATTCAGTTGACAGTTCTCCTTATGCACCCTCCAATTTGCACTGCCTGATCTTTCTCCTAAACACCACATTGACTAGAGTGTGCTGTTTCCCTAGAAAGTCCTTTAATAGTTCTTCTCTTCATTTTTGCAGGGACAGAATTACTTAGTTTACTGATTTTCAACCTTTTTGGTCTCAGGATCTCCTTGTACTCTTAAATTATTGAATATCCCAAAGTGCTTAGAAAATTCTGGCAAATACAAGAATAGACAAGCACACATTTCATTAGCCATCAGGGCAGTGATGTCATCATGTCATGGAGCCCTTCAGAAAACTCCATTGTACACTCCTGAAAGAATGAGAGTGAAAAAGGCAAATGGTGTCTTAGATTTATTATAAAATAGTTTTGATCTTATAATTCCCTGAAAGGATCTCCAGCCACCCCGCTACCCCATCCTGGGGTCCTAGGACTACACTTTGAGAACTGCTGATTTACTTGGATGGAGGGAGCATCATGTTCCCCCAGCAGTGATTGCATTTAGGACTTACCAATTTCTGTGGCTTTCCCAGTGTTTTTGAACTTTGCTGGTCATTTGCTGATATTCACCCTTGTGGTTGAAGGAGAATATCCTGCTGGTCTGAAGCAAATGCACATGGGCAGCCTAGGAAAATATTCTCTGTCATATTAGATGGAATCGATGACCCCATCTCAGCCTGGGTTACTGTTTTAATATGTTGCTCTATTGCTTTCCCGTCACCTCTAACTTTATCCTTTCCCCCAGCTGTGAGTCATCTATTGCTGAAGGTATGCCTAATTCCTAAAGACAGTTCTCTGCAAATAGTAGTGTGTGCTTTAAATGAGTAGGCTCATGAGTAGGCTGTGCTTGGTCAGGCAAAACAGAAGACGACTGTTATAACAAACTTGAGGGTACATAGATTCATTGAGTACTTGTATGTGCCAGCTATTATTAGGCACTGTATATATATTATCTCTTTTAATCCTCACTATAGGAAGATAAGGAAATCAGGGTCTAGCAATAAGTTAGTTAATATTCTGTGTCTTCCTTGATCAGGTTGGGACACCACGCTCTGTGTTCCAGTGACACTTCTCTTGGTAGTACCAGGCATGCTTATAATTAATGGTTTGTAATAGATTATTTATATTTAATGGAGGCCAGAAACTGGGATTATTTTATCTGTTATATCCTCAGTGCCTAACACAGTGACTGGCACCTAGTATGTGCCTAGTAAATATTTGTCAATTCACTGTTCATGGCCACACCTCTAGTAAATAGCATGGCTGGGAGTATGACCCAGGTCAGTCTCATTCCCAAGTCCAGCATTTCTCACGGTATCTTGTTACTCACATAACACTGGACCCAGTATATTTTTGTAATATTTCCCTGCTTGCAGTTTTATTCTCTGCTTGTTTGTTTTATTTTGATAATTTTCTGACTTCCTAAACTTAAAAGCACTGGGTTAAGACCATATTTGGAAGAAGAATTTCAAAGTTGGAAGGAACTGAGAAGCACAGTCTATTCTACCATCTAACTCTTGGTATTTTTTTTTTTAATGTCATCCTTTATTAACTATCCCAGTGAGAAGGATCTAACTTTCCAAAGAAAGCTATTCCATCATTTGGCAGCTTTGACTCTTAAAATTTCAACTCAGAATGAGAAAGCATTTCAACAAATTCTTATATGAGATGTATCTAGACTCCTTAGAATCTTGGTTGTTTCCCTGAATTGGTTTCCACATCCCTCCTAAAAGATGGTTCCTTGAACAGATGTCACAAAGTTTTAGGGTCATTGAATCAGCATAACTCTGTATTGTCCTCTTTTAAGTACCCTAAAACCACCGTAGCACTTGTGGCAGCTGTTTTCATCTGTGCCCCCATTTACAGGCATCTCCCAAGTTTCTGTGTTGGACCAAGGCCTGCGTCAGGTGCTGGATGTCCAGAGATGAATAAGAAATTGTCTCTGGCAGAACTGGCTCATGTTCTGATTTGTATTACAGTTATGGTTCAATAAAGCCATCAAGTTCAGAAAGAAACACATGTGCCCTTATGAAACTGTATCTCTCCCAGCCTTTACATTTGTACTTGACTTTTTGGTTCATTGCAGTTTTCTGTGTGGATCCCAGGTATTTTTCCTTTGGTTAGATTTGGCACATCATTATTGCCTGTCAGGAACTTTTGAATTGATTCTGTCAGCTGCTGTGCTTACTGTCTCTTTAAGCTTTGTGTCATATAACATTTTTTCATTTTGCCCTTTATCTATCTTTGCTCATGTTATTGATTAAAAAAAAATAATAAAATACTTGATCTAAACAGGCCTAAGGACAGACCCCTCCAGGTGACTAACAATCGTTCAATTACTTTATTTATTTATTTTTTGAGACAGAGTCTCACTGCATTGCCGAGGCTGGAGTGCAGTGGCACGATCTTAGCTCACTGCAACCTCCACCTCCCAGGTTCAAGCAATTCTCCTGCCTCAGCTTCTCGAGTAGCTGGGATTACAAGTGTGCGCCACCACACCTAGTTAATTTTTGTGTTTTTAGTAGAGACGGGGTTTCACTCTGTTGGCCAGGCAGGTCTCAAACTCCCGACCTCAAGTGACCCGCCCACCTTGGCCTCCCAAAGTGCTGGGATTACAGGCATGAGCCACCACGTTCGCTGTCGATCACCCAAATCACCAGATCTTATACTGCACTCAGCACAATTTTTTTTTTTTTTTTTACTGTTTAGTGCCCAGTCTCCCTTGCCAGTTCTTCCAAGTGAACTGGAAAAACCTTTTGTCAGGTTGTTCTCCAGAAATCTTGTATACACTCACTCACATAAGGCAAATAAGCCTTAGAGGTTTGTTGAGGCCTTTGGGTTCAAGGATTATGTAGATCTCCTGGCCCATGGAATATTTGAATCCTTCTGCACCAGCCTTACTGAGTCATGATTCTGATTTAGCTTCCACACTTCAAGTGATCTAAAAAAATAATCTATTTGCAAGCAGAGAAGGAAGCCTTTTAAAAAAAAGGTATTGGGGGAAAATCTTGCTAAAATAGTTATGAAATTTACTTGGAATAATAAGTGAGAACAGGCAAGGAAACACTGAAAAATAAAAACAACAAGGGAGTTGTTTGCAGTAACACACATAAAACATACTATAAAGCTATAACAATGTGGAAGTGTGGTCCTGACTCAGGAATTTACAGACGAATCAATGAAATGGAGTGAAAAACCCAGAAACAGAATAAAGTACACATTAAAATTTAGTGTATGATAGATGACATTTCTTTAAATCTCTGGGGAAAGATAGATTATAGTATTGGAGCACTTGGCCAAACATTTGCAGAAAATAAAGTTAGATTTGTGCCCTATATCAATACATTAAAATAAATTTCAGATAGATTAAATATTTAAATATATAAACATAAAAATACATCATAAAATATATCTTCTTTTAGCACAGAAAATATCTTGCTCAGGATACATGTAAAATAGAGTTCATAAAGGCAAAGATTTTGCTACTTGAACTTTTTAAAACCTTTATGTCAAAAGGAAAAAAAAACCTTTATGTCAAAAAGCACAATGTACAAATTAAAGGGCAAACACTTTTCTCTGATTATTTTTTTTGCAGTGTAGGATAGAGATTAATTTCCTTAATATACGGTGTTTATAAATCTATAAACAAAGTGAGCATCCTAATAAGAATGGGCAAAGAAGAAATACAAACAGTAAACATTAGAAGAATGTTAACCATCTTACTATCAGAAATGCAAAATACAAAATGAGTTGTCTTTTCTATCTCAAATTGGAGGAGATACTGTTTGTGAAGAGGGTAAGGGGAAATAGGCACTTCATGCACTATTGGTACTTTTCTGGCAAAATATATCAAAATCTATTTAAGTCATGTGTACTCTTTGACTTGTCCCTTTCCTTCCTGGGAATTTATCCTAACACAGTAATTAGGAATGCATACATCTTAGTGTCATTTGTTAAAGGGAAAAGAAATGGAAATTATCTGAATGCCTGACAAAGGGGGATTGGTTAATTAAATCACAGTACGTCTACTCAAGGGAATATTGTGTGGCCATTAATCTATGACTTAGAACAGGGATTGTAGATAAGCTTAATCGGCCACACCCAGCCTGTGATTGATTCATAGTCTCTTCTTGGAACACTGTGTTGAGAAGGATTCTGAGGCCAGCCATCTTGGCTCAGCAGGGAAGAGTGCTGTGGTGAGTGAGGGATTTTGCCATGGAGAAGGAGAAGGACCCATAGCAGTTTGTCAGGTATTGGCTTCTCCTATTGTAGTAGAATAATGATAAGGGGAATTATTTAGCCTATATTAACAACAACAGCAAAATGAATATAGAACTATATACTATATAGGCTTACTTTTTGGGGGGAAAGTCTGTGAGTTGAGAAGAATGACTTAAACATACAGGCAAACATACATGGTATTGAAGCGGTTGGTCAAACATTCACAGAAAATAAAGTTAGATCTTTGCCTTATATCATACACTGAAACAGAATTTAAGAGTCTGTGAGTTGAGAAAAAGGCTTAAACATAAAGAGTATTATCAATGGTTATTTTTGGTTAGTAGGCTTATGGATAATTTGTTTACATTTTTGAGGGCTTGCTTTTCTTTCTCCGGTTTTCTACAAAAAGTATACTGTAATTGGGAAAAAATATATAAGCATATACTTAAAAATATTAATGGAGAAAAACAGTAATAGAAATTGTCTAAAATATGGGCATGTTTTAAAGAATTCTAAGTCTCTAGATTTTGTTGCTTACCGACTCCAGATTTTTGGAGAAGCTGTATCTACCCAGCCCCACAGCATCTGGAAGTTGATGAGTCCTGTGTGACTTCAAGAGTCCCTGCTTGTGTTCCTTTTCTTTGTGCCCTCAATTTAATTCAGTAGGCATCTGTGGATATAAGAGACAAAGATACATTTCCTGTCTTTAAGAAGTTTACTTTCTAGAAGAGAAGACAGACATATTACAGTAATAGTAGCAGCAATAGTAATGAGAACAAATACTTACATAGTGCTTTTTATATGGTAGACATTGTTCTCAGTGCTTTATATGTCCTTACTCATTTACTCTTTACAGTGGCCCTGTGAGACAGATAACCTTATTGTCCCTATTTACAGAAGAAACTGAGGCATAGAGAGGCTAAGTAGGTGGCTAAGCCAGGTTCAAACCCAGGTAGTCTGACTCCAGAGTCAGTTTAACCACTGCTTCCTCTCAGTCACTCTCAGTCAGGTATTGTTCAGTTGCCTTACACCAGATTAGCTCATTTCCATCTCAGAACAAACCTTCCTGTCTTGTTCATCCAAGGCTTAATCGGCATTTCTTGTATGTCAAACACCGGGGGAGGGCATGCAGCGTGAATGCAAAGTAGTTCTGTTCTTAGTGCCTGGGCATAGGTTTGTTGAAAGGTTCAGGTATAGAAATGTGAGTAAAGTATCATGCTGTGTAAAGTTGGTGGTGATTGTAGGATGCCAGAGACTAGGTCTGCTTTTCTTTGGTATCTGCCTCTGAATCAGCTCCAAAGAGGAGGAAGAGGGAGGGCATTTTTGGATACAGAAAATCTTATCTTCTTTGGTAAGGGGAATAACTGGCCCTTGATCTGAAGTGGGAAGTAAGAGAAACCCTTTTTGGATGGGTAGTAGGATAACTATGTTCAGGGCAACAGAGTGAATTGCCACACCAAGGGGTAATGGTGGCTAATCTATAGGACTGGTGGAAAGATCGTTTAGTGCTACAAAATGCTTCGGGAGCCTCTGAAAGGCAGCTTGTGACTGCAAGAGTAAGGGAACCCTGTAATGAGATCTGAATCCAAGATTGATTTTTGTAATGAGGAAATCGATTTCCCAAGGAAATTGTGTGACAGTATGATGTTTGGATGAGTGTACTTCTTGGTTGGTCTGTTGTAGACACTTTGACAGATTGCCTTGTTGTCTAGATTGTTGCTGTTTGCTCCTCATTGCTGATAGTGCCCCTTTCCTTCTAATGATGTCTTGTTTTCCCTCCTAGGTTCATGGAATCCGAGCTGGACCTAAATGACATCATTCAGGAGATGCACGTGGTGGCCACCATGCCAGACCTGTACCACCTTCTGGTGGAGCTGAATGCTGTACAGTCGCTTCTCGGCTTGCTCGGACACGATAATACAGATATCCTTTCAGATCTGACCTCAGTAGGAGAGCTGACATGGTGGGGAAGTGCTGTTACTCTTTCTCCTGTCTCTCTTTGTAGATGTGTGCTATAAAATCTGATGTTCTGTTTCCATTCTAATTATCTTCTGTCTTGAAACACACAATGCTTTTTACTCATTTGAAAACCTGGTTTTTCTCTATTAACAAATCTTGCAAATCTTGGGCAATCCTTAAAATTGTCCTATTTGCTCTTATTAGTACTAGAATTCATCGTGATATATCTGTTCATACATTAACAGCTTTACTTTTCAGGATCTGGATTGGAAGGCCCCTTATGGGGGCAAAGCCAGACAGATTTGAATGTGTAAATCTAGGCATCTTTCTGCTGACTGATGGTCCAGTGGAGTTGAGACTAGAGATAGTGAACCATGGTAAAAAGCACATTTGGATGTCCAGGAGGACAGGGAAGCTGTTCTGTTTTGTTCATTCCTAGTTCCTAAAAACAAGGCTGAGTGTGGTGGCTTGTGCCTGTAATCCCAAGACTTTGGGAGGCCAAGGTGGTTGGATTACTTAAGGTCAGCAGTTTGAGACCACCCTGGCCAACATAGCGAAACCCTATCTCTAAAAATATAAAAATTAACTGGACGTGGTGGTGCACGCCTGTAGTTCCAGCTACTCGGGAGGCTGAGGCAGGAAAAGCTCTTGAACCTGGGAGGCAGAGGTTGCAGTGAGCCGAGATCATGCCACTGTATGCTACTCTGGGCAACAGAGTGAGTGGGACTCCATCTCAAAAAAAAAAAAAAAAAAAAAAAAAAGACTGAGTACACAGTAAATAGCATTTAATATTTGTTGAGTGCATGTTGGACCTAAACAGACAATCTAGGTTTGACTCTCAACCGCATTTTTGTGTGAAAGACGGTGCCCTTCCACAACTTGTATTCTTTTTTGCACAGATAGAGTTAATAACTTTTGTCTTTCAGTGTTATTTTTATTTTTATTTGTTTTTAGAGACAGGGTCTTGCTTTGTCACCCTGACTGAAGTGCAGTGGCATAATCATAGCTCACTACAGCCTCAAACTCCTAGGCCTAAGTGATCCTACTCCTTAGCCTCCTGAGGAGGGACTACAGGTGCATACCACCATGCCTAGCTAATTTTTTTTTTATTTAATTTTTTGGAGATGGATCTTGCAATGTTGCCCAGGCTGGACTCAATCTCCTGGCCTCAAGTGATTTTGCCTCAGCCTCTGGAGTAGCTTTCCATGTTACTGAGAGGATCAAAGGAGTGTATAAGTGCTGAGCACAGTTCTTGATACATAGTAGGTACTTGGTAAATGTTACTTGTCACTGAATCTGATTCGTGACTTCCAAAACCATTTTATACTTTATCTTGGCTATCAGGTGTGCAGTAGCTTTATTGCAAAGGCTTTTGATGTGCCTGTGGACAGGGTTATGTTCATTAAACCAAATTCTCTTCTAGTAGTTGTTCTGTTTGAATCCAGATTTCCAAAGGTAAGAGACAAATGTAGTTAGTCTGCTTGAGTGATATTCACAGGGAATCTGCTGTTGCTTCATGTTATTTTCATCTTTCTGGTAATCTCTCTCCTGAGAGCGTGTCTGACTAAGTTCTTGCCTGGCTGATAATTCTCATAGAAATAAATCAGTGAGTAATTTTAATGCAGGCTTCTTGAAGGGCAGTCTTAAGACATTTCTGATGCTTCATGTAATGTTAGATAGCATCAAGAATTGATCTGTTAGCTCCCAGATTTATGACTTTGTTCACCAGGGTTTGCTGTGGGGTTCTGGGTTGTATAAGAACCCTAGTTAGCTTGCTGCTGAGTGAGCTCAGTGTATGGTCTCATGAAATTCATTCAGTAGAGCTGCTGTGAGTGCTCATGATGTACCAGGCACTGTGCTAGGCCCTTAGGAACCATAAGCTGTGCTGGTTGCTCAAGCAGCATCAGTCAGTAAGTATATATTGGGTATTGTCTTGGTCTATTTGGGCTGCTATAACAAAATACCGTAAACTGGGTGGCTTATAAACAACAAAAATTTATTTCTCACAGTTCTGGAGACTGGGAAGTTCAAGACCAAGGCACCAGCAGTTTTGGTGTCTGGTGAGGGTCTGCTTCCAGGTTTGTAGATAGCTGTTTTCTCACTGCGTCCTCACATGGTGGAAGGAGTGAGGGAGCTCGCTGTGTCTCTTTTTAGGACACTAATCCCAAGGGCCCCACCTCCAAGTACCATCACATTGGGGATAGGCTTCAACATATGAATCTGTGGGGGGATATAAACATTCCATCTTTGGCAGGTAACTGCCATATGCCTAGCTCTATTCTGGGCACTAATGGTGTTCACAGACTCAGTGACTACGAGTTCTGGTTGTTACTTCACATTTCAGTTCACCTACAGAAGGGTAGATTTCAGAATCTGATCAGACCTTAGAGAGGACTTAGCTCAGTACCTTGTTTGTTTCTACTTAGTGACAAGTGTGAAGTCCAGATGTTGGACAGCTAACTTGAAGTTAAGACAGGCACTCCAGGTCTGTGATTTTCAGTCCGGTGTTCCTCCAGTGCACCTCAGGTCTTCCTGTGGGATTTACGACATTGCTGACAGAGTCGCATGGTCACCTGTTACCCTGTATATTATTAGTACAGAAATGACTTATTTTCTTTCTGGAAACACCACTCTCATTCTTTTTTCTATTCCTGCTAACTCAAAATAATAGTAGCTGCTTTTGGAAGATACTGACATTTTGCTGATTCACCAGCCTGGCTCCTGCCGGGGAGAAGACTGACACAAAAAACGCTGCTCGACATCGGCATATTTGGGAAAGGCAAGGGCACAGATGTTCCAAGTTGTTAAGTTCTGGTCTTTAAAAAGGGAAAAAACACATCCCCCTATAATAACTTTGACAGATTGCCATTTCCCTCCTGTTTTCTGAGAGCTAAACTGTTTTTTTTTTCCTCTTGTATGCCAACCTGCACCCAACTGCCCTAATGATATTTTTTAAAATCTGATGTTTAATTATGTCTTACATCAAATTTAAAGTGCATTTGAAATTTTTTAAATTACCTTAATTTTAATTAGAGGCAGCAAATAGGGGTAAATGTCATCCTCCTCAAAGTACGATTTTTCTTGAAAGTGATTTCAGGAAAGGGCAGGTCCTCTTGACTTGCATCTACCATATCCTCTGTTGGTCGTAATGTTGCTCTCCCTGCAACATTGCACTCTGCTGCTTGTCTTATCTGTGATCTATAATAGAAATTTTTCTTCAGGAAACGGTTGTTAACAATTTACTGTTGTACAGCTGTAACTGCCCAAAACACCTTAGCATGAATAAACAATTTCATGGCAGTCATGACTTAAATTTTTAATCTTTTTTAACTCTTCATTTATCAACCAAGACCATATATGGCTGGTTATGTTCCCAGCAAGCACAGGTCATCTTTGCTTCATCCTCCTCTGTGAAAACATAAACTGTAGGGATTTTAATTCAATCAGAGCCTGGTTTGTTGTAACCTTAAGAGGCAGAGGATGTGAGAAAACAGCTTGTGCCTCATCCTTTCAACCGTGAGAAGCAGCTTCAGAGTTTATTCTGGCGCTCTGCATCACTGCTGCTGGTGAGGGCTTGTCAGCGCTTCTGTGCCTCATCTGCCCCCTTGAGAGGCTGGAGCCCAGCTATCGGTTGGCTGCAGAATGGATTCTGATCTGTGAAGAGCATATCTTGGGGGTGGGGAGCACACACCTCACATGGTTTTGGAGGGTTACTCTAAATGCAGTCGGAGGCAGCAGAAGGTGGAATCCAGCAGCTGCTGCCTTTTCAAAATAATGCTTTTTAAACACTTTTTCCTTTAAAGTAATTCATTAAACGTGTTTAGAGCTCCTTTCTTGTGAACCTTTTAGAGTGTTTCTATGGAAAAATAAAACCAAAGGTACATTTAAAGATATTTTCTTAAGGTATTGCTAAAAAATCCATTTTTGTGGACTGCTTTAAGCCAGATTTACTCAGTTGGCCCAAAGGAACAAGGAGGAATAAAAGGGAAAAAAACAAACCACAACAACGATCACATGGCACCAAATTGATAAATATTCTGTTTTTGTATGTCTTTTGCCATGTTCTTAATTTGAGTGGTCAGTTGAGTCCCTTCTAAAGTTTTTTTGGTAGATCACTGTTATTTACTGGGTTCTTCCTTTGTATGCTAAGTGTGTTGGATGCTAATAAAAAATAATAACTCCAGTTTAAAGCAAAAACTCTCAAATTACCACCCTCCCCCACCATGGTGTGTGTGGAAAGTGCCTTGGGAACAGTATGCTCAGGAAACACCACTGATTGGAGCCCTGAGAAGGTGTGGGTCATCTCTGGCTTGGGGGTGTGGGGAGTGGAGATGGGTAAGCTTTTGACAGACATGGAGATTAGCATGCATTTCAGGTTTATTTTTGTAGTCTCTCCCTTTGCAGTGGAAATTGCCATTCCTCCTACTCCGGATGGAAGCTGATGTGGTCTTGCTGGCTGCCCATGTAGTCACTACAAATTTATCAAGGTATCGGGTCCATGGCTTAATTAAAAAAAAAAATCATGACTACTGCTTCCCAGCTAAATGCCTTTATTCTTTAATAATAATAATAATAATAATCCAGTAATCTAAACCCAATTTATTCAAAGTCAGCTTTCTCTCCACCCCTTTGTGAGACAGAAAAATGAGGTCTCATTGTGATGTTAACTTAAGGCACCAGTACATTGGGTTGCATGCTAATATTTAAGCAGGGAAAAATTTTTAAGTGGCAGAGTAGATCATTGTGCTGATGGGGCAGCTCTTTTTGGTGTGGAATAATTTAGGGAGTGGTCATTAACACTGTTCTTTTCCAAATGACTGTTTAGTTTTCTTCTGATTCTAGAAAACCAGGAGAACTTACAGAGTTGTCAAGTGAGTTTTGTGAAGAATTACTGTGGGAATTCGGAAAATACGGAGGAGACAGGTTTTTTAGACCAACAGGGATCAACTGAACTTGAGTAGTCTGGGTCTGAGAATACTAAAGTGGAACAAACTGACTGAGACTTACCGTGTTATCCCAGAAGGTGCGTACAGTAGTCAAGGGTGCCTTGTGTTACAGACCCAGTGCTAATGAGCAAGAATAGGGCTGGGAAGGATTTGAGCCCCCTAAGGGGCTTTCTTCTAATTGGACTGGGAGGGAGTTGGTATTTGCTCCATTGCTGTCCCGTAAGCACTGTCTAACAAGACTTACATATTTTGAGCTGTTATTTTGCTAGGAGCTATATTTGTCTTGATATTTCCAGAATTAAAATTACATTTAGAAGAATTTACTTCTTTTTCTCATCTGTCATCTGACTTCCTTGATATGTATTGATAAGCCACTTATTTTTTGGAACCAATTAAATGTGCTCTGAAGATAAACATCTTAGGTTAAAAGTGCCAAAATGGCAATGTAGAAGAAGGATCTTTTAATGTAACTTGAAACAAACAGACAAACACACAAAACCTGGTACCACATTAATGTAACTTTTGGTCTTGTTTATGGGTTTTAGGTAAAATCTATGTCCCTGGAAGATTAGGGTGGTTGTAGCCTGCCTTGGACATTTCCCCTGTGGCATGTTACTCCCCACTGGCATTTAAGAAGGACTTAATAAATGTTGAATGAGTACATTTTCTCCTTCATATTAGTTTGATCTAGGATGGGGATAAGAGTCCAGGTTCATTCTAGGTGGCTTTGTGCCAGCTGCTTTAAAAGGAGAAAAAGACCATTTTGTCTGTTTTGAAATTCATCTGCATTAATTGAGCTATATCTAATTACTGTCCTAGTCTAGAAATTAAAGAAAAGATATTTTTTAACTCACATTTATTGCATTAATCAGTTATATTCTCTGAATCTATACTGGTTTATTTGTCTTAAGAAAGCCTTTTTGAAATGACTTTTAAAAAGCCATCTGCTTAATACATCTTATTTCTCTTTTTTTTTTTTAATAACTTTGTTCCTTGTGGAGTCATCTCATTGGAGATTAATGAGATTAATGCTTAATTTCTGTACCAAGACTCTAAGTGGGATATGGCTCCAAAACAAATATCCACAGCCAAAAAATAGAAGTAAACACCACTCTTTTTTTCCAAGAGCCATTGTGTTATGGACCATTTCGTGCCCAGCTGGTCTTTTCTGGTTTACCTATTATTACACTAACTTATTGCCCCAGTAGTGGACAGGTACAGAGGGAGTGCGTGGGTGGCCTTTCTACTCGACATGACAAAATAGGCTATCAAAAACTGTGTTTTAGTAATTCGCAGGGAGACAGGCTCTCTCTTTTCCTATTATACTTGGACAGAAGAGCCTTTTACCTTGTGAAATGAAATTGTAACTACAGAGGAAAAACCTATCACCCATGCCCAGAGTCTGCTTGTGAAGAAATGCTGGAGGGATAGCCAACCATGCTGAATTTTCTCATCAAGATTGAGAGTTTGTCTGTCTTTAGTTTTGATTCTCATTCCTCTTTCTGGTCTTCAAATGACCTCTGTCTCCTGGGTCATATTGTATTACTCAGGAGTTGATGATGACAATTACAGACTTATTACTGCCTTGCTGAAATGCTATTTTGTGAAAGTTGGGAATTTATATAAAATCAGTTAGTGGTAGGATTGATGAGATGTTTACCAGGCCTGGTAGGTAGCTGATTTCTTGTTTGACTTCTCAACTGAGGCAGGAAAGTAGGCAAGGAGATACCACTGAAATATGATAAGAAACAAGTTTTCCTGGAAAAGCCATTTATGCTCTTCTATAAAATCACTTTTGTCTAAAATGTTTCTTATTTTTTAAGTTTCTAGGTTTCATGTGACACATTTGTGAACATGGTATAAGACTAATCAAAGAAAAATGTGATATCTGGCCCACAAGACCTTAGAGGCTGAAAAAGGACTTGATCAATCTGAATCTCTGTGGCATAGCTGAAATATGAAATTAGGTCTTCCAACCCATTGTGACCCGGAAAGGGGGGACCATGCTCTTGTTAGCTTAAACTTCAGATTTTAGAGGCTTTTGGAAAAATGAAGGCAATAGTGAGCGCTTTGGGCATTCTGTGGGAAGACAATCTGTATTATAGTGCTTTCATAGTTCTTGAGTATTTTAACTTCCTTGGCCTTTGACATACCTGATCTCATTTATTCCTTATAGCTACTCAGTGGAAGAGGCTGGGCAGAGACTATTACCCTAGTTTTACAGATGAGGAAATTAAGCTGTAGGGAAATAAAGGAGCTTGCACAAGATTACATGGCTGGTGATAATTTTGGGACCATTCAGGTCACTAAAGATGTGAGGCAAAGATGAATATGACACGACCCCAGTTTTACAGATGAGGAAATTAAGCTGTAAGGAAATAAAGGGGCTTGCACAAGATTACATGGCTGGTGATAATTTTGGGACCATGTGAGGCAAAGATGAATATGACATGACCCTTGTCCTCAAGCTTGCATTGACTCTTCATCTGTTGGTCTTTCAGATATACTCCACTTGTCTTTTTGAGGCTACTGTTTAATAATCATCACATACTAGTTAATAAGTTTATTAACTAGAATTTAATCATGCATGGTGTTATTCAAGAGATGTAATGATAACACTACTTATTGCATTATTGCATGCTGATTTAGATCCTTGTTCTATAGACATCTTATTTATGTATTTATTTATTTGCTTTTTTTTTTTTTTTTTTTTGAGAGACTGGGTCTCACTATGTTGCCCAGGCTGGTTTCAAACTCCTGGACTCAGGCAATCCTCCTGCCTTGGCCTCCCAAAGTGCTGGGATTATAGGTGTAAGCCACCGTGCCCAGCCCAGTTGTCCTGTAGACATCTGACTCCACAGTGGGTGGATGGGTGGATGGATGGATTTAGGTGAATGTTGCTATGCATATTAAATAAGCATTTGAATGGATTATGAACTTTTCAAGAGAATAAATATGGGAGTTTCTTGGAAGAGTGGGGAGGTGTTAACATTTTATTCTTTTCCTTGAGTCTTTTACTAATTTATGGTGGAATTAAATGATAGTTCTTTTCTCTGTGGTTACAACAGGGTCAATAGCTAGAATTAACCTGAATGTAGCCGTGTTTAAACTGAGTGTATATCCCCTTATGCATTAATATGAAGTATAGTTGGCAATAGCATTGTTATTGAAATCAGATGGACCTAACATTCTCCCTTACTATTGCAGTGACCTTTAGATAACTTTTTTTTTTTTTTGAGACAGGGTCTCGCTTTATCACCCAGGCTGGAGTGCAGTGGCACAATCTCAGCTCATTGCAGCCTCCAACTCCTGGGTTCAAACAATTCTCCTGCCTCAGCCTCCTGAGTAGCTGGGATTACAGGCATGTGCCACCACACCTGTCTGATTTTTGTATTTTTAGTAGAGACAGGTTTCACCATATTGGCCAGGCTGGTCTTGAACTCCTGACCTCAAGTAATCCGCCCACCTCGGCCTCCCAAAGTGCTAGAATTATAGGCATGAGCCACCACAGGCCAGAGATCTTAACCACTACTAGCTTTACCTTTCTTATCTGTTAAATAGTGCTTACACCGAATCTTATAATGCTGCTGAAAGAATTCCAGTAGCATAGCACCAGACATGATGCTGTGACTTTTAAAAATGGCGGCTATTATTATGACAACTTTTAATTTTAGAGAGGGAGAACTACTAATTCCTGCTAGTCAAGGGTAGCTCTAGGGTTTCTAGGGGTTAGTTTGCTAACCTGGTTATTTTTGCTGTTTTTTATTATAATTGATTCAAATAATTTGTGTGTTTCGGTTTACTCTGTATCAGGCATATATGTTGACTCTGTCAACAGCTTTCTGATTATTTTTTAGATGAAGATGCTAAGCATGAAGGACTTTTGTCCAAAGACCTTTAAGCTCTTTACTCATATTAAGTTTTGGGTAAATATCACCTTTAAGAGTGAAGGAGTAAGACACAGAAAGCATAGTTAATTATTCGTGATGGTCAGCTGGTCAGTTAGAGATGAGTAAAGCAAACCTTCAAGTAATTTTTCTTTCAGCAAAAGACCTGCATGTAATACCCAGAACATCAGTCATCAGCTAGCAAGTCCTGTCATTCTTGTTCTTATATTCTGCATCTTTTATTTTTTCTTTTAAGTGAAACTGCCCTGATTCTGACCTTTGTTGAATCTTCTGGATTCTGTTGTATGTAGTAGCTTTGGAATAGGTCTTTCTCCTTCAGGCCTGGCTCCCACAACTACCCACACATGCTGTCCACATGGTGGCTCCTGTGTGCCACCCCCGTCCCTCATGCTCACCGTGCTTTAGTGCGTCCTGCACACAGCTTTTAGCTTATTCTTTCCAAATACTATTTTCTTCAGCTAGTTACAATTTTCTCTCCCTTTTCCACTTCCTTCCCCTCTCCTCCAATCCTTTCTTCTCTTCAAATGCCTTTGTACATTCCAGTCTCTCTGCTTTTATTCCTTTGGTTTTGCTTTCTAGTCTCCCTGTCCTCATATTTTTAGTTGCCTGTTTTCTGAGCAGTCTTCTTCTAGCAAGTCATAACTAATTCCCCAGCTCCATCTGATTGCTCCTTTTCAGGACGCCTGCAGTTCATATTGTCTGTGTGTATTCTTCATTTGTTACATGTTGGTTATGTCCTGTGGTGTATGGTTTTTAAAATTGTTTTAGATTATCTATCTTTCTCATTTTACAGATGAGGAAACTGAGGCCCAGAATGAAGAATGGATTGGCCTTTATCATGTTCAGTACTTTAGTCATCATGGGCATTCAATAAATGCAGTTTGCTGGAGCAAGGTGTCTGTTTCTCTCTCTCTCTCTCTCTCTCCCCCGTTGTGTGTGTGTGCACCCGTGTGTGTATGTGTGTGTGTGTGTCTGTGTGTGTGTGTGAGAGAGAGAGAGAGGGAGTTTTAAGGTGAGGGAAAGGAAACTTATAAGTTTAGTTCTGCCACCCAGTTTCCAAATATAACTCTTTCTCTCCTTCATGTTTTCTTTTCTTTATACTTCCCTTTCTTTTCTTTTCTCTCTCTCTCCCTTTCTTTTTTTTTTTTTTTTTTCTTTGAGACAGGGTCTCACTCTGTTTCCCAGGCTGGAGTGCAGTGACACGATCATAGCTCACTGCAGCCTCGATCTCCTGAACTCAAGCAAGCCTCCCACCTTAGCCTCCCAAGTTTCTGGGACTACAGGCATGTGCCACCATGCCTGGCTGATTTTTTTTTTTTCTAAATGTTTAGTAGAGTCAAGGTCTCACTATGTTGCCCAGGCTGGTTTCAAACTCCTGAGCTCAAGCAGTCCTCCTGCCTTGGCCTTCCAAAGTGCTGGGTGTTATTACAGGCATGAGCCACTGTGCCTGGCCCTGTACTTCCCTTTCCTTTTCCTATTTTTGCACAATTTTAAATTCTGTATTCTTCCTTTTATATTCACAGCAGTGTGACATTTGAAGGGACAGAGGTTGGTGGGGACTAGCCCAATTCCATATAAATTTTTCCCTTTGTTTTCAACCAATTATATCATGTCCTGATCTCTGAAGACTCCTTGGTGAACATCAGCCACCTCTTCTCAGAAATTATTACTGCCTTCAAAGGTGAACTGTACAAGGTAGTTAAGATTATACTGAGTTTCAAGAATTTAAATTATGAGATGAGGTTGAGGGTGTTGGCCTATTTCTCACTGGAAGTGACTTCCCAGGCGATCTATTTAAAATTTTGAAATCTGTGAAAATTCAGTGAACCTGTGGACTAAGCAGCCAGGAAGGCAGCATAAGGCAAGAGACTGAGTGAGTCAGTTAACATTTAATGAACACCTGCTGTGGGTAGAACCTTGTTGAAGAGATGTTAATAAAACTGGAGTCTATTAAAGGTAGATGGTGATAAAGCAATTGATGAGGAAACGGAAGGGAATCAAGGATTAAGAAAAATACTGGTACCGTTTCAGTATGTGTGTTATACCCTTAACATTTTTCACATGTGTCCATAGCTGTGGTCGATTTGCTTCAGGAATTAACAGATATAGACACCCTCCATGAGAGTGAAGAGGGAGCAGAAGTGCTCATCGATGCTCTGGTAAGTTGCACATCCTCTGGGGTTTTGCAGGTTTGTATAAGTTGTTGGCATTGCCACCACCATCGTCTCGGAGAGTGGCCACCAGGTGGAACTCCACGGCAAGGCTGGAGTGTGGTGAGGCTGGAGTGAATAAGGAGAGTAAAAAAGTAGAGATGTGGCTGGGGCAGTGCTTTATGCTTTGGGACTGTGTCAGGTAGAGGCCTCGCCCTTATTAAGTCTCTGCTGTGGGCA
The DNA here is from genome assembly GCF_000001405.40 of Homo sapiens. Taxonomy (NCBI): domain Eukaryota; kingdom Metazoa; phylum Chordata; class Mammalia; order Primates; family Hominidae; genus Homo; species Homo sapiens. The sequence continues at coordinate 37,757,888 of NC_000020.11, forward strand.
GGGCCATTTCTCATTCTTCTCACCACATCCTCTCACATGGGCATTATTGCTATTATTTCCATTTACAGCCATGAAGCTGTGACTTAGGCCAAACAAATGGCCCATGGTCACACAGCCAGGATTTGAACCTGTGGTCTCCTAGACTCTATGTTTTCTGCCCCTTTCTTCCCTCCTCTCTTTTGTTGCTACTGACCTTTTTACAAAGAGCTTTCACAAATGTTTTTCTCATCTGGACTTTCTAATCCCAAGTGCCAGTGAGAACAGGTATTATTATTATTACTTATTTTACAGATAGGTCATCAGAGAGGAATTGGAGAATGTCGAAAATAAGAACAAACTTTATAGCTCATTGAGGCCAGAATGGCATTCCCTGCCTGTAGACGACAAGGCAGTTGATTTCTGCCATCTTTTGAGGAGCCTAGGCAAGGCCTCAGAATGTTCCTTAGCTATTGATCCACACAGCAGCTAACCCAGAGGAGTTGGTCTGTGAGGCGCAGCTGTGACCAGGTGCCAGCTAGGCAAACTGCCTTACATGTGAGGAAACCCAGCTGCAGAAGTGAAGCCTCCCGCTGGGTCGCTCAGCCCGTCCTGTGACAGCTGATAAAAGAGACTGCATGTTCTGATCCCCAACACAATTCTGTTTCCACTGCCCCAGATTCCCCAGTTCACTGGTGATCAGAAAGGGCCACAAAGCTGCAAAGGCACCCCAGCTGGCCAGCGGCAGAAGTGCATCTAGTCCAGCCCCTACCCTGATACCACCTGTGGAGCTCTGTCCACCTGCAGAGCTGTATCCCTCCTCAAGGCTCTGTGGATTGTTCTTCTTCTGTTGTTTCTCTTGTCTTTTCTCTCTGGTAAGAATGTTAGTATTGGTTTTGACTCAGTTAGCAGTTGATCAAAGATTACTCCAGCCACTAGTATTAGAAGCACCTGGGCTGCTTGTTTGGCTACTTTCTAGTCCTACCCAAGACCCACTGAATCAGAATGGCTGGGCCTGGGGTCCCAGATGATCCCGAAACCCCACTGCTACACTGCCCACCCCCTCCTCACCCTTTCTCATAATGTTCTCGACACTAGAAATTTCCCATGTGCCGTGCTTGCTGTTGGCATTTGGTGTGAATGAAGGGGTTGTGAACCCACTGGTTATGAAGAACTGGCTCTTACAGAGAGTGAGGCTAGTGTCCAGCAGGGCCATTTATGACCGAATATAATGAAAATTTCTATGGCCATTTTTCTTTCAGGCTCCTTTAGAGAGCAAACTGCTACTTTTGTAGAATTCAGGGCATTTATTTTTCGTTTGAACCACTGTGCAGAAAGAAGAGGATGATGTTGGGATGTCGTTTTGTTTTGAGGGGCGTCTGAGGAAAGACTGTGGCACTTGCTCCTACTCTGTGTCCCTGCAGTGTCGTTTGTGCAGTCTTACCTTCCAGAGGTTAATTACATGGCCCTGAATGAGCCTTCCTGCTTGGTCCCTGGGCTGATTTTAATTACCATCCTTTGCCTGTCTGAATAGGGAAGACGAGAGAGGAACAGCTAGCCTGGCTGTTGCATGTAAAACATACCCAGAAACAGCAATTCACTCAAAAGCCCCCTTTGTTTTTTCTGTGTTGTCAAGCCCACTGACAAAAGCTGCATCTTGGCAGATTTTATTGTTTGTTTGGAAAGAAACAGTTCACCCTCAGTCTGGGGAGCCACTAGGTAACTGCTATACAGGATGTTCTGTTTGTTTAGTTTAGTTTTTATTTTTATTATTATTATATTAGTTTAAGATTTTGACTCTTACAGGTTTATCCTGGTGGGGCTGGTAGGAATCACAAGCATTGAACATTCCTGGACTCCAGTAGATTATTTGCTTGTCTGCAACCAGTCGGAAGTCATCAGTAAATATCAGAGAACAGAACCAGCGGTGGTCTTCCATTTACTTTTTTTACTCTTGGCTGCATTCAGGAAGAAATTTGATAAGTACTCTCATATTACAAGGGTTGAGTTGTCTTTGTAGTTTTAATTTGAGGCCAATATCTGAGGCCTAGAATTGCACGAGCAGAGGCTAGAGGGCATGTGGCAGAATTTATTGTGGTGTGCAGTTTGCAGTTATTGCTTTGGTCTTTTTCCCAGTTGGAAGTCCTAAGCAATAGGATGGCACATTTGTGGGGAAAGAACACTGTCCTGGCATTCTCAGGGATCTTCGGGGTTTTAAAATTTGGTTCATATCCACTGCTGTTACTTACGCAAAAGGCAAATATTTGTGCTTTGTAACAAGTTGATCTGGTAGCCTGGAAAATGGACTCTTTTCTGAAGAGTGGTAAGCGAGAGGGTATATTGCTTTGATGGCAATTCTCTGGCTTACCTCTCCAAAGATGACTTTGGACTTCTTGAGAATGATGATTAAATTACAGTCATTTTTCTACTTGCCAGTCCCCAAACTTGCCATGTGCTAGGTAGTCCCATGCCTTCGCTCATGCTTTGCCTTCCACTTGCCTAGCCTTGCTTCTCTGGGGCTACCTGGAATACTACCTCTCATCCCTTTATCTCTTCCCTTTTGAGTTTTTTCCAGACTCATCACCTCAGCAGGATGTGTTGTTCTAGCACTTTGTACATTCTGGCACTTGTCACATTGGATTATAGATGTCTGTTTATAAGTTTGTCCTTCCTGAGGTGTGATCCCCGTCAGGGGAGTGGTCAGAGCAGTGACTTTGTCATTTACCAATTCTGTGTCCTTGGGAAAGTTACTAACCTCTCCATACTGTTTCTTTCTCTGTAAAATGGAGATAACAGTAGTGCCTATCATACAGTACCAAAGTGATGAACAAGTGAGATATTTAATAAGTCTTTAGAACAGTCTGGCACAGAGTAAACACCTGATAAATGTTGGCCATTATCATTATAAAGGTACTATGCCTGGCAGATATTAAGCATTTAGCAAATGTCAGGTTAAAATTGTATGTATCATCTACCACACAGTGAGATGTCTGTGAATATTGAGTTCACAAACATTTTTTTCAGTTTAAAAAATATTTCAAAAACATTTTGAACAAACACTCAATAAAACCACATTTGGATGGGGTGGGCCTAAATAAGAAATGAGAGGATAGAGCTTTAGTTTAAAAAAAAAAAAAAAGGAAGAAGTAAGTAATGATAATACAAGGCAGAACATTGAAAACAGCTATGAGAGGGGCAGTGTTCTGTGGACATGAAGAGAGAGTGCTCGCTTCTGATGGAATAATCAGGAAGGGCTGCAGAGATGCAGGCATCGGTGATGGCCTCTGAAAGGGGGCTTTAATATGAGAGCATATGGAGGTGTCCCAGCCAACAGAGATGGAAGTGTGGCTGGGTGGTGTAGCTGGCCAGTGTCTAGGAGCCAGCATTTGCTTTATAGAAACGCTTTATAGAGTTCCACAAAAAGTGGCTTTGATGTGGACTGCCAGGGGACTACCCTCCATACTCATTCCTGCACTAAATTAACTCTACTGAAATGTTAAACTTTGAAGCCCTATCTTGGTTTGCCTTGGACTTGGTTGGCAATGGATTTGTGCTGCCCAGGTGAGGCTGAGGTTGGCCAGGTTTATGTTGCTGTAAGGGTACTTACTATGAAAATTCCTGGATTCTATTCCTTCCCATTTCCATTCATGTTCTCACCTTCATCTGTATTTGTTCCAAAGCAAAATTCATTTGTTCATTTGTTCACTAAATGTTTATTGAATGCTTGATGTGTTCCTGATTGTAGGAACCAGCTATATAGCTGTGAGCAAGCCTGACAAAGCCTCTGCTTTTGTGGAGCTCACAAGGTATGAGTGTAGGGAGAGACAGTAGATACATAAACAAGAAAACTATCAGAGAGTGGTTCTCTGTTTAAGAGAATTAAAATAGAGTGATGTGATGTAGAGTAGCTGGGAAGTCAGGTTGGATTAAATAGTCAGGCAAGGCCTGAGTTCTGGAAGAAACCAGCCATTCAAAATGATCAAGAGCAGGATGGGAAAAGGGCAGAAGACCTAAGGCAAGACTGAGGTTGACATATTCAAGGAACAGAGAAGGGGCCAGTCTTGTTAATGTGCAGCTGGGGCGAGGGGAGAAAGCAGAGTCAGGGCCAGACCACGCTGGGCTCTGTGGGCCTTGGTGAAGAGGTTGGGTGGCATTGCCAGGGTGAAGGGAAGTAATTAGAAGATATAAGCAGGGGAGTGGTGTCATAGCCTGACAGCATTTTAAACAGAGCATCTAGCTGCTGTGTGGATAATGGACTGGAGGGGCAAGAATGGAAGCTAAAAGGTTACAGCTAGGATACAACAGGCCTGAGTTTTGCATTATGACCATGTTACCATATTATTCTCAAAACTTGTTTGATCAAGATTCAGTGGGTGTGGGGTTTTATTGTTATTACTGTGTTTTAAATATGAAATTCCTGAAACTCCTAGTAGGCAGAAAAATCCCAATCTCATTCTTGAGAAAGCTTATTGGCAGATCGTACCAGATAGAAAAAGAAGCCTCCTTCAAACCCTCTCATCTGTCTCTTTTTTATTTCCTCCTCTTCTCTTATATCCATCCTCTTTGGTCAAGTGGAAGATGATGTGTGATCATGCCCTTGAACTTTAACTCCCGGAATATTGTTTGGGATGCCTGCTAACAATCAGAAATAACAAATGACTTAGCAGAAAACATCACACCCCAGACAGTCCTGATTTCCAAGGCAAGGGTTGCCCTGGCTGATGCTTTAATCCCTAAGCAGGATTTGTTTTTAGTTTCAGACTTTGTCACAGGTCCAGAAAATTGAAGGTAGACCCAAGGGGTTAGAGGGAATAGAATAGAATGCTAATATGTACTTTTACTGAGCGATATCCAGAGCTATGCATAATATAAATATTTTTTGAAGGGTTTTCTGAGCTAAATGTATTTTGACTGCTTTTGGCCTTCCTGCAATCAGATAAAATTGCATTTAACCCAACTAAACATAAAGTTTCACAGTTTGCAAGCTTAAAAAGGCTGCCTGTTAGAAGTTGGATTTCCGTAGCAAGAAGAAAGATTTTCCTCCAGCCAGAGGCCCATTATCCATAACCATTCAGCTCTAGGACTTAAATGCATTGCTCACTGACAGTGTCCCCACTAGCTTCTAGGCAGCAGAGATGGGAAACATAACTAAGAATCAAAGAAAGGAGGGAAAATAATGCAGGTAAAGCGGCAATAAGCAATTGAAATTGGTGTAGCAGTTTGCAGAACTGGCAAGCAGTGTGATACCCAGTGGAGTGGCGGTGTCTGCTGCTTTAGGATTCAGGGAGATTATAAGTCAATCAGGGTGATTTAGGGAAAAACATACTGTGACATGGTTCATATTTTCCCCCCAGATGTTTTTCTGTTTTCTCTCACGTACTCAAAATGTCCAGTTAATTAAGGAAAACACTGTAGTGGATTTCTTTAGTGAAGCTTTTGCTGGCTGTGAGATTTGAGAGCAAGATTGTGTAGCTCTTGGCACAAGATGGGAAAACAGCACTTTCCTGTATTTACAGGCTCCCAAATCTGGCATCAGTGTTTCTTCAAATAGCATCCCCTCCTTTTTCCTCATACCAGGGCATAAAGGAGAGCCTAGAAAAATCTAATTCATTTGTGATTCAGGTATCACAAATTAGTCAATAATTTCACCTTTCCCTTGTCCGTGTATTTCCCTTAAGCCTCACCCAGACAGAGTAAAGAGTCCATGTTTCAAGATCTATGCCACCTACCATTGCCTGCCTCCTCAAGCTTGGTTTGAATTGTGTCTATAGAATACCTTACACGCAAGGACTCTGGAAGTATTGGTTGGATGAGATCGTTTCCTTCTTTTTTCTCCCTCCATTCTCTCCCGTCATTGAATTAATGGGGGATTATGGGAAAAAGTAGAGTTGGAGTTGGGCACTTCTGCCACCAGCTTTGTGACTTCAGTCAGGCTAATTAACCTCTCAGAGCCTTTACTTTCTCACCTGTGAAAGATGTGAGAATTACATGAGGATAAATGGAGCAATTACAGTGCACAAACTATGTGTTCCATCAATTTATTTAAATCTAGCAAGATTTACTGAGTATCTGCCGTATATGGCATTGTAGTAGACTTGGGGTATACAAAGATGAATGAAGCAAGGTGCCTGCCTTTCAGGAACTTGGCTTTTTCTTAGCCAGTGGAAGAGAGGAACTGTGAATAATCAGGCATCAACAGGGTAAAGGGCTAGATTCAAACCTTCTGCTTGATTCTTTGAGGAGCTGCCATGAACTAGACCTAGGGTAAGGCCTGTTACATATTTTCATTTACTCTTTAGCACTTATCCCCATTTCATAAGTGAGGAAACCGAAACACTGAGAGGGAGGATAACGCAAATATGCAGCAGACCGTGTCTTCAGATGTGGCTTTACTTATTGGCTGTGCTTAAGAATCCATTACCAGATGGATCATCCCTTCCTGATGATAGAAAACTAGATGTTTCCTTAGTTATCTTCCTTGGTGTGCCTCAGGGCTACCTAAGGGCAGTCTCCTTAGAACACAGATTGTGCACAGGAGGTAGCATGAAGTAGTAAAAGCATTATTTCACCTAAGGAGAAGGAAGCCTGGGTTTTGCCTTTGCCTCCACTGCTCCATAGCTGTGTAGTCTTGGCTGAGTCACTAATGTCTTGAACATCAGCTGTATGATGTGGCTACTGAAAGTTTCCTATCTGTTTCAACATGTGTGACTCCATTAAGAGAAATACAGTAGCTTTCTGTGCATTCAATGTCATACAAATAGAAGACATTTTATTGTGTTGATTATTCCTTTTAAGAGGGAACTATAAATTCTTCATAAGTAGTAGTTTCATAAAAGCTTAGCAAGGAAACAGGAATGTTTTGAGGTCAACATAGAATGTGGCTGGTGCACATTCTAGTGAAACATCTTTTGGTGCATTGGCCTAAAGACGTGTTTTGGCTTGAATGAACCGTTGACCTGACTTAAGATGGCATTCTCGTAAGGTAGTACCACAGAGAAGGAGAACGAGCACAGGGCTTGGTTTCAGATGGTCTGTGTTCAAGTGCTAACACTGTCACTCACCAACCTTTTAACCTTGAATTTTACTTTGTCTGCTTGAGCTCCAGTTGACTCATCTGAAGTTAGAGATAATGATGCCTGCCTTTTACTTACCTCAGGGTCACTTTAAGACTTAAAAGAGATAATGGGATGGGAGAGCACCTTGTAAACCATAGATTGCTGCTTATTTACTTACTTTGTTCATTCAAATAGTGGAGAAGTAAGTATGGGAACGGGAACATTTTGGGGACCATTTTATGACATCCCTCTCTCCTTTTGCTTCGCTATTCTTGCAGGTGGATGGGCAGGTGGTAGCACTGCTGGTACAGAATCTGGAGCGCCTGGATGAGTCTGTGAAAGAGGAGGCAGATGGCGTCCACAACACTCTGGGTGAGAGGAAGGGTGCTTGCCATTGCCTGAGTTGCTTTGTGTTTGTTTTGGGACTCTGTGCTCATTTCCCTTCCTTCTTCATAATAGAGTCAATAGCAGGCTGTTTTCCTTCCTTCTGCTCCCAAACTGCCTTCTCAGAAATGAAGACCTTTGTGTAAATTTCATATAACTTCAGCTTTGGTTTGGCTTGTAGGTAATGAAAGCAGAAATCCACTAAGTAGGTAACCTTCCTAAACAAAAAACCAGTGGCTCTGGTTAGCGGGCCTTCGCCTCCAAAAGTTAGGATGAAACCTATGCTGGTTAATTTTGTTTCCTTTGGAATGTGTATATTTAAACATTTTAAATCCTTTTAAGTCGTTTTTTCTTATCACTTTTCTTTCATGGAACTGCAAACTTTTGGACCATTCTGTACCTTTGTAGGACATTTTATTTGAAAAAGAGTTTTTCTCTCTCTTCTTAGGTGTAGACTACCACGTAAACTGTGATTTGAAATATTGCTACTACTTGGCTGTCCCTACATCAGATTTTCATTTAAGTGGATTCCTCTGTAGTATTTCTCCTCTTCCTTCTCCTCCTTGAATCTCCCCAGTCTTTCCTTTTGTAAAGTTGTTGAACCGATATCCTATTTAAAATTGTGTTTTGGGGGTAGCTCTCTTTATTACTGGTCACTGTCTTATAAAACCAGAGATGACATATCTGTAAACAGAGCTTGAGAAATGAACAAGGCCCAGTGGAAGCAGAAAATTTGATGAGATTAGATTTTTTTTTTTTAGCTTCTTTGTGTACCACAGATTTCTATTGTAGTTCTGGACTCTGTTCCCTGAGGATTATCATAAAGAAGGGGAAACATGGGCACCTGGGGGGAAGAGGAGGAACACAACACTCTGTAATTTGGGTTGGCTGTAGTCTAGAGCCAGAATTTGGCATTGCCATTTGTTAGCAGAGTGCTGGATTTTGCGGTATCAAAAGTCTGTTAACTGACTGCTAACTGTCTGTTAATAAAAAGTACCAGCCTGCCAGTCTACAGAGATCTATTTGCAGCTCGGTCAGCTACTAACAGCTCAGGAGAGTCTTCCCTCTCTCTCACTTATTGAGTGCCTGATGTTTGTCAGGCACTGTGCTAGGTACTAGGGTAGATTATGGTGAAGTAGGCATGGTTCTGCTCCTGACAGGGCAGACAGATAGGTGAGTCTTGAAAAGAAAGGAAAGACAATGCTGGGTGACAGACGGTATCGTAGGAGTCAGTGAAAAGCACTGTGGGAATGAAGAGGAAGAGCCTCCAAATTGCTGGATAGGAGCAGCTAGCTCCTGTGCATGACTGTGGCTGAATATGAAGACAGGTGCATTTTGACAGGTGGAGGAGTGGGAGAAGGGCCTTCATGAGGGGAGTATCATTTGCAAAGTCATGAATGGGGCTGGGATTTGAGGAAAGACTAGAAATGGCCTGTGACAGTCAGAGGTGGGAGATGGAACTGGAGGAATAAGTTTGTCCAGATAATGGAAGACCTTGTAAACCATGGCAGGAAGCTTGGATTTTGTTCGAGTGAACAATAGGAAGCCATCTAAAATATAAGCAGAAGAATAGGATAAAGTCATGGAAGATTAAAACGAATGAGTTGATTTTTGTAGGAAATGGCAGAAAGTAATTCAGGGTGTCGTAGTGCTCTTCATCTCTCAGGGTTTCCTTGCTCCTCTGCTCCCACAGCTTCGTGCTTCCCCTGCCTGGTCATCCTTTAACTTGCCACTGGGGAGGCTGATGTGGGCAAAGGAGTGAGAAAGAAGACAGGAGGTGTGGTGATTTCTTCAGCCCTTTCTCCTTCAAAATTCACACCCAATGTGTTCTGGGTATTGTGTTTAGGGAACACAGAAGTGTATCTGTTTCATGCTAGTAACATATTCCAGGATACGGATTGGAAGGGGGGCTGAAAGAAATGAAACCATTTGATATTAAGGACTCTAGGTGATTAAAAAAAAAGAGATCTCCTTTTTCGTATCATAGTCATGCAATAACTTTTTTTTCCTCCTAATTTTTAATTTTTCTATTAAGCAACACTTTGGCTGTTGTAGGAGATAGCAGGACCAATTATATTTGCTTCCTAGTACCTGGGAGTTACCTCTGCCAGCATGGCCTTTCCCCTCTGTGCATGTTATTTTGTTCAATTAAAAAGACCATGCTTGCCTGCTTTGCAATATTCTTGCTTCCACCTGATGCAGGGAAATAGAACTGCAAATGGATGAATCAGGAAAGGAAGCGACTCTTGAGTTCACCAGACCCTGAGTTTTCCCTAAGGCTTTTGCCTAGCTCCCAATCTCTTTGGTTATGGGTTTCTGGGACTCATTAGGGACTGGGTGGGACTTCTTAGGTAGATACCCACCCTTTTGTGTGTTCCGCTCTAGTGTTGTTCCCTATTAGCATGGAAAATCTATCACTTAGCTCTTTTGTGAGTTCCATCATTTTCAGTTATGAGTTTTACCTGTAGCATAACTGGAAGAAGAAAACCACAGCAACTCCCTGGTTAATCTGAAAATGACAACCCAGCATCTGGCTGGGAGTAATGCAGGGAAGTGGGGAGAGGAATAACATGCCTGTCATGGGAAGCAAGCTTGTTGCAGATGGAAACAAAGTTGTCCTCCCAAATGACTGGTGTCTGTCTCCCTTCAGCTATTGTGGAAAACATGGCTGAGTTCCGGCCTGAGATGTGTACAGAGGGTGCCCAGCAGGGTCTTCTACAGTGGCTGTTGAAGAGGCTGAAGGTGAGTTTGGCTGTGGGGAACTGCAGCTCACACCTGTCTTTGCTCTGGGCTTGATTGATGCTGGGTTATTGGCATAGACTGTTATGCTGGGCCATATGATCTAGTTTGGGAAGCTTCTGGTACCTCTTGCTTCTTTCTTCTCCGTTTTTGTTCGTTTTAAAACAAGAGGCTTTAAAAATAGTCTTTAGTACCTCTGAAAATACAAACGTTATAAATACAAATTCATGTGATACAAAAGGTATAAAACTGAAAAGATCCCCTCTGCTGATCCCTTGTAGTTCCACTTCTCAGAGGCAGTCACTGTTAACAATATTATATCCATTCTCTCAGAAATTTTCTGTGTATATGAGAGAGTGTGTGTTTCACAAACAGAATTATGTAATATTTTCTTATGCAAGTTGATTTTCTCACTGAACTAATTATTGCCTAGTTAGTATTCCACTATGCTGATGTACCAAAATTAATCTCATCATTCCCACTGGTAAGTTTGTAGTGTTATAAACAGTGCGGCTGTGAATACAGTAGTCCCCTCTTATCTGTGGTTTTGCTTTCTGCGTTTTAGTTACTCACAGTTAACCATGGTCTGAAAACAGGTAAATATAGTACTAAAAGGTATTTTGAGAGAGAGACCACATTCACAAAACTTTTCTTACAGTATGTTGTTATAATAGTTCTATTTTATTATTGTTGTTAATTTCTTACTGTGCCTAATTTAGAAACTTTTTTTTGTTTTTTTGTTTTTTCTTTTGAAACTGAGTCTCACTCACTCTGTTGCCCAGGATGGAGTACAGTGGCATGATCTTGGCTCACTGCAACCTCTGCCTCCCGGGTTAAGGTGATTCTCCTGCCTCAGCTTCCCGAGTAGCTGGGATTACAGGTGTGCGCCACCACGCCTGGCTAATTTTTGTATTTTTAGTAGAGACGGGGTTTCACCATGTTGGCCAGGCTAGTCTCGAACTCCTGATCTCAAGTGATCCACCCGCCTTGGTCTCCCAGAGTGCTGGGATTACAGGCGTGAAACACCGTGCCTGGCCTATAAATTAAACTTTATTATAGGTACATATATAGGAAAAAAACATAGTAAATACAGAATTTATCTGTAGTTTCAGGCATCCACTGGGGGCCTTGGATCCTATCCCCCACAGATAAGGGAGGGACTGCTGTATACAGACTTTTTAAAATATACATTTGTCTCAGTTTATCTGTACGATAAATTCATAGAAGTAGAATTGATAGGCCAAAGGCTATGCACCTTAACATTTTTTGTAGTATTGCAAAATTATTCCCACTGATTTATCATATCCCACTGATAAATCAGCTGCCCCACTGATTTAGAGTTATCTGTTTCCCTCTGCTTCTAGTTAATCTGATAGTGAAAACTGGTATTATTTTAATTTGTAATTTTAACATCAAGTGAAGTGTGTTGGCTTCTTGTTGATTAGCCATTTGTATTCATGTCTTTTAGCTTCATATTTATATTCTTTGTCCATATTTCTATTGAATTGTTCATTCTCTTAGCATAGTCCTTGTGATTGTCTTTTTAACAGTTAGTATTGTCTAATAGAGTAAATGAGAAAAAGAAGAGGCAAGAGCTCCTCTCAGAACAGTTTGGACCAAAGGTGTGATGGGAGGCAGTTTGGAACTGCTTATATGCTATTGAAATGGCCCTCAGGCAGGCAAGGATCCTAACTTTTTGTGAGAAGGAGGCACTTGTTTGTAACTAAAGTAATGCTCTAAGTAATGGCCTTGCTCTGCTTCAGAATGTCACAAGCATCCAGAAAGTCTGGGGTGTATCAGGTCAGATTTGTCCTCCACTGTCTTGGCAGGGCTAAAGGAGAAGGTTCTGCCTAAGATATCATATGCTGCATGGTTTTCTCCGTTTCTGACACTCTAGTCTTCTCCAATCCTACTTATTCAGCCGTTTGTTCCCATTAAATCTGTAACCTTGATTTACATAACATATTGGCCCAAGGATGCTCAGCTAGCCCAGCTGCTACCATCAGTATGAGCACATTTGCCTAGCAGAGGTCAGTAAACTCTAACTCCCTCCAAACCCCATCCCTCTTGCCTTTCAGTCTTGCATCCAGCAAGTAGTTAATTCAGGCATTGTCATTTGCAACTTCCTTTTGACCTCCTCTCTTGAGTCTAAATATCCTTTGGTTTTAGAACTAGACTTGTTTCTCATTTAATTTCCTTTACATCTCTCTAAACTCCGTTTCTTCTTTCCTCAGTATTCAACACATTTTTTATTCTCCAAAGCCTTGAGACATTTTGGGAACAACCAGTGGAGGAGAGGAAAGTAGAGCACCGAGTTTTAAGGGGATGGCGTAGATGTCAGGGACCTGAGTTGTTGGGGGAGTAGCCACACGTTAGGGACGCAACCTTGAAATACACAAAATAATTCAATAGTTTTTTTGTCTCTGTTATGTCGGGACAGATTTTTCCAAGTTACTTGAGACTTAATACTGATTCAGGGATCTTCATTAAACTAGAATGTCTTCTGCCAGAGTCTTTTTTTTTTTTTAATTGGTAACATAGGAAGGGAAATTGACTTTTGAGTGTTTGGCTTGGATGCCGTTACCCTTATGATCATAATGAAGGGGCCCATTTGATAGTTTAGCAAGCTATTGACTCTTGCCACATAGGCACTGCATTGATGTAATCCTCGGGGCACAAATAGCCATGTTGCTGTCTCTGAAACAGTTTTCAGGCTTTTAGGGATATTTAAACATCAAAATGCTATTTGGGTTTTTTACTGGTAAGCAAGTGCTTTTAGAAGAAAACTGTGCTGCCCAGGCTTAATTAATTCTTTCATTAATTAGTTAATGAAATAAAGTCCTGCTTAAGGGTGAGGCCAGCAAGAGGGCATGTCCTTCGCAGCAATGCCTTGCTCTTATTTCTCATAATCTGGGGAATGTTATAATCTTCATTCTCTTCAACATCGTGGTGACTCTTAGTGAGTACTGGACCCAGATCCTGACTTTCCCTTATTAGCTGTGTAATTGTGGGTAACGGCCTCTTAACTTTTCTGGCCTGTTTTCTCCTTTGAAAAATGGGGATCATACTCCCTGCCCTTCCAATCTCACAGGGTTATTGCGAAATCAAATATGATAATGCTTTTAAATTGTAAAGAGGTTATAGCAGTGGGTTTCAGCTGGGGGTTTGTATTAAGATCACCAATGGAACTGAACAAATACAGATTCCCACACTGTACCCTAGACCTACCGTCTCAGTCTCTGTCTTTGGTATATTTTAGAAAGGTTTCAAACACATGTGATTCTAATGTACAACTCTCACTAAGATCCACTTGTCTCAGGAAATGTGGACCTTCTTGTTAACCATTTTACTCTGGAGACTAATTTAAAACTCCATTTTCACTATGCTATTACCCATTCAGAAACTTACCTGGAGTGATGCTGTGCCTTCTACATCAGATCCCACCTTCTCTGCCTCTTACCCAGGCCCAGTTTGACCTTTTCATTTTCCAGTTTTGAAACATTGGCCTTTGTTACCTTTTAGATACCTTTTTTTTTTTTTAAACCTATCTCCTGCTCTGCAAAGGTCAAAATTATCTTGACCTCTGTGTCTGGCTTTGTTCATACTCCCAACTCTACCAGGAATGACTGGCTCCTCTCTTCCATTCGTATTTCTAAATTTTACACACCCTTCGTGAAACAGCTTAAATCCCTAATCTTCTGTGTAGCCTCTATCACTTTTAGAACTGAAAGGAAATCTGTAAGTTCTGTTGTAGATAAAAAATTTAAAATTGAGACCTATCGATATTAAGTGCCTTGCCCAAACCCCTGTAGCTAGTTAGAGATAGAGCTAGGATTAAGACCCAAGCCTCCAGAATTTTCTTCATGCCCCCTTTCCATAGTACTTTGCCCCCAGCCTATACTGCCCACTTTCTTTTATAAAAAATCAACACCTTCATCTTTTTCCAATGGGTTCTCTTGCAAGAGTTGGCCTATCTGGGTTCTAGCATCTACCCGTAACTGTGTGATGCTCGCCCTCATGGAGCATCTTCTCTCCATCTGTAAAGTGGAGATGACTCCATCACCTGGCCAACTTGAATATTCTTATGTGTGCTGATTTTCTTTCTCCAAATATCTCTAAATTTTATAATTACAAGGACCATGTCTCTGTCATATCTGTACCTCCTCCCAGCTGTTCTCAAACTGTGGTTCCCAGCCAGGAGCATCAGCATCACCTAGTGCCTTGTTAGGCAAATTCTTGGGTCCACCCAGACCCACTGAGTCTGCAAAGTTGGAGTGGAGCCTGGTAGTCTGTGTTTGTTGCTGTTGTTGTTGTTTTTGTTGTTTTTGAGACGGAGTCTCACTCTGTCACCCAGGCTGGAGTGCAGTGGCGATCTTGGCTCACTGCAAGCTCCGTCTCCTGGGTTCACGCCATTCTCCTGCCTCAACCTCCTGAGTAGCTAGGACTACAGGCGCCCGCCACCACATCCGGCTAATTTTTTGTATTTTTAGTAGAGATGGGGTTTCACCGTATTAGCCAGGATGGTATCGATCTCCTGACCTTGTGATCCGCCCGCCTTGGCCTCCCAAAGTGCTGGGATTACAGGTGTAAGCCACTGCGCCCGGCCCAGTCTGAGTTTTAATAAGCCCTCAAGATGATTCTGATGTAAGCTGAAGTCTGAGAACCAAGGTTCTAGAGTAATTATGTCTAGATTGCTTGATAAAACCTTACGATTTGACTGATCATCTCATATTTATTCAGTAATCCTTGAGTGATTCTTAAGTGAGTGGCACACTGGTGACAGCATTCTAGTGTTGGATTTCTCCTTTTTGTACTGGTAGCCTAGCAGTATATAGAGATATTCATGGATCTCTTCATCCAACAAATCAACCCCCACTAATTTATTCTTATGAGGATAAAAACCACTGCAGATGATTGCATTAAATGGATTAACAGGTAAGTAGATAACAGTAGTGTGAGAGATGCTGCATCACAATTAATGTTTTTAATGGGGAATACAAGCTTATTAAGATATTACGTACTATTGAAAATAACAGCAAAACCAAGTATAAGATTCCCTCTTGTTACCCAGTTAAATCAATGCTTCAGAAACAGTTGCAGCGTTCAGTTAAGTTATATTACATGTACAACTGGTTGATGCTAAAGTTCTTAGCCTCTATGACCAGAGGTTGGGATTTTGTAGGGCACAATCTGCTTTGACAATTGTACAGAGCTGTAGATATGTCTGAACCTGCCCCATGTGTTCCAGGTAGCAGAGGTGAGCTACAGATATAACCTGCAGCTTCTGGCTGTGAGTGGTAGCATAATTGTTTTGTACTTTCCAGAAAAGCAGCAGCTCCCAAAAAGGTGAAGTGTAATTTTATTCAAGGCTAGTACATGCTGAGTACAAACCTATGCATGACTCTATAATTACTCTGACAGCTGAAAGATTTAAGAGAGCCAGGCTCCTGGATAGAAGAGAGCCCTACAAGTTCCAAGTCCCGCTGATTAACTTTGCAAAATCCAAGAGACTATACCTGCTAAGTAAAATCTCCTTTCTCCTGATTTTGAATAAATGTCTTTGAAATTTGGCAGTTTGGTATTGTGCAATCTCTGGCTGGGATTTAAACAGAAATAAAATATGCTTTGTAAGTGTTGTCTTTGGCTAGACATGAAAGATTACTTTCCTTTCTTCCCACCTGGCCTAATTTCTTCTATTTCTTTTCTACCAGATTAAAACATTTGGTTGTCATCATCATCATCATCACCACTAAGTTTTCATCATCTGATATGAGTTTCATGTATTGACTGCTCACTACATGCTAAAGTGTTTTTCTAGAACCTTCTTCTTTCTTTCCTGTCTTTTTCTTCTTTTTCTTTCTTTCTCTCTTTTTTTTTTTTTTTTTTTTTTTGAGGCAGGGTCTCATGCTGTTGGCCAGGCCAGAGTGTTGGTGCCATCACTACTCACTGCAGCCTTAACCTCCCAGGCTCAAGTGATTTTCCAACCTCAGCCTCCCAAGTAGCTGGGACTTCAGGTGCACACCACCACACCCAGCTAATGTTTGTAGTTTTTTGTAGAGATGAGGTCTCACTATGTTGCCCAGGCTGGTCTTGAACTCCTGGGGTCAAGTGATCCTCCCGCCTCAGCTTCCCAAAGTGCTGGGAGTACAGGTGTGAGCCACTGCGCCTGGCCACATACATTATTTCTAATCCTCACAAACAGCCCTGCCAAGAGGGTGCAGCTATCCCCAATTTACAGATAAAGAAATCCCAGAGAGAGAGGAAATGGTGTTGCCCAAACCACATGGGAACCACGTGAGAGAGCCTGTGAGCATTGGGCCTTGGCATCTTTGAAGCCACCTCCTCTTGCCAAGCTGCTTCTCAGCTGGCACTGCTTTTAGGTTCTGAAGCATTGCAGAGCTCAGCGTTGGGGAGTTATCGGGCCTCATCATTTTGGTTTCCTGATTAGATTCTTCCTTCATGCCAATTTCTCAGTCAGAACTTATATTTTAATTTAAAAATGATGAAGTTATCAGTCTGGTTTTTAAAAACTTACTTTGGTTAAATTGGAAACTCTTAGTAGTGTCTTACAGCAAAAGGTGGAGATTTCCTGTGGAACCAAGAATTCTCAGTAGCAAGAAACTCAGCTGGTCGGTGCCTGTTATGTATACACCAGTTCCCTTAGTACAGCCACTTCATGAGGAAGATATTAATTTGGCCAGTCTCATAGCTGGTAACTGTTAGAGCTCAGATTCTAATGCAGATATTTCTGGTTATGGTTGTCAGAAAAACTTGTGGTACCTACTGTGTGTTAGGTACTTTCATATTATGTTTTTAAATTCTCATAGTAACTCTCCAAATAAGTGGGATTTTTTTTCTATTTCTTTTTTCTTTTTTTCATGTCAGTGCCCTTAATCAAAAAAGTGCTATTTTTTATTTTCATTTTACAGATGAGGAAACTGAGACTGAGAATGTTTCTTGGGTCATAGATTCCCATTGTCAGCTTACAGCATTCTTAGTGTCTCAGTAATTCTGTTTTTACAGCACCGCTATGCCAAAAAGTACCTAATAGTCTCATTTATTAAGTAGTTATGTCCAAACCATTTAATATATATTTATGTCCTTACAATTTATTAGCCATTTGAGAAGATAATACACACAAATTGAAAGAAAAAATATTTTTATTTCATTCTTAAATATCATAGTTACTTCCTAATGGTATGTGTGCCTTTTGGTACTGCTCAAATCCTTAAACCTTAGGATCAGATTGAACGCTACGACCATCATTCTGATTTCACATCGATTTTCACAGTTATTTTTGTCAGAGCAGCTATCCAAACGCAGCTCCACAAAGATATGATGTCACCAGAAGAAATGTAACTTGAGCTCCTGGTTAATGCAGTGTTCAACAGATGTCACATTTCACTGTGTTCTCCTTGAAAATTTAACATATCCTGTGGTGAATTAAATATGACACCCCAGTTGCCACAGCGCAAAGTTGGAGAACTGCAGATTTGAGTCAACCTTAGGTGTGTCTAATGCCAGATCTGTGTTTTATTTTCCTTTTTTAAAATTTGATATTTCTACAAAATTAATTTTAATTCAGTGTAAGGTTTTTAAATGCCACAACAGTGGACAGAGTTCAGATCTAAGTTACCCCTGTTTGTTCTCTTGCTTAATTCTGTGTCTTCCCTATAGCAGGTGCCTAATAAGTATTTATTGAAAGGAAGAAAAACTCCCCCCAACTTGAAAACAGGAGCTTACAAAATTGAATAAAGGACAAGAGGCATTAGATCCACAGAAAGGCCATGGCTCTAGTGACCTACTGTCTTTTGGCTTCTTTCAGTTAAGTGTCTTGTTTTAAACAAGAACCATGGCCCTTGCAATGCTAATGTATAAGTTGGTGTGGCTTAAATCTTTTAAAATATAATAGCAGTACTTGGAACTTACATAATTTGAGTGGGAAATTTTATTCGCAAATCCTTGATTTTGATAGAGATGCTTACTCCTTGGCTTTTCACCTTCATGTTTTGATTTTCGTTAATATGAAACCATTTTTCTTAAAGTGAAACATACCACAGGTTGCATTTAAGCCCTGACTATTATGCTGAATTTCTTGAAACAAGGCTTCAAGCTCGCCCAGGGAGCATACCTTACATTTAGCACATGTAAGACCTTGCATTTATAGATCTTTTAACCTAAGATGGTCATACTTGGTTGACCTCCTGAAACCCTGTAGGCTGCACTTAGCTTGATGAGGAAGACGTGCACAGAAAACTGAAATGATACTGAATATTGCTTGATTAGGTACAACTCTTCCTCTTTAAGTATAAAACCAATATCTAAACAGATCTGTGAATGGCGGTAAGGTGACGGAAGTGTTAGTTCCAAGATAAACACTTCCCTTGTCTTTTCCAAGTACAGAAATTCTTTGTCATTTCAAAAACACAGATAGGTAGCAAAGGTTGCTGCTGATTAATAATCATTGTTTACATGCCTGCATTTTAAGGATCATGGGCACCATAAATAAAAACACACCACTGAGACTCGCTCCTCTCTATGCACCTTTATCCAGGGGGCAGTGATAATGGTGAGATATTTAAGTCTCACTACCGAAGCAACACTGAGGACAGCCATGAAAGATAGTCTGTGCAGTAGATGTGTCCCCTCTGAAACTCCCAAATAGCAGAGCATGCAGCGGGGAAAGAATTGTGGGTAGTAATTTGGGTGTTAAAATATTAACACATTTTTGCATATTTAATGTGGTTTCTGTTTTAAGTAGTAGGCAGATTATGGCATGCAAGCAGATAAGTTTATGATTTCAAATTAAATTTTAAGCATTAAAAAAATCCAGAAGGAACTACTTTGTGATAAATACATTCAGTTAATCAAGAATTGCTTTCTTCTCTGCTCATATATTAACTAATTTATAGCCTAATTTCATGATTGTAACTTGTGAATTAAGCTTCATGGTGAGTTTTAATCTTAAAAGTTCAAAACTCTCATTCATCTAGTTCACATTTGGGTACTATGGGCTAGACATATATAATCTCTGGACTCAAAATGGGAAATCTTGGAAGTCTTCACCGAGGAGGTAACCTTAATACCTGGGCATTAAGAGTGTGAGAGCCATTGTTTCAATCTGTCACTTTACTTGGTTCTGGTCTCTTGAGAGCAGAGGCAGACGTTTTTACCCTTAACTGCCTTTTCCTTTTCTAACTTCTGCTTCTCTCTAACTCAGATCATAGTACTCGTGAAAAATTTGTCCTGGGGAAGGAAGCAAGACCCCTTAACATTTTTCTCATTTCTCCTATTTCCCCATAGGCAAAGATGCCTTTTGATGCCAACAAACTGTATTGCAGTGAAGTGCTGGCCATATTGCTCCAGGACAATGATGGTGAGGCGCCCTCTCAGTATTGATATTCTGTTAGGATAGGAGCCAGGCTTGTTTCAGATCATGACAGCAAGCTCTCTTGCCTTTGGCATCCCCTTGCTCTCCCTCTCACTCCCTGTGCTGCTTTTGTACTCTGTCAAGCTGTATTGATTTTGTTTGCTGATGTATCAGTGTTAGACGGCTGTAAAATCTGACAGTTAGGTTCATTTTTTTTCTTCCTCTATTTTTTTCCCCTTTAGAAAACAGGGAATTGCTTGGGGAGCTGGATGGAATCGATGTGCTTCTTCAGCAGTTATCCGTGAGTAATTCTTATGCTTCCTGTCTGCTGTAAGATACATGGTCTGCTTTGAATGGGAGGTGGAGCTGGAAACTGTGGGAAGGAATAAGCCATGTGCTGCAAGCCATATGGAGCATGTTGGCAGGTTTGAGGGTTATACGGAGGGACATGGTTTGCCTCCTTTTCTTAGTCATTTGCTCTTTATGACCAGACATCACTGTGTATCAGTTCTGAACTTTCTTCATCTTCTGATATGATATTGTCAACTCAAAAAAGATGTGCCTCATGCTTAAGTGTGTATGTTCTGGGCCAAGCATACCAAATTATTTTCATTTGACCCACTGCCAAGATTATTCACCAACCTTCCTTTCAATCTGCTGTGAAAATGGAGTATGTTCATTTAGGATCTGAATAAGCTCAAGGAGTACAAGTTCCACTGCAGTGGGGTGGGGGTCAAGGGGAGGATAGGGGAGGATGTGGTGCTGAAGGCTGGAGTGAGAACTTGGAAACTGCCATTTTCTCACTGTAAGAAATGTAAATCCAGTTGAAATGTTATTCTGCTGGCATTCTGAAAATACTGTTAAGATTTCCTCTTACAAGTTTTAGCTGTGTTATTCTAAAAACAGGACTGAAAATAGATCATTTGGATAAAATCTTAAGAGTGTTGGGAGAGTCTGAGATGTCAGTTTGCATACAGCTTCCATCTTGGTGCCAGCAGCCTGAGTGTCTTGGCCTCCACCCCAAAAATAGAGCTTTGAAATGTGAATCTGTTTCCAGTTCTGGGAAGGTGCTTAGTCCTTTTCCTGTGAGATTATTGATCTTCTTGTAGTAGACTGTATGGGTATGCATATACAGTTTAAAGGCTTCTCTTAACATGCCTTACATCTCTGGCAAAAAGAAAACTAATGCTGTAAGCCCTTCCCATGAATTAAAGCCCCAGCTCCCCTGTGAGGGAATTCAGTAGCCTTGGTTGTCAGGAAATGCTTCCTTATATTGAGCCACGATTCAGCCCTCTGGATTGTGGTTGCTTTTAGAAGGGAAAGAAATGAGATATGGTTGGGTTGGGCAAGTGGAGGGCTTTGAGGGGAGTTGGCAAAGTTGTTTCTCATCCTGGATAATGATTTCAGGGGTGTTCACTTCATTTAGTTTTATATGTCCTTTATGGAGTTTTTCTGTATCTGTGTTATATTTCACGATAAAAAGATTTTGTTTTTTATTGGGTTTTGGTTTTTAAAAAAATCTGCTTGCCTGGAACTGTCAATTACTGATGGACCCAGTGGTCAGTAGAGTGTTTTGGCTTTTTTTTTTGCATGTATTTAATATATGTGAATCATTTAGTTTCTCTAAAATGGAAACTGATGAGAATTTTGTTTGGTGAGCTTCTGTTTCCTCAGTCGTAGAGTTATGACCCACAGGTTTTAGGAATTGTTGGATGGAGGCTCATGAAAAGACATTCTCTTATAGCTCTGTGCTTTGTGCTGTTTTTGCTTGACAGGTGTTTAAAAGACACAATCCCAGCACGGCTGAGGAGCAGGAGATGATGGAGAATCTGTTTGATTCCCTCTGCTCCTGTCTAATGCTTAGTTCCAATCGTGAGCGCTTCCTGAAGGGCGAGGGTCTTCAGCTGATGAATCTCATGCTCAGGTATGTTTCGAATGCCCTAGTTCTCCCACCTTTTTTGCCTGACTTTTCACTGTTAGCCTGAATTCAAGAGCATGTAGCTATGATCATTTATTCTGTTGGGTTTCCTAGACTTTACCCTGAAGAGTAAAGTCTTCAGGCATGGGGGGATGTGTTTGTATAGGTATGTGGTCTTTCCTAAAGTTAGAGTAGATGAATAAAAAGTATATTGTGTTCTGTTTGTGCCCTACTGTGGTGGTTGCTAATACGTCCACTCCATTGAAGGACATTGGTGTTTTTCCTCTCCTTCCCATAGTGTGTTAGTTTTGGGGAAATCTAGCCATTACTTCTAAACTTGGACTAATTTTCTGTATATATCACATAGACCTATCTATGCCATATGTTTGTATTTTTATTGAAAGCAGCGTATCATTCATATTTTTCACTCCTCATTCAGTAATGAGTTGTACATGTGCTGTATGCCTAGCTTAGGAAATATGAAAACGTGCAAGACAGTTCTAGAAACTTTTATTTATAGTACTTTCCTTGTGTGTCTTATTATTTATACGCTAATTCCTGAAAGTGGATCTTATATTAGTTTCACAGTTATTTTATAGAATCCTAAAGTTAGAAGCAAAAAGGGGAGAGGAAGCTTATGTTGATAACTCTTGAGACCCTGTCTAGGAAGGGGAGTAGAGAAGTGTGTGGGGGAAGGCTGAGGGGATAACCAGACTGTGGTATAGGGTCAAGGGACTTAAAAAAAAAAATCGAGCATGTTTATGTGGTTGGAAGATTCTAGTCATTATGAATTGTGCCCTACAGAGGAGCAAGTTGAGATTTAAAAAAAAAAAAAACAAGAAAAAAAGAAATGGAGCCAGAGTCTGCTGTCTTAAAACTTCAAGTATACTGAAAGTTCTGTTGAACTAAGATATTTCTTTGGAAAGGTTTTTCATAAATGTGATATATATTTGTTAAATAGAATTTAGAATACTAACATATAAAACTGCTATTAAAACATTGACAAGGTACTATGTTAAGTACTGGGCATACACAGAAATACCTAAGACAGAATTTCTGTCTCCACAAAGTTAGGAAAACAGTTCTGTGAGCTAAACACAGCCTGTCTTTGGGTGTATATTTTCTTCTAGTCTTTTTTTCTATAATTTTTAACAACTTTTTAAGCCTGCCACACATAGGATTTTCTGTATTGCTACATTTCAGACATAAGATGCTGTTTCCCATGCTGTGAATAATCTTCATGAGAGTTTTCAGTAACTGCATCATGGCCTCTAAGGGACTGTAGCTTACTTAGTATTCTTCTGTTGTTGGCATTGAGGATATTTCCAATGTTTTGCCGTTATAACAAATTCTACAGTGACCATTTTTGTGTTTAAAATGATGTTAGGATTATCCAGGTACAGTAAGTCCTCACTTAACATCATCAGTAACATTCTTGGAAACCATAACTTTAAGCGAAATGATGTATAATGAAACCAGTTTTTCTGATCATTGTTATAACGGTGTTATTTGAGGATCTGACCTCCTATATCCCGTTTTACTTAAAGTTGCCATTTCCAAGTCTATCTATGATGTTAAGTGATGACTTACTGTGTATATTTCTAAAATATATTATCTTTAAAAGGCTTCTGGGGGGCTGGAGGCACAGTAGACCTCTTCATTTGTCCAGTGTGTACCAGACCTTGCATTGACCAAAAGTCTTCCTTTGAGGAATTGCTTTTAAAAACAATTTTTAAAAAAATGCAGAGAGGAGCATGAGAAATTACTCAGAGGCCTTTTGTGTTTAGCTGATTTTTGCTAGCTTTACTCTCTTGAGTCTTTTGTTTATCTCCCTTACCCTTCTAATTGCTTGTCCTTTTGTTGAAATGACCCACCTTCTCTCAAGTAAATAGCATAAATAGAAGATACATTTGGCTTCTTGGATCTTCTAACCTTAACACAATGTTCTGAAGGGACTTTTCCTTAAGCTTCTTAAAGGTCTGAATTGCCAGTGTCTTTGGTTGGTTGAGTGCAAATATGAAGTGATATATTTCTGCAGCATATGGCTAGGTATTGCATAGCAGAGGGGAGCTGAATAAATAACCAGAAATATGGATTATTCAAACAGGAATGCTGAGATTCAGGGAGGCTAATTAAAGGAGAGCTCCAAAAAACTTAGAAACTGTACCTCTCTAGATCTCCTAACTTCATTTTTGAATGCTGAAGTTGCTGTTACATTCATTCTTTGGCATTAATTAGCTATATTAGCAGATTCAGCATTTCCTTTTTTCTCATTCCCATACTCTTTGTTCTGTGTTATTTTTCTTCAGACTCCCAAATGGAAAGTTTAATTGGGATGGAATTTTTTTTCCATACTATAGTCACCCTTTCTGATCTTCTAGTAAGAGCTGCCAGGTGGCTCTTTGTCTAGAG
Source organism: Homo sapiens (assembly GCF_000001405.40). Taxonomy (NCBI): domain Eukaryota; kingdom Metazoa; phylum Chordata; class Mammalia; order Primates; family Hominidae; genus Homo; species Homo sapiens. The sequence continues at coordinate 37,781,742 of NC_000020.11, forward strand.
AGAGCCTATTCAAGACTATGAAGCTGTAACACTAGAAGTTCAGGAAAGTTTCTGTGGTTCCATTGCCCCTAAATATAGATCTTTACTTTGACTCAGTCATTCATCAGACAGTTGTGAAATGCCCACATGGAGAGGTGGCAGTATGGAGCAGGGTGGAAGAATGGGCCTGGGACTTGTAAGTGTGGGTTTGGAACATGCTCTTTTACTTACTAGCTCTGGATATTTGGTGAGTTACTTTAACCTTTGTGACCTTCTCACCCTCAGTTTTTCATCTGAAAACCGGCACTAATAATACCAAATTTACAGGTATTTTGGCAGAATTAAACTATATAAAGTATCTAGGAGAATTCTACAGTTGCAAAACACTGCTAAGGTACTATGTTAACTTTCTACGTTAAGTGCTAGGTTTATACAGAGATGAACAAAACAGGGTTCCTGCCTCCAAGAAGCTCAAAGGCTAGTGAGGGATGCACACATTAAATAACTATAATATAATTTAATATGATGACGCTTCAGGAGAACAGTTACTTTTGCATGTATATATACTCAGTGAATTTTTTTCCTTTCTGATTATTGATGAAGAAAGATCACAAACAAGATACTCATTGATACATACTCCCTCCTTCCCACACATATGTGCACACACACACAAGCATATATTCACTACCAATTTAATATTTTTGTCTACTTTATTGAGGCATAATTTTTATACAGTAAAATGTACGCATTTTAAGTGTACAGTTTTGACAGATGTTTCCACCACCACAGTGAAGATGTAGAACAGCACTATCCAGTCGAAATGTAATGTGAGATAGGTAATTTTACATTTTGTAGTAGCTACCACATTTAAAGGGTTAAAAGAAACAAAAATAATTTTAATAATGTATTTTATTTAACATAGTAAGTCAAAAATTATTTCAACATGTAATCAATATGACAAAATTATTAGTAAGCCATTTCACATTCATTTTTTGAGACTAAGTTTTCAAAATCCAGTGAACATTTTACATTTACATCCCAATTCAGATGCTAAATTTTCATCAGAATGCTTGATTTGTATTTAGATTTCATAAAATTTAGAGTTGAAAACATAGATTCTCATACTTAAGTTTGTCCAAAGATACTTAAATGTTTTCCAATAAGTCCAGTATCAATTTTTAAATTTTAAACTTAAATTTATTTAAATTATATTTAAAATTTAGTTTCTCAGTTACAATAGCCACATTTCAGATGCTCAGTAGCTACACAGTGTCTACCATATAGGATGATGTATATACAGATTCTTTTTATCACTCCCAAAGGTTCCCTTGCATGCCGCCAGGCCTGGCTAATTTTTTAAAAATATTTTTGGCAGAGACAGGATTTCACCATGTTGCCCAGGCTGATCTTGAACTCCTGAGCTCAAGCTATCCACCTTTCTTGGCCTCCCAAAGTGCTGGAATTACATGTGTGAGCCATTGCACCTGGCCAAATGCCTCCTTTTTCATTTCCGGTTTTTATTTATTTGATCCTCTCTCTTTTTTTCTTAATCTGGCTAAAGGTTTATTGATTTTGTTTATCTTTTGAAACCTAACTTTTAATTTTGTTGATCTTTTTTATCTTTTTTTGTTTGTTTCATTTATTTCTGCTCTGATCTTTATTATTTCTCTTCGTCTACTAATTATGGGTTTGGTTGGCTCTTACTTTTCTAATTCTTTAAGATGTATTGTTAGGTTGTGTATTTGAAGTTTTTCTACTTTTTTGTTGTAGGTGCTTATTGCTATGAACTTTCCTCTTAATACTGCTTTTGTTGTATCCCATAAATTTTGGTATGTTGTGTTTCCATTTTCATTTGCTTCAGACTGTTTTAATTTCTTTCTTAATTTCTTCATTGGCCCACTGGTTATTCAAGAGCATATTGTTTAATTTCTGTTTGAATAGTTTCTGGAATTCCTCTTGTTATTGATTTCTAGTTTTTTTCCATTGTGATCAGAGAAGATACTTGACAGAATTTCAGTTTTCTTGTATTTTTAAAGAATTGTTTTGTGGCCTAACACATGAACTATTCTTGAGAATGACCCATGTGCTAAGGAGAAGAATGTGTATTCTGCAGCTTTTGGATGATATGGTTTGTCACTATCTATTAAGTCCATTTAGTCTATACTGCAGATGAAGTTTGATGTTTGTTGATTTTCTGTCTGGATGTTTGATCCAGTGCTGAAAGTGGGGTGTTGAAGTCTCCAGCTTTTATTGGGATCTGTCTCTCCCTTTAGCTCTAATAATATTTGCTTTATCTATCTGGGTGCTCCAGTGTTGGGTGCATATATATTTATAATTGTTATATTCTTTTGCTGAATGGGTCCCTTTACCGTTATGTAATGACCTTCTTTGTCTCTTGGTCTAATTTTTGTCTTGCTATCTATTTTGTCTGATTTAAGTCCAGTTCCTCTTGCTCTCTTTTGGTTTTCATTTGCATAGAATATCTTTTTCCATCCTTTTATTTTCAGCCTATATGTGTCTTCATAGGTGAAGTGTGTTTCTTGTAGGCAATGGATTGTTGAGTCCCATTTTTTTAATCCATTCAGCCACTCTATATCTTGTGACTGGAGAGTTTCGTCCATTTATATTCCATATTATTATTGATAAGTAAGGACTTAATCCTGCCATTTTGTTATTTGTTTTCTGGTTGTTTTGTGGTGTTTCCTTCTCTTTGTGAAGGTGATTTTCTCATATGGTATGTTTTAGTTTCTTGCATTTTATTGTTTGTGTATCTGTTGCATGTCTCTTGACATTACCATGAGGCTTGCAAATACTATTTAATAACCCATTATTTTAAACTGATGACAGGCTTAACACTGATTGCAGAAACAAACTGACAAGCAAAGAGAAAACTAATAAAAACTCTACACTTTAACTTCACCCTTCCACTTTTTAACTTTTTGTTGTTTCTGTTTATATCTTATTATACGGTCTATGTCTTGAAAAGTTGTTGTAATTATTTTAATAGGTTCATCTTTTAGTCTTTCTGCTCAAGGTATGTGTAGTTTATACGCCACAATTACAGTGTTATAATATTCTGTGTTTTTCTGTGTACTTATGGTTACCAGTGGGTTTTGTACCTTCAGGTGATTTCTTATTGCTCATTGGCATCCTTTTCTTTCAGATTGAAGAACTACCTTTAGCATTTCTTGTAGGATGGGTCTGGTGTTGATGAAATCCCTCAGCTTTTGTTTGTCTGGGAAAGTCTTTATTTCTCCCTCATGTTTGGAGGATATTTTCACTAGATATACTATTCTAGGGTAAAATATAGTTCCTTCAGCACTTTAAATATGTCATGCCACTCTTCCCCTTTAAATATGTCATGCCACTCTTCCCTGGCCTGTAAGGTTTCCACTGAGAAGTCTGCTGCCAGACATATTGGAACTCCATTGTATATATTATTTCTTTTCTCTTGCTGCTTTTAGGATCCTTTGTTTATCCTTGACATTTGGGAGTTTGGTTATTAAATGCCTTGAGGTAGTCTTCTTTGGGTTAAATCTGCTTGATGGGGTTTTGTAACCTTTTGTTCTTGCATATTGATATCTTTCTCTAAGTTTGGGAAGTTCTCTCTGATTATCCCTTGGAAAAGACTTTCTACCCCAATATCTCTATCTCCTCTTTAAGGCCAGTAACTATTTGATTTGCCCTTTTGAGGCTATTGTCTAGATCTTGTAGGTGTGCTTCGTTCTTTCTTATTCTTTTTTTCTTTTGTCTTTGACTGTATTTTCAAATAGCCTGTCTTCAAGCTTACTAATTCTTTCTTCTCCTTTATCAGTTCTGCTGTTAAGAGACTCTGATGCATTCTTCAGTATGTTGCATTTTTCTGCTTGATTCATTTTAACTATTTCAATATCCGTAAAATGTAATAGGATTTTGCGTTCCTTCTGTGTTATCTCAAATTTCATAAAGCTTCCTCAAAACGCTATTTTGAATTTTTTATCTGAAAGCTCACATATCTCTGTCTTGCTGGCATTGTCACTGGTCTCTTACTTAGTTCATTTGTTGAGGTCATGTTTTCTTGGACGGTCTTGATGCTTATGGATCTTTGTCGGTGTCTGGGCATTGAAGAGTTAGGTATTTATTGTAGTCTTTGCAGTCTGGGCTTGTTTGTATTCATCCTTCTTGGGAAGGCTTTCCAGGTATTTAGAGAGTCTTGGGTGTTGTGATTTAAGTCTTTGGTCACAGCAGCTGTGTCTGCATTAGGGGGCATCCCAAGCTCAGTAACACTCTGGCTCTTGTAGACTTGTAGAGGTACCACCTTGGTGGTGTTGGGTAAAATCGAAGAGAATTCCCTGGATTACTAGGCAGAAACTCTTGTTCTCTTCCCTGACTTTTCCCCAAACACGTGGAGTCTCTCTCTCTCTCTGTGCTGAGCTGCCTGGTGCTGGGGGAGGGGTGAGACAAGCAAGCACCACTGTGGCCACCACTGGGACTGTGCTGGGTCATTCCTGAAGCCAGCACAGCACTTGGTTTCACCCAAGGCTCACATTGACCACTGCCTGGCTGCTGCCTGTGTTCATTCATGGCCCAAAGGCTCTACAGTCAACAGGTGGCAAGTCCAGCCAGGCTTGTGTCCTTCCCTTCAGGACAGCAAGTTCCCCCCAGCCCCAGGCAGCTCTACAGATGCCATCTGAGAGCCAGAGCCTGGACTTGGGAACCTTAGAAATCTACCTGATGCTTTACTCTATTGCGACTGAGCTGGCACCAATTGGATTTGTTTTTTTTGGAGGGCATCTTTTTTTAGAGAACCAACTCTTGGTTTTGATATAAATATGCATATGTATGTGTGTACATATATATATATATGCATATATGTGTGATATAAATATGCATATGTGTATTTGTATATATATGGTCTACAATGCTTGTAGCATTTTGTATATTTGTATACCTTTCCCCCGCCTTTAATTCTTTTTTTCTACTTTTTTGTTTATTCTGTTGCCCTTTTTCCAAGTTTGTGAGTTAAACGCTTAATGCTTTAAAAAATAATTCTCTTATTTAAAAATAAAAACATTTCAGGTTAAAAAATCTCCTTTTAATATTGCTTAGTTTTATTCTCTATTCCCAAGTGATTAAGTCTTATTTTCCTATTACATTAACAGAAAATAGAGGCTATAAAATACATTTCTGAATTTGAGATTTTGTTTGTGGCCTTATACTTGGGTAGTTTTTATAAATATTCCGTGAACATTTGAATAGAATTTGTGTTTCTAGGGTATAAAGTACTATAATTATAACATAAATCAACTTTGTAAACATATTCCGTTCTTTTCTGTCCTTTTTATCCCCTAATTTGTTTAGTCTCTAACTATGGTTGTGGATTTTTTTTTTTCTGTTTCTTCTGATCCTTCCTATATCCTTAGCATTTTTTTTTTTTTTAAGAGACAGGATTCCACTATGTTGCCCAGGCTGAAGTGCAGTGGCTGTTCACAGGAGGCAATCACAGTGCACTGCAGCGTTGAAGTCTTGGGATATGATGATCCTTCCAAGTAGCTGAGATTATAGGCACCTGCTACCACACACCTTTACTTTTTATGTCATTTTGTGTTACGTGTAACTCTTGTTAAAGACACATAACTGTGTGTTTTTTTTTTTTTTTTTTTGAGACGGAGTCTCGCTCTGTCGCCCAGGCTGGAGTGCAGTGGCGGGATCTCGGCTCACTGCAAGCTCCGCCTCCCGGGTTCACGCCATTCTCCTGCCTCAGCCTCCCAAGTAGCTGGGACTACAGGCGCCCGCCACTACGCCCGGCTAATTTTTTGTATTTTTAGTAGAGACGGGGTTTCACCGTTTTAGCCGGGATGGTCTCGATCTCCTGACCTCGTGATCCGCACGCCTTGGCCTCCCAAAGTGCTGGGATTACAGGCGTGAGCCACCGCGCCCGGCCCATAACTGTGTTTTTTAATCCAGCGTGAAAGTTTGTCTTTCAGTAGATGAATTTAACTATTTGATTTTATAGTAATTACGTTTAGCCCTTTTCCTGTTTGTTTTATGGTTTCCTTGGTTGTTTTATTGTTTTGTCTTATCTTTTTTTCACTTCCATTATTTTCCTTCTTCTTTGGAGATTTGGAAAATACTATTCTTTCTATTAGTGATTACCTTTAGTTTTTTAGAAATGTGGCTTTATTTCTTTGTCTATGAACGTTTGAAATTGTTTCTAGTCCCCTCAAGATCTGGCCTCTGCCTCATCCTCCTACTGCCATCTCTTTCATTCTTTCCTTTCTGCACATTTACATTCCACTCTCTAAACCAAACTATTTTAGATCCCTTGACACATTTTGTTATTATTATTATTTTGATGACTCACTTTTGATGTTTAGGCTTAAACTTCTCTAAGCAGCCATTTTCTTCCATGTCTCTTCCCCCACGTCTGTCCTCACATCCCCACCCCTAAGTTTTGAAGGTTGGGTGCTAGCATCCTTTGCTGCCTCTGTCAGAGCACTTTCTGCACCATGCATGGTAAGTTGTACGGCTGTGTCTTCAATTGTACTGTAATACTTTTCAGAGTAGAGACAGAGTCTTCTTCCTCTGTATCTCCAGTATCTAGCAAAAGATACACCTTTGGTTTTCTGTGTTTGGTTTCTTAATTTTCTAAATTAATGAGAAACATTTTGCTGTTTAGGATCATTGGCCCACGGAATTTTTGGCAAACCGTGTTCATAGACCCAAAGGAAGAGGAGTTAAAAAGCCTGTTGCCGAGAACTCAGTCTCTTGCCTGAACATATTTAGTTCTGTTTTCCCTGTCAAATTTTTCAGTGCATGGAAAGCACAAAACGGGGCCATAGTGTGTTGTAATCCTGATCTTGAGGCTCAGGGGAGGCTAGGAGTCCACTCGAGTCCTGGGCTCCTGCCCTGTTTGGCCTGTGCCCATGCTGGGCTTCAGAACAGAAGCTGCATAAGCTCCCCAAATGAGCTTATTCTCCTTTGCCTTTCAACTCTCTTCTTCCGTTATCCTCCCAGGTATTTAGGATTATATTAGGTTTTCAGTTCTTATCACCTTTCTTCTCAAGGTTCTAAGAAGTCCTTCATGCAGATTTGTAGTCTCTGAGCTTTCATTTCCAGGAGCTGTTTGTGAAGCACTATTACCTACTCGCCCTTACCTCACAGCCCTCTCTCCTCTAGTTTTCCCTGTCACACAGGTGACTTTTCTCCATTCCTGTGTTCAAACTGTCTGGATTTCACAGTGCTTGACAGAATCAATAAGAAGAAAAGCTTTCTTGTTTTTCTCTCTTTGCCAAAGGACAGATGAAGACATCTTGGAAAAGAAGAAAAGATTGTTGAGGTGATGTTTAAAAGTGGAACTCGTGCTGTGAAGAAAGCAGCGGGTAGCCATCCTAGAGTACAGGAACCAAAAAAAAAGAAAAGGAATTTCTCATTTGCTCACATTAGTGTCTTGATAAATGAAAAGAAAAGATGAGGTAAGGGTGGAAGACGCAGAACCTCTCAAGCAGTGGACAACTGTGTACTGAAAGGCGGAGAGGACCAGAGTCTCTGATGTAGAAGGAAATGCTCCTTTGTGCATCGGGCAGCTCAGCCTGCTTCTTTCAGTTGGATAGTCAACAGTTAGGTTACAGTAAGGATGTTTGGATGGTCTTTGGTGAGCAGCAGAAGAATTAACATATGAACATGAATGAAGTGGTAGTTTTGTAGTCTGTGATGTTTGAGAGTAAAATAAAATTCAGAAAAGTCACAATTTATTGTGCTGTTTAACAAAGTGATCAGATTCAGAGGTTCCAATCCACAAAAATAAGACAAAATTATACTTACCTGGGGTGGCCATTTTAGAATTAGTCAGGAAATGAGGATGGAACTGTAACAGTGCCCTCATTGTCCCTGGAGGGAGACTGGTTTGCCACTTCCGTTTCTTTGTTACAGATACCTCTCTTTGGTAAGATGGTTGCTACAAATAGAAGATTCCAATATATCAGGTTTAATTATAGCCTGCACTCTAAATCATTTGCTTCTTGCCACCACAAAGCACTTTTTAACAGTATGTCCTTGTATCAGAATACTTCAATGTTCTGTAAGGAGCAACAGAGCCAGTGGGAGACAAAAGAATTATATTGTCAGTTTCCTTGAAAATGTTGACATGAAGCTTATTACTTCTGCTGTAAAACCCTGTTCCAGTTAGAAAGAGAAGAGACCACTGTGATCCCAGGGGATGTGTACAAATGCAGCTTTGGGTTATGTAGCATAAATACAGTGAACCCATCTTGGTTATTAACTGTAAAGGCAAAAAGAGAAATAGGAGGATACACAGCCACATCTGTTCCAGGAACCACCAGTTTTTGTTGTTGTTGTTGTTCTAAGGTTTTCAATAAGATTTTCCTTACCCTAAAGAAAAATGTCTCTGATAAAGAAAACAAATAAAATGGCAATGGTATAATATGTGCAGAGTAAGTTTTCGCAGGCCCAATTCTGGACTGTGAGCTTGTGGCAAAGCATATAGATAGGCCAGCCTGGGGAACTTTGGATTTTTATTCCCTTGTTCTTTTCCTTACTCTACTTTGCTTTTGTTCCTAATGAACATCGGAAGGTCCAAACAATATGGCATTTTATTCTTGTCATCCTTTACATTTTTTAAGAACTAGAGTCTTTTCTTCTAACCTCCAGTCTCCCAGGATTCAAGTGCAAAAGCAAAATTATAATGGAAATCTTTTAGAAGTCAGCTGTGCTTCTTGATGGGGCCGTATACAGGTTGTGTTCCAAGCTGCACATGCAGATCTTGCTTGTTTGTCTAACAAGGAGCATTCTCTTTCCTCTTCAAGTTTAATATTACCATTCTCCCTTAGATGGATAGTGGTAGTTTGCACCTGTTCTCTAGGAACCAGAAAAATACTCCAAAACACAAAGTAATCCTTCCAACAGTCCTCCAGGCTGGCGTTACCTTTTAATAAATGGGAAAGTGCTGTGGCAAAGAAGGTAGATAAACTGAATCAAGATTACCGGGCAGGAAGTGGTGTAAGGCCTGTCTGAGCCCTGCCATCAGACCTCATAGCTATTCATCATTCCAGTGTAGTTTAAATCGCACATATTTAAAGTATACAATTTGGCGAATTTTGCAATATGTATAGACCCATCATACCCCCACTGCAAGCATGACAGTGAACATATTTGTCACACCCAAATGTTTCTTTGTGCCCCTTTGTAATTCTCTCCCCCTACCTCAGTGTCTTCAGGCAACCATTGATTTGCCTTCTGTCCATTATGTATTAGTTTGCATTTTCTAGAATTTTATGTAAATGGAGTCATACAGTGTGTTCCTTTTTTTGGTCTGACCTATTTCACTCACTGTAATTATTTTGAGATTCGTCCATGTTGTGTATCAATAATTAGTTCCTTTTTCACTGCTGAGTAGCACTCCATTATATGGATATATTGCAGTTTGTTTATTCACTTGTTGAAGGATATTTGGGTTTTCAGTTTTTTGCTCTTATGAATAATTCTGCAGTGAGCTTTCATGTGCAAATCTTTGGGCAGACATTGTAAATTGCTCTTAGGTAAATACTTAGTTAAATTGCTGGGTCATATGTTAGGTATACAGTTAACTTTTTAAGGCACTGCCATACTGTTTACAAAATGGTTATAGCATTTTAAAATTCCACAGCAGTGTGTGAGAGTTCCAGTTGCTGCACATGGAGCAGTATAGTCAGTCTTTTTTGTCTTAGCCATAGTTTTAATTTGCTTTTCCCTCATGACTAATGATGTCAGGTGTCCTTCATGTCCAAATTTGCCATCCATATATCTTTTTTGGTGATATCTCTTCAAATCTTTTGTCCATTTTGGGGGTAAGGGGTTATTTGTCTTATTGAATTTTAATAGTTCTTTATATATTATATGGTTTATATCAGAGGTTACCCCCTCAGCCCCAGAATGCACAGCAGAAGGTGAGCGGCAGGTGAGTGAGCATTACTGCCTGAGCTCTGCCTCCTATAAGGTCAGCAGTGGCATTAGATTCTCATAGGAGTGCAGATCCCATTGTGAACTGCGCGTGCGAGCGATCTAAGTTGTGCACCCCTTATGAGAATCTAATGCCTTATGATCTGAGATGGAACAGTTTCATCCTGAAATCATCCCCTGCCCCGTGGAAAAACTATCTTCCACTAAACTGGTCCCTGGTGCCAAAACGGTTGGGGAACACTGATTTATATCATGTAAGACCTACACATCTTACAGATATTTTCTCCCAGTTCATGTCTTGCTTTTCATAACACTCTTTTGAAAATTTTTCAGTTTTGATGGAGTATAATTTTTTATTTGTTCCAGTAGTCTTTTTCTGTTGGTGTCATTGAAGATATTTATTCATTTTGTCTGTTGTCAAACTTACTGGCAAAAAGATGTTCATAAATATTCTCTTATTATCCTTTTAAAATCAGTAGAATCTGTATTTGATGTGCTCTTATTTTTGATGTTAGTAATCTGTGCCTATTTTTCTCTGATCAGTGTGGCTAGAGGCTTATCAGTTTTATTGATCTCAAAATATCAGTTTTTGTTTTCATTGTTTTTCTGTTTCCGATTTCAGTGATTTCTGCTCTGGTCAGTATTTTTTTTCCCTCTCTTTCTCTCTGTGTGTTTGTGCGTGTATTTGTGTGTGTGTGTTTGAGATCAGTTCTCGCTACATTGCCCAGGCTGACCTCTAACTCCCGGACTCAAAAGATCCTCCTGCCTCAGCCTCCTAAGTAGCTGGGACTGTAGGAATGCACCATGATGCTGGGCTTTTAATCTTCATTATTTATTTTCTTTACATTACTCAGTGTTTAATTTGCTATTCTTTTTCCTACAAACTGCTCCAAAATCTGAAACTTTTTGAACATCAACATGATCTTCAAAGGAAATGCTCGTTGGAGCATTTTGAATTTTAGATTTTCTGATTAGGGATGCTCAACCAGTATAATGCAAATATTGCAAAACTGGAAAAAAAATCAAAATTTGGAACACTACTTGTTCCAAGCATTTCGAAGGGATACTCAAAGGATACCCCTAAGGGATACCCCTAAGGGATACTCAACCTGTAGGTGTTTACTGCTATAAATTTCCCTCTAATTGCTACTTTAGCTGTGTCATATAGATTTTGATATGCTGTATTTTTATCTTTATTCAATTCAAAATATTAATTTCTTTTCTGATTCATCTTTGACCAATGAGTTATTTAGAAGTATGTTGTTTAGTTTCCAAGTATTTGGGAATTTTCTGAGTATCTTTCTGTTACTGATTTCTACTTTCATACCATTCATTGTGGTCAGAGAACATACTTTGATTTCAGCCTTTCAAAATTTATTAAGACTTGTTTTTGGCCCAGAATACATTCTTATGTTGCTAAATATTGTATACTTGAATATGTATTTGCTGTTGTTGGGTGGAATGCTTTATAAATGTCAAATAGGTTAAGTTGCTGATCATGTTGTTCAAATCGTCTATATTTGTACAGATTTCCTGTCTTATTCTATCGATTATTGAGAGAAGAATATTGAAACCTCTGACTGTAATTCGGGATATGTCTATTTTTCCTTTCAGTTCTATCAGCTTTTGCTTCATATATTTTGAGTTCTTTTAGCTGCTTAAACTTATAGAATTATATGTTCTTTTGTTTAATCGACCCTTTTATTATTATGAAAATAACTTTCTTTATCCCTGGTAATGTTCTTTGATCTGAAATCTACTTTGTTTTATATTAATATAGCCACTACAACTTTCTCTTAATTAGTGCTAACGCATGGTATCTTTTACCTTCTGTTATGAACTAAACTGTGACCCTCTCCCCACCAAAATTCATTTGTTGAATTTGGAGATAGGGCCTTTAAGAAGGTAATTAAGGTTAAATGAGGCCGTAAGAGTGGGACCCTAATCCAAAAAGAGGCACCAGAAGTGCATGCACACACCTGTGGGGTAAAACCTTATAGGAGTGAACTTCTATTTCTCTCTCCAGGTTTTTATGCTTCTATTGTCATACATTTTTATTTCAAAATGTTATTAGCCCTGTTATACATTGTTGTTTTTGTTTAAGTGGTCAAGTGGTCAGTTATCTTTTTTTTCTTTTTCTTTGAGACAGAGTCTCACTCTGTTGCCCAGGCTGGAGTGCAGTGGCGTGATCTCAGCGCACTGCAACCTCTGCCTTCAGGGTTCAAGCAATTCTCCTGCCTCAGCCTCCCGAGTAGCTGGGACTACAGGCATGTGCCACCACGCCCAGCTAATTTTTGTATTTTTAGTAGAGACGGGGTTTCACCATGTTGGCCAGGCTGGTCTTGAACTCCTGACCTTGTGATCCACCTGCCTTGGCCTCCCAAACTGCTGGGATTATAGGCATGAGCCACCGCACCCGGCCAAGTGGTCAGTTATCTTTTTAAAAGAGATTTTTGAAAATAAAGAGAAAAAGTCTTTTATATTCACCCACTTATTTGCCATTTTCCTTGCTCTTCATTCCTTTGTGTAGATCCAGATTTCCATCCGGGGTCAGTTTCCTTCTGCCTAAATGACTTCCTTTAACATCTCTGGTAATGCTGGTCTACTGGTGATGACTTCTGTGAGCTGTATATGACTAAAAAAATATTTGCCTTCATCTTTTTCTTTTCTTTTCTTTTGAGACACAGTCTTGCTCTGTCACCCAGGCTGGAGTGCAGTGGCACAATCTCAGCTCACTGCAACCTCCACCTCCTGGGTTCAAGCGATTCCTGGGCCTCAGCCTCCTGAGTAGCTGGGATTACAGGCATGCACCACCACCCCTGGCTATTTGTTTTTGCTTTTTGTTTGTGTTTTTTTGAGATAGTCTCGCTCTGTCACTCAAGCTGGAGTGCAGTGGTGCGATCTTGGCTCACTACAACCTCTTCCTCCCAGGTTCAAGCGATTCTTCTACCTCAACTTCTTGAGTAGCTGGGATTACAGGTACCCACCACGACACCTGGCTAATTTTTTTTTTTTTTCTACTTTAAGTAGAGACGGGGTCTCACCATGTTGGCCAGGGCGGTCTTGAACTCCTGGCCTCAAGTGATCTTCCTGCCTCAGTCTCCCAAAGTGCTGGGATTACAGGCGTGAGCCACCGTGCCTGACTGCCTTCATCTTTGAAATATATTTTCACCAGGTATAGCTTTCTAAGTTGATAGGGTTTTTCTGGGAGTTTTTTTGTTTTTTTCCTTTCGGTACTCTTAGTTGCTCCACTGGCATCTGGCTTTCTTGGTTTTTGATGAGAAGTCTCCCATCATTCATATATGTGTTACTCTATTTGTAATTTGTCCCTTTTTTCTGGCTGTCTTTAGGATATTCTCTTTTTCATTGGTTTTGAGTTTATGTAGTTTTTTTCACGTCTCTGGTGTTTGAGGTTCGTTGAGCTACTTGGGTCTCTGGGTTTATAGTTTTCATCACAGGTGGAAATTTTTCAGTTATAATTTTTTTTTTTTTTTTTGAGACAAGGTCCCTCTCTGTTGCCCAGGCTGGCATGCAGTGATGCAGTCTCAGCTCACTGAAGCCTCTGCCTCCTCCTCTACCTCTTGGGTGCAAATGATCCTCCCACCTCAGCCTTCCAAGTAGCTGGGACTACACAGGCATGCACCACTGTGCCCAGCTAATTTAAAAAAAATATTTTTAGTAGAAATACAGTTTTGCCATGTTGCCCAGTTGGACAGTTATAGTTTTCAAACATTTTTCCTGCCCCCATCCACCTTTAAGGGAGTATAATGGTATGTATATGATATAATTATAAATTGTGTATTATAAAATATGATTCCATGTATATTAGGCTATTTGAAATTTTCCAACCACAGTTCACTGATGATGTGTTCATTTTTTCCTGTATTCTTTTTCCTTTGTGTTTTATTTTGGACAGTTTCTGTCATTATGTCCTCAAGCTCAGTCTTTCGTTTCTTCTGCAGTGTTAATCTCATCTACTGTATTTTTCCTCTGTAGCTGCTCAGTTTGGTCTTTTCTTCTATGTTTTTAGTTAACATGCTGATGCTTTTCTCGACTTTCTTCATTTTACGTATCAATTGTAGTTATAATTATGCTTTTACTGTCTTTGTCTTCTAATTCTGTCACCTGTGTTATTTTTACTGATGATTTTTTTTCTCCTCTCTGTGGGTCACATGTTCCTTCTTTGAATCCCTAGTAATTTTTTATGGAAATTCAAATATTGTGAATTTTACCTTGTTAGATGTTGAATTTTTTTTTTTTTTTTTGGAAGGGTATTTCTGTAAATGTTCTGGAGCTTTGTTCTAAGATACAAAGTTACTTGGAAATAGTTTGGTCCTTTTGAGACTTACTTTTAAGCTCTGTTAGGCAGGACCAGATTAGTCTATGGCTAATAATGCCTCGCTACTGAAGCACTACTCATCTTACTACTCCGCCAGGTGCACTGTGAATTAATAAGACTTTTCTACTGTAACTGGTGGGAATACAAACTATTCCTGGCCCTCCGTGAGCTCTGGGATTGTCTTTTCTTACTTCTCTTAGGCAGCTTCTCTCTGCAGTAGTGATTAGTTTCCTCACATGCTTGCGCTTGTCAGTTCTGGAGACTGGAAGGGGCCCTCTGCAGATCTCCGTGCAGCTCTCTGCTGTGAACTCTAGCTGCATTGCTCTGCCGGACTCCTAGCTCTGTCTCCTCCCTTCTCTGAGGCCTGGAAACTTTCCAGGCAGTCAGTTGGGCTCATTGCATGTGTTACCCTCCTGATGTCAAGTGTCTAAAAACCATTGTTTTGTTCATCTTTTTTTTTTTTTTTTTAACTTTCAGGGTTAGGGAGGGTGTAAATCCAGTCCTTGTTACCCCATTTTGGCCCAGAGTGGAAGTCCAGCAGTATATGACACTTTTTAAGCTACATTTTCTTATTCTTTATTCCTGGTGGGTAGTAATGCAATTAACTTGTATATTGATCTTATATTTAGCAACTTTGCTCTATCACATATCAGGCCTCAGTCATAACATGGTTATTTGTTGGAATAAGAAGCCCAAAATTTCAAGGACTTTCAATGACAGGTGTTTATTTTTCACTCATGGTTCATTCATCACTGGCCGTCAGAAGCTCAGCTCTACACCTTCTTTATTTCAGGACTCAGGCTGAAGGAGCAGTGCTTCATGGTACATGCCTGTCTCATGGTAGAGGGAAGAGACCGCATAATGCAATAAATCTTAAAACTTCTCCTCTGAAGTGCACATGTTACTTACATTCACGGTTTATTGGCTGTGCACAGTCACATGGCCAAGTGTGAAGTCTGTGGCGGGCGGTGGGGGTGATATGGGTAGTGATGTGTTGGAGCCGGCTCATGTAGGTTCATGAGAGCTGATGGTGCACATCTCTTCCTATCACTGCATTTAGTGATACCATATTAGTAACTTGAAATTGCCTGTGGTCGTATTTATTATTTATTTATTTTTTGTTTCTGTTTTTCTTTTTCCACCCACCCCACCCTCTGGCTGTGGTCCTATTGATCTTACTGTCTAATTCATAGAAATCCTGAATCCTGTAAAGTGATCTTGTATTTCAGACTCTAATGTAAGTGAACTTCATCATGCACGTTGTAAAGCAAAGAAAATATGATCTCATGTGGCATTATCTGTATTTCTTGCCACGATTAGTTTATGGTTCACAGAATATTTTAAAGAACACCTTGTTGCTTTTTTTTTTTTTTTTTTAATCAGTCTCCCTTGTCCAGGAAAGGAGAGGGTTTTACCTCTTTCATTTGTCCTTCAAATAAGTTTCCTTCAAGGTCCTAGTCTTCTGTTCTGAATACTTTCTGTACCCTCCCAGGGTAATCTTACTCACACCATGGATTAATTACTGCACATAGATTTGATGACTCTTTCAAAATTTTCCCTATTGGTGACTTCATTATTGGGCTTCAGACATAAAAGTTCAAGCTGGACATCACGCCGTGTTCCACAGGCATCTCAGGTTCAATCAGAACTCAACCCTTCGCACCCCCGCCTTTCTTACCAGTCTTTCTGCCTCTGATATTGTTTCTCTCTTCCTTCTGCTCCCCCATCCCTGTTACTGTCCAACACACTGTGGCAAGCATAATCTTTCTTATACACAAAAGTCAGCCTGTCTTCTGTTTTGCTGCTGCCCCTCTTCTTACTCTTTATATTCTAGCAGTACCATGCTCCACTTCCCTAAATGTCCCATGCTTAACGCCTGTCTTTGCATGTGCTCTTGTTTCCTTCTGCATGAAATACCCTCTCCCTCTTTGCGTATCCAAGAAAAACATCCCCTGCAGCTTGGTTCAGGCATCATCTCCTTTTTAAGTCCTCCCTGACTCAGACATGGTCAGCCCTCCTTCCTGCGTTCACTCTGCTTTGTATATACCTCCACCGTAGGACTTAGCTTTTCTCAGTCTGCCCATTCTCTGCATGTCTGTCTCCCCTGTGGACCAGACTCCTTGGAAGCAATGAGCTGTGCCTTGTCTCTGCATCCTGGACTTAATATCTGGCACCTGCTAGGTACCTCATAAATATTTGATGAGGGAACAAATGAACAAAGAAAATCATACTCAGAATCTGTGTTTATAGCAAAAGTGTTTTTGCATAATAAAGAAGAATAAGCTAATTAAAACTACAACAGAAAACGTTTTCTCCCACATCAGAAGGCTCACTGTTAGCAGAATAGGGAGCAGTGGATGACTCTCCACCATTTCCCACAACCCCCCAGTTTTATAGAGGCTAGCATTCACATTGGTTCTGGCGTGATCGACAGCCTGATGAACCCAGACAAGACTAAGATAAACTACTTGTCCTCCAGTAGAATAAATATTTCAAATAAAGTCAACCCAAGAAAGGCAGGCCAAACAGCTATTGATTTCTAAAAGCCTGAACTCAAGCCCAGTGAATATTCCAAAGTTCACCTCCATGCTGCTTGCCTAAGTGGTGATCAATATGCAATTACTGCCCCCTCTAAACATGTCTTACACTGCCTACCTCAAGAAGGATTTTACTTTTAAAATCTTTTGTTTGTTGAATTTGCTTAGGCAGGAAAAAAAAAGAGAGGCTTGGCTACACCAGAGTCTTTTGAATTGTATTTCAAACAGTTCTGTGTTATTTGTGAAATGGTTTGAGCGTATGCTGAATGGTAACTGAAGGTGCCCTATTTTATGACCGCCATTCATTTCAAGAGGCCTTTTCCTGAGTGACTAAACAATACAGATATTATATCTCAATGTCCTAAATTTTGCTCACATGGTTATCTGTCCTAGTCATGACTTTTATAAATTCAAGCTTGTAAGATGCTGAAGTCCAGCTGCAGTGAAAACAAGTCTCTGTTAGAATTTTCATCTTAATACAAAAAATCCCTTCGTACTGAATTTGGAGCCTTGTTTACCTGGCTCCTCATATTTAAGATTTCATGCTTCTCTCAAATAGGCCTTTTTCATACCATTGCTGTAGTCAGAACCTTTGGTCATTTCTCATTTTTGTTGTTGCCAGAGTCTCCTAACTGTCCTCCCTTACCCCCAAGCGGTGTCATTCCCGTCCCTTCTTCACATTGCTGCCAGATTAAGCCTTCTAAAATGTATCTGTCCAGGGCCCTCCCTTGTTTGAAATTCTCATGCCTTCTCGACATCTACAGGATGGAGCCTGGGTTCCCTGACAGCACGTGTGGAGCCTGTCATGACCGTGTTCCTCGCCGCCTCTCCTCAGTCATCTTCCACCACTGGCCATTCGGAACTACCTCTAGTTCCCTGGCTGGCACGCTCCTACAGGCTGCACACACCTTTGCACATGCTGTACAGCCACCACTCCCAACAGTGTCCTTGCTCTTCGTTCTCTGCCTGGCAAATACTCATTCCTTAGACTCGGTGCAGAAGTCACCTGCCATTTGACACCTTCACTGACTTCTCCCAAGGCAAATTATCTCCTCTTCTCATCATCTTGGACTTAATTTCCATTGCTTCAGACTTTTGAAAGCATTTTTATTTACCTCTTCTTACATTGCTTAAAGACAAGGACCTTATAACTCCTAGCAGCTAGCATAATGTCTGCTGCATAAAGACATATGCTCAATAGTATATGCCTTTTTTTCTTTGAAACTCAGTAGTTGGATTGATGGGCATTTGTGAATCTTTGTATTGTTTGATTGATCCACAAGGGAAATAAAGATAGGAATAGGTTAGCATGAAGTAGGATGGCCAACGCTCTCTCTTTGCCCAGGATTGAGAAGTCTGGGATGTGTTACTTTCAGTGGAACAGTCCTAAGTAAACCAGGATGGCCTGTAGCTCCAAGGGGCACTATCAGCAAGCTTTGTACCTACTCACCTTTCCTCCACTATTGGGACCCAGTCCTGGCTGGCTAGTCTGACCCAGGATAGCACTCTTTGTGACCAGTAGCACTTTAATAGTGCAGGGTTTTAATAGTGTTGTGTCTGCAAAAGACTGTCCAAAGGGGATATTATTTCTGATTCCTTTTCTTTGGCTTTCACATGAGAAATTGGATGAAAGGCTCTGGGTTGTTACCCTGTTTTTGATGAATACTGCCTTCTCTTGCAAGACCAGTCACCTCTCTCCAGCTGTTTATTTCTCCCTTGTTTATCTTTGGTCTCCACATCACCATTAGCTTTTCTTAAAAGTAGTAGTTTAAATCTTGACCCGGCTTCCCTCTCTTGGGGTTCCTCCTCCAGGCTTTACTAAGGCGTAACCTACACTCACCCTTCTTACTTTCTCACCTCCTTTTACTTTTCACTCCACTTCTGCCCTACCACTGCTCTCTGGAAGGTTGCTAGTGGCTTCCTGATGGTGAAATCTGGTGGCCGTTTATTTTGCTTTTTTGACAGACTGGAATCTCTTCAGAAACTGTCTCCTTCCTCTAACTAAAGTATTCCCTGCTTGTGTGCCCACTGTACTTATTATTTTGTTACCTAGTTTTTTGTTCATTTATTTTAAATATTTACATGTATATTATTCTTTCCCCACACTCTCCCAAATACATGTAATTTGTCTCTCTCACTTTAATGTAACACATGGCAATCTCAGAACCAACATGTTGAATTGCATCCACTTTACTCCTGGAATCACTTCTTCACTTGGATGCCTTGTGGCCTTTGATACAGCCCATGTTTCCCTCCCTGATCGAAGCTAGGAACACTCTGCTCCTTGGCGTACCTCAAACACACCAGTCGCCTGTCTACAGTTCATTTCTATTTCAGGACCTCTGTGCTTGCTGTTCCTCCTGTCTTGAATGTTGTTTTGCCCCTAAAATTTACATGACTGATTCATCTTATCACTCAGTTCTCAACACAATGTTACTCCTTAGGAGGCTTTCCTTAATAACTGAATCTAAGAGATCCACGCCAGTCATTCCTTCACATGTCCTCGTTTTACTTCCTTGACACTAACCATTATCAGGTATCTCAATTTCTCTTTGTCTCCTGCCTTGAGAATGTAAATTGCTTGAGAACTGGGACGCAATCTTTCCCAATCATGTGAGAGTTATCCAGTAAATATTTGTAGATTGAATAATACATGGGGAAAATTATATGCTGATTTATACTTTTCTCTGATCCTTTCATATTACTTTGGTCTCCCCAGATTTAGCTTTTTTTTTTGGAAGCAGAACCCATTTCTTACTGTTTTCTCTTGTGTCTACCACAGTGCTAAGTAGTTGCCCAGTAAATATTGCATATTGGTTTGGTTGGTTTATTTACCAGCTGTAGCAAGATAGGAAATGACTGACTTGCTTCTCTCTACTTCAGAGTATTTAAAAGAATAATTTAAGATTGTAGAAAAATTATGCTCCCTAGGGAAGTATCTGCAAGAATAGCAGCCAGTGGCACTATTATTCTATGACCTTTTGCTTCAAGAGGGAAAAACACCTTTATTTTTTTTCTTGAAAATAGTTTATGTTTTTTAATTCTATGTTCATTATGGAAAAATGAGAAACTGAGATATAGAAAAAGGAAAAATAAGATGCAGAAAAAGCATCTGACACAGCCCAACATTCTTTCATACCAATAGTTCAACTAGGAATAGAAGAGAACTTCTTCAACCATTGATAAAGAGCTTCTACAAAAAACCCATAACTAATGTCATACTTCATGGTGAAAGAGTGGATGTTTCCCCCCTAAGACAAGGACTAGGATTTTCACTCTCATCACTGCTATTGGGCATTGTCCTAGAGGTTCTAGCCAGGGCGATTAGGCAATAAAATGAAATAAGAAGCATCTATATTAGAAAGGAAGAAGTAAAACTATCTGTTTGCAGATAACATAGTTTATATAGAAAATCCTAAGGAATCTACTAAAAGATTATTAGAACTAGCAAACGAGTTTAGCAAGGTTGCAGGAAATAAAACCAATTGTATTTCTATACGCTTGGAGTGAGCAATCCAAAAATGAAACTAAGGAAACAATGTTGATAGCAGCATTATTCATAATAGCCAAAGGGTGGAAACAAACCAAATGTCCTTCAACTGATAAATGGACCAATTGTGGCATGTGTTATTCAGCAATAAAAAGGAATGAAGTACTGATATGTGCTACAACATGGATGAACCTTGAAAACATTGCCAAGTGAAAGAAGCCAGTCATAAGAGAACACATAATATATGGTATCTACTTACATGAAATGTCTAGAATAGGCAAATCTATAAGAAAGAACATAGATCAGTGGTTGCTTAGGGCCAGGATGGGATGAAGAGGGTAGGGGGTGTTAAGAGTATGTAGTTTCTTCTCAGGGCAATGAAAATGTTTTATAATTGACTGTGGTGGTAGCTGACATATCTGTGAATATTCTAAAACCCATTGAGTTGTACATTTTAACTGGTAGAAATTGTATAGTATGCGAATTGTCTCAATAAAGCTGTTAAAAAGAAAGAAAAATGAATAATGAAATGTCTATAATCTCAACACCCCGAAATAATCTCTTATAATTTTAGTCTCTTTCTTTCCAGTCACTTTTAATGTACATTTTTCATGTGTAATTGTGGTAATGCTTCATAAAGAATTTTGAGTATTGCCTTTTGTGTTTATCATTCTGACTGTAAGAATTTGTCCACCCTATTGTAGACGTCTTCTCCTAATTGTTAACAAGTATGTAATATTTCCATTTAGATGTATAATGTGTACGGCAGCAAATACCCTTTTTTTTTTTTAAGCTCTATAATTTCCCCATGAAATACCTTATCTGAAACCTCTTTTGTTCACAGGGAAAAGAAGATCTCCCGGAGCAGTGCCCTGAAAGTGCTGGACCATGCCATGATTGGCCCCGAAGGCACAGACAACTGCCATAAGTTTGTTGACATTCTTGGCTTACGAACCATCTTTCCCCTCTTTATGAAATCTCCCAGGAAGATCAAGAAAGTGGGAACCACTGAGAAGGAACATGAAGGTAGGGTTCACTGGAGGAGTCAGCCTAATTTAGGTGCATTAGGAGAAATAGGGAAATGTGAACTACTTTGAAAAATTCTGACGTGTTTGGGGGATAGAGGGGAAGAGTGCTACCTTTTTCTTACTATTTTCTTATTTTTCATGAATGAAAAAGAGACCCCAGGTCACTGATAGCCTTTGTTGCACCAGTTCTCTGCTTGTTTGAATCCTGGTCATTCCATTTCCTTCTGGACTGTTAATAAGTCTGTGTGTGAGGGTTTTGTTTTCTTCACTATAATTTGTAGCGAGGTGTCTCTCTGATGGAAGACCCTTTTGAAAAGAGTAATGAGGTGGCAACACATGTCACCTCCAGAGTGGTGCTTTCATGTATTTCTGTACTAAAGTATGATTCAGCCAACATCAGGAATTGCCGAAATAAACTATTTATAGCCCAGATTCCCCTTTTATGTTTCTCCTCCCTGATGGTGCACGCTCCCAGCAAAATGCTGCCATGAATTGTGACGCTGTAACCAGAGTAGTTACTGCTAGGCCAGTCTCTTCCTGCTGTTGTCTAGTGGCCTGCTGCAGCCCTCTCCCCAGTAAATAGCCACAGTGCAATCTGGAAGGCCAGGGATTTATGAGCATTGACAGTTCTGCTGGAGGCTGGCAGACACTTGCACCAGGGAATTTACATGGTTGGATGGTTATTTTAAAGTGTGGGGAGCGGGTGGAGAGGAGTGGGGAGGTAGTGTGTTGAGAGAGGAGCAGAAGCTGAGCTGACTGGCTCATTTGGCTGTTTTCTCAGAAGCAATGTTCGTCCCATGGTTTAGGAGGCTTTTTTTTTTGTCAGTGCTTGGTGGAATTGGCATGGGTATCTGCAGGATCTTTTGCATTCCTCATCCTCATAGACGAAAGTTTGAGAACTCCCGCCTCTCTCTTTTCCAGTTGACTTGGCTTAGTCTCTCCCAACTTGGAGTGGCTAAAGGGAAGGTGGTGTGACCTACCTTCAGTGGTTATCTTCAGTGATATCTTCTCTATCAAATCAACTCTCCAGAGACAACAGGAAATCTGGCTGGAGCAAAAGAGGAACTGGCCTTGCAAATACTGTGGCCTAGAGACCTGAGAACAAGTAGAGACTTCAGTTTAACTCATTTTGACCAAACACTAGCTATAAATATGTTAACCCCGTGCTAGATTTTCCCCACTGAAAATTCAGCAAAATGAGTCCCTGGGAGAGGGAATGGAGGGGGTCCTGGAGGTCTAGGAGATAAACTTTTCAGACAGTCAACATTTAGTGAAAGCCTGCCACTTTCCTGGCCCGGCTGCACTATTCGCTATCATATTTAAAACTCACAACCTATGAAGTATTGGTGGCATCCTTATTTTTTTTTTTAGAGGAGATGAACTGGGAAGGCAGCCGAGCTGTGGGTTCTACAGCTAACTAGGTGTGCGACTTTGGAACCTTGGCTTAACTTCCCTTCACTGCATTTTCCTTTCTGGTCTGTAAGATGAGGGAAGTGGACTAGTGAACTAGAAGCTCTGATAGCCACACCTTCAGATTCTCAGGAACAAGCCCTGGTTGTCAGGGTTGCCTGTGAGCCAGGAAGCTCCTCAGGGTGGATGCTGTGGCTGACCTGCTGGGTTCCACTGAGAGACCTGAGGCTGCATCTTGAGTGTGCTGGAACAGAGTGTGAAGGAAAACAGCCCTTAGCAGGCTCCTGCTCTGCGGTCATGGCACTGAGAAGAGGAGGAAGTGACAGATTCAGTGAGCAGCTGCTTTTCTTCTGAAAAATGTGCCCGGTGGCGTGCTGGTAACAGTCCATTTGCTTTAGAGTAACCGCATTAGGCATGTGATAACATTATGTTAGTGAGGGCAATGGCTTGGTAAGACGTCTCCTAGAAGGCATGTTCAGGCTGTAATGGCTGGGGAGGATGAGCTCTGCATCCTGAGCGGACCAGTACCCAGAGAGCAGAAGTGAACTCCAAGGAGAAAGCACAGCCCTCCACTCCTGCCACCCCTGCCAGCTGCTGCCACTCCTACAAACCGGCCTTCGGCCATGAATGGCAGAGTGAGAATGGAGGCAGAGCAGAGCAGTGCGCACTGTGCAGGGTTTCTTTGTCCTGTCCTCTGGGTAAGACTGTGCTCTTTGTTGGCCTCCGAGTGCCAGCCCTTCTCACGTAAGTGGGCCAGATTTGTGTGCTAAGCTAGAGCACAGTGGCCTCAGACCATCAGGAATACTGGTGGGCATGCCCAGCTCATTCCTGCCCCCGGGCTTCCAGCATGCTCTTCCCTCCATGTGCAGTGATTTTTCTCCACCCTGTCTGCCTGGCTATCTTTTAGTTGTCCTTAGTCCTTAGTTTTGTTTTTTGTTTTTTTTTTTCCTTTTTTTTTTTTTTCCCTGGCCTGTTGCCCAGGCTAGAGTGCAGTGATGCGATCTCGGCTCACTGCAGCCTCTGCCTCCCAGGTTCAACCGATTCTCCTGCCTCAGCCTCATGAGTAGCTGGGACTACAGGCGCCCACCACCACACCCAGCTACTTTTTGTATTTTTAGTAGAGATGGGGTTTCACCATGTTGGCCAGGCTGGTCTCGAACTCCTGACCTCAAGTGATCCGCCCACCTTGGCCTCCCAAAATGCTGAGATTATAGACAGGAACCACTGTGTCCGGCCTGGTCCTTAGTTTTGATGTCTCTTTCTCAGGGAAGCATGTCATGAACCCGTAGACTAGGATAGAATCTTCTGTTCAGTGGACTCTTGGTCTCAGGACTCTGCCTTCATAGCCCTTGAAATTATGGAACCAATGGCCTTGTCCCCTCTAGATCCCATTGCCTGGTCCCGTGGTGCTTGGCATGTGATAGATGCACAGTAAATGTTTCTTGACTGTGTGAATGAACAACCATTTCCCTGAAAGGCTCATTGAGGACAAACATGGGTTTGGGGCTTTCCTCAGAAACCTACAAGGTTGAAGTCAATACAGTTGATTTCAGTTCAGATTGATGGTTGTCAGTCAGTCATACACCTAGAGTGAAGGGTCTTTCATCCAGCTTGTTTGGATGCTAAAATGAGTGGGTTGCTAGCCCTAAGTTTTAACTCTGTCACATTGGCTTGGAGATTATGGCAGAACCCCCACTTTAGAGCCACACCCTTAAGAGCTTTGCTGTACACTGACCTTCCCTATAGGCAAGGCCACCCTGTGACAAGCACCTAGGGGTAGCCCAGCTCCTAGGTGGAACACTGAGGCCTGGGAATCAGCTCGCCAGTCCAGAAGCTCTAGAGAGCTACCCCACACTCTTCCCTTTCTTTCTTGTGAAGCTTCAGCGCTTGTCACTGTTGTCCACAAGAGCACCAGGATGGCTAACTAGTAGAAAGGAGAGGTTTGTTGATGATACAAGTTTGTAAACTAGAAAGAGACAGTCTGTGGCGTGTACTAAAGGTGATCTGTCTTCAAAAAACGAAAGGGCAGGTTGGGTTTTAGGCCTCACAAGGTCTGTATTAGACAAAAGAGTCATACACATTCAGCAGGTTTTGGGGGAAAGCTACACATATTTATGAGGGGAGTCAAGTGCATGCGCAATGGGTAAACATATGTAACACATTCCATGTTCACTCTGGGGCAGGGTTTTAGCATTAAAATGAGGTAGGATTTGGCTCTTTATATCAAAAGGTGAACTGTAAGACACAAAGTTTGTGTATAGTCTCTCTGAGCTTGTTGAAACTGTCTGGAAGTCTGCAGTTGCTTATCAGAAAATAATGTTTGCAAGGCCAATCATCTGTCCAATCAGAGTTAGGAGGGGTCTGATAATTTGCCTGATATTGTTAGGGAGTTTCACAAGAGTGTGTTTTTTTCTTGTAGCCATGGGAATTCAGGGAGTTGCTATGCCAGCTGAGCCCTGAACCCTCCACCTGTAGGTGACATTTATTTCCTTAACCTTAGGGTCCATCTTATTTGATAAAGGGGCATCTATTTTGGTCCCTCAGATGATATCACACATCCTGGTTTGCCTCTTTAAGTCCATCCTGGTCCCGTCATAGCCCCTGTCACCTCTTAGGGCCTTCCCCTGACTCCCAAAGTCGCAGTGCAGCCTGAGGTGGTACAGATGGATCTGCTGCTTATCAGTTGTGCCATTTTGGGCAAGTTCCTAAGCTCCCTGGGCCGCACTTGTCCTATCTGTAAAATAATGAGGCTAGAATCTACCATGAAGGGTGTTTGCAAGAGTCAGATGAGATGACATGTAGATGCTTAGCATAGACCCCAGAATAAAGCAGGCACCATAAGAGACCTTAAACTGTCTCCACCTCTGCCCACCCTGGCTTTAGTCACACATACCCATGGGGATGGCCAGGCAGAGAAAATGCCCACACCTCTACTGTGGGAGGGCCAGGAGAGGGTAGGTTGGTTTTACTGGCCTGTGGTCTAATTGCTCCATGATAACTGTGGGCAAATGGGCAAATCCATTCTTGATGGGAATGTCAGGAGTCAAGCTATGCTAAGTAGTGAGTGACATAAAAACAGCTGTGTTCCCAAGTCAACAGAAGGGCTTGAGAGATGGGAGTTTCTAGATTAAGGTGACTCTAAAGAGGGGAGTAAAAGCAAAACTGCCCTTACAACCTAGAATGCTGGTAATTTAGTTCCTCTTTTGTGACTTGGGGTGGGGAAGGAAAAGAATTATTATAATTGAAATCCATTTAGGTTTGCATAATAAAACCTTCAGAAATAGATCAGGGGAGGCACTAAGCTTGTGGGATGGGTTGGAAAGAAATGATTTGCCCTTGGGTGCACTAGCATGATTGGCTGCCTCCTTGGTTTTAAAAGAATAGCACAGTATATATTGTCTCCTTGGTATTAACTGCTTCAGAATAGGAGGGAAGAAGAAAAGAGGTGGGATCCAGAAATGGCATCCGACCTTTACTTCTTGTCTCTTTTAAAAATTCTCATTAATATAGGTCCAGTTTTCCTCGTATTGCTTCATTAGGTATGTGAGTTATTGAGTTTGTAGCAGTTCTAGTTAATTGCGCTGTTTTAACACAGTTCCCCTGGAGGCTGTTAAGAGCTTTAAGAGGGTGAGCCACCGAGCAGCATGTAGGTGTGTGGTGTGCACACTAGGTATATACACGCATTTTTACCTTTTCAGCAGTGACAGCAGTTGGTAATAGGTCAGTGCTTTAAAGAATACTTTTCTGTCATCAGCAAAGAATTGTAAGTGATTCCAGTGGACTCCACATATCAGGAAGCATACGGCTGCCTTGTGTATCTTCCTAACAGTGAGGAAATCGGGTCAGAGCTCCCACGCCGCCTCCTAGGATTAGAAGAAGGAAATGGCAGAACCTTTCCTGCAGTCAGAAAAGAAGGGAGCTTAGCCAACACAGACAAAAAGAAACATTTTTAAAAGTCTTCGTGCTGGGCTGTAATGACATGGCATTGTTTGAGGCCAGCTTTTACTGGGGCTCCTGCTATGTTCAAAATATAACAAAGACCTAGTATGTGACAGATCCAGTGGAGACAAGGAACAGAATACAATGCTTGTCCTGGGGGAGACTGCTCTTCCTAGTATTCCATCTCCAGATACTTTTCCTCTGCCTGGCCCTCAGGCATTCGTTTTTGAATAGATTGGCAGTGTCTTCCCCTAGTTCCCCTTTTTTCCTTCCATGCATTCTCCTTGGGTGATCTCATCTACTCCTGCAGCTTTAACCTTCATCTATCTGTGGTTGACTCCCAGATCTTCAGTCTAGTTCTCACTCCCTACCTCTGGTTGACACAGCTAATAATCAGCAGACAGCACCAGATATTCAAACTCAGCTTGTTCAAAACCATATCCATTCCTTCACTGCTGTCATCTTTTCTGCTTGGTAAATGGCACCAGCCTCCTCCCCACCACCCACTGTGGAAATCAACATGCCATGCTTAACTCTAATATTCCCCACGTGTAATTGATCATCAGCCCTATGAATTCACCTTAGAAAATCTCTTGAACCAGTCCTTTTCATTGCCACTGTCTCTGCCCTCATCATCTCTCCTGAACTTCACTGCAACCTTAATAAGTCTCTGCTTTAGTCTCCCAATTCTCATGTCCTCTCAAAGTTACCACCAAGGTAGGAGAGACTCCCAGCCCTCAGCAAATTTACAGTTTGAAGAAGTAGGAAAATAGACATGGGGGAAAAAGCAATTTTATAGATATTTACCACAAAACTATATTACAATTACAAAGACATACTAGACAAGAATATTTCATTGTTAAAGGGAACACAAGAACAGAAATGCTTACAGAGGAAGACACTTCTGGTGGGAGGGAGATTATGGTACAGACTGAAACAAAAGGCATTAGAATTTCAGCCAATATGTTCATTTGTTACTCCCTATATTCAGCATCTGTAGGAGAGTCTTTACACATCCAATCATGTTTGAGCCTTACAACAGCCCCTCAAGCTTGGTGTTATTTCTCATTCTGAAGATGGGGTCATTGTGAGGCTCATTGAAATCATGGCTTTAGGTCATACAGTGGGTAATTGGCTAAACTGAGAGTCAGACCCTTCCTCAGCTCCTGATCACACGTGTCACACTCATTTCACAAAGTCATTGCCATTGTTATTTGTTGTCCTGGGTCCAGACTAGCCTGCTCTTCTCTGAATTGCTGATAGTCAAGAGTTCTTGATCAGAAGACCTTGGTGCTTTGACAGGTCATCATAGTGGTAGGGACTCTTACCATTTCAAATTATAGAAGTTATTAGGGACAGATGGCAAAACAACTTGATGAAATTGTTGTTTGGCATTTGTACTGCCTATCATAGTGCTTGGTGCATGGTAGGTGCTCAGTAAATATTGAGTGAATGAATAAATGAATTTATTTAACATCTTTATATCATGTACTGGCTATAATCAACATGAGACACATGCTGGTCATTAAGAGCATTATGAAAGAGTGTTGTTAATGAGTTAACCAATTTATGGTTGTACCATAAGGCTGCTCAGCATCTGTCCTGTAGTAGTTTTCAATACATGGTTTTTTTTTTATCTTTAAGATCAAAATTAATACTTACCTTCTTGGGTAAGAATTAATTGAAGTAACTCATGCAAATCTAACACAGTGTCGGGGGTATCTTAGTCCATTTTGTGTTGCTATAACAGAATACCTGAGACTACATAATGTATAAAGAAAAGTAGTTCATTTGGCTCACAATTCTGGAGGCTGAGAAGTCCAAGATCAGGCAGCCCATCTGGTGAGGGACTCATGCTGTGTCAACTCACGGTGGAAGGCAAAAAGGGAAGAGATCGTGTGCAGAGAGAAAACACAAGAGACAGCCTTGCTTTATAACAACCTTCTCGCAGTAACTAATCTAGTCCAGCAAGAGCAAGACTTGCTTCATTCCCACCAGACTACATTAATCCCTTTGTGAGGGTGGATCTCGCATAGCCCAGGTGCCTTGTAAAGGTCTCACCACCTCTCAACACCATAACATTGTCAGTTAAATTTCAACATGAGTTTTGGTGGGGATAAACCACATCTAGACCATAATAGGTGGGTTGATAAATGTTGGTTTAGATCATTTTAATACTGACTCCAGACTTCACACTATAATAAATGTTCATTAGTGGTTGAAGAAGCCCAGAGAAAGGAGTATCCTTAGGGATTCTGGGAAGGCTTAAGAGATGAGATAACATTTGAGTACTCTTCGAAGGATACATAGTATTTAATTATTATGCCAGTGAAGGAAATGGCAGAGGGGACAGTGGGCACTAGGCATGTATAGCTAGTTATTGTGATATGGATGATGAAGAACATGAGTTTTGGATTAAGACAGGACTTAGGTTGGTCTCCTGGTTCTGTCATTTACCAGCTTTGTGACTTTGGAAAAGTTGCTTAGCCTTTTTGAGCCTGTAATTTCTTCTGTTGTAAAATTGAGATACTCTTAGAATCTATCTCATAAGGGTAACAAGTGAAGATTAAATGAAATAATACAGAAATCAAGTGCTTAGCACAGACCCTGTTTCATTAGTATTAGTGGCTGGAATGAGGATGAGTTTCCAGTTTGTATTCCTCCTCCTTCTATGTTGGTAATTTTAGAGGTACTTGCCAGAAGAACTTCTTTTCCTTCCTGAATCTACCAGTCCTAGAGGCGGGCTGTAAATATGCCAGTTCTATGTGGAATACAAGATAAAAACCTTCCCCGAGAGGATATACCAAGGAACCTCAGGTCCCTATTTCTCCTCTGTCTAAGCTATAAACAGAGGATTCAGAGGCTGTTGCCACCACCCCTGTGCCCATATTTGTATTCTCCAAGCTTGACAATCACAGAGTTGGTTATAGTGGTCAGAACAATAAGCCAGTAAAGAGTGAACAGTATTTAAGAATGGCATTAAGCCATGTACTAGCAGCAGTTTATGTTAAATAAGGATGAAAATGTCTTGCTGTTGTTTTTTGTTGCTATTTGAAAATCTTATAATTGAATAGTTTCTGGATCAATTCCTTTTCTTTCCCTCCAGCTGCTTGTCTCATTCCTGACCTCGGATGACAAAATGTAGGGATGCTGAAATAAACAATGTGCTTGGATATGGGGTTCCTTTCATCAGGCTTGAGGGGATGATTTTGAGTGGTGCACATCTGGTTTGTTAACTGGTTCAAGTCATATTAAGGATTTACCCAGCTCCCAAGTAGATCACAGCATAGCTGTTTGCCATTGAAGAAGACAGTGAGACAGGATGAATTTGCCATTCTGGAAGCAACTGTTCTCTTTCGAGGGAGTGGGGAAAACTGATGAATGGTCACCTCACATTTATCGGGCATCTGTCTACTAAGCCTCAGGGCTTTACAGGTGCACATAAAGTACCTTTATGAATTAGGCATTTCTGTCGTCTTTTCACAGGTGAGTTTCAGAGAGTTTGTCAGTTACCAAAATACCGTTTAGCACATTAGTGACAAAGCAAAATTTGAGCCTAAGTCTACTTCTAAAGCTTCTTCCAACACCAGGGTGGCTCCAGTGGTCTTCTGGTTGGTAATCCAGAGGCAGCACAGAGTCATAGAAGGCAGATTGCTTTTGTAGGCAGATAGGCCTGATTTCAAACCCAGCAGTATCTGCAAGCTAGCTAGTGGCCTTGGGCAAGTTATTTCTTCTCTCTGGACCTTGAATTCCTCCTCAGTCAAATAAGCCTGATAAAACCTTTCTTAGAATGTTTTGTGACAAATAATGATCATGAGTGTCTGACGTAGTCTCTAGCAGGTAGCATTCAATATGGTAATATAGTTATTGCACATTTGCCTTCTTTCAAAAAAGAATGGGTCCCTACCTCTTCCAGTTTTCATGTTTACATATAGGATATAAACCTCTTGCCTTTTGTGGTTGTGAAGCCCAGCTGTGACCCAGGACTTTATATGTGGATAGGCTGGGTCATAACAGGAGCTTCCTGGGAAATGGGACAGCCACTGTTTTTCATGATGGCATATTACCCTGGACCCTCAGTTACGATCCTGGTTATACTAGCACTTTTCAAATTCATTACGTCTTCAAATAGGTACCAGACTCTTCTGTTTCAGTTTGAAGCTCCCATTCTAGACTGCCCTTGCAGAGGGTCTATTTCTATGGGTAGATGTCCCAAAGGTAGGTCAGTGAGGCTTCATTCATTCTTATATTAAACAAACCACCAGTCCCTGCTTTGTGTCAGGCTTGGTGCTGTAGCTGGAAGCTGAACAGGTTCACACAGCCCAGCCAGGGAGACATAGAAACCTGCATTTCTATTATGAGGTAAAAATGTAAGGTGAATGAACTGACAGCTCAGCTAGGGAGACAGACACAGAAACCTGCATTTATGTTACAAGGTAAAGATGTAGAAGGAAGTATGAGGCGCTGTGGGAGCACAGGAGGGGCTCCCTGTCCAACCTGGGTAGTGAGAGAACTGGTGATTAGAAACAGCCCCCCCCAGGAATGTGGCCCCCAAGCCAAACCTTTGGTAAAAGTTAGCCAGGTAAAGGAAAGTCAATGGAAAAAGCAGCATGTATTAAAAAAAAAAAGTTGGGAGGGACAAACTGCAGTGAGCCTTAAACCTAGCTGACCATCAGAATCATCTGGAATCTCATTGAAAATGTTGGGGACGTGTTCTCAGAGTTTCTGATTCCAGCAGTCTGCATAAAGTCAATGGATCTGTATTTTTACCAAGTTCCACAGGAGTGTCCTCTGAGACCAGTCTGGTACCAGTCCTTGCTGAGGAGAGTATGGAGATTAGATAGTTAAGCAGAAGCCAGACCTGGAAGGACCTGTAGAGCTGTTGCAAGGATTGACTTAGTTAATCTCTGGACAGTGTTGAGGACGGTACTGGTGCCCTGGTACCTAGTAAGTATTCATTAGGTGTTAGTAGCCATTGCTGTTAGGCTAGTTGTTTTAACTATGCTCTGCTGCCAGAGGACTCTTCCAAAGTTTTACAGGTCATAGGTATAGTACTAATTTCAGTTATTTTGATAGTTTCCGCTAATTAGCCCAAATTCAGTTTTGATATTGAGGGCTTGGTTGGGGAGGATGAAGGAGAAACACTTATCACTCCTGTTTTTCTTTTGTGTTTTTCATTTTGCCAGGTAGAAACTTGGCTCTTTAGGGGCAGCATTACCAGAATTCTTATTTTAGAAATAGAATTTTCCATTGATGCTCTGTTATTGTGTCAGTAGGACTCTGTTAGTTTTCATTTATAATCTTGATTAAGTTGTATAGAAATAGTTTAGGGTGTAGTATATCTCTTTTATAGATAAAACAAATGCCAGCAATGTAGAAACAAAAGTAGAGAAATAGCCAGACTCCTTTAGTTATTTCTCCAGCATTTGTAGGTGGTGCCAAAATGGGGAAATAACTTAGGAACTAGGCAATAATTAACTGTGGGATCTGGTTTATTAAAATTGAACACTTAATCTTTACTGAGATATGCTTCCTAATGTTGCCATTTGGGGGCCTTTTTTGTTCTTTGTCCGCTAATAGGCTTTTAAATATATTAGCTCATTTCACCTAATCCTCACAATAACCCTGTGAGCTGTGTATTATTACCCATAGTTTATAGATGAGAACACTGAGGCCCAGATAACTTGTCATTTTCTGAAGGTCACACAGCTAGTACCTGGCCTTCCTAGGAACTGAACCTAGGATTTTCCTGCAGCTTCCAAAAACTGAATCACAAGCAGTGCACTTCTGCTTTTGGTTTGTTTTGGTTTTTTTAGATCATAAATTAAGGTTGCTAACCTGTAGTGGGACTAATTTAAACTGTTTGGTGTCTTTTCTCTTCAGTCCCTTAAGGTGTCAGTAGTCCTGGCCCCAGTACTGCATAAATAACTTTCATCTCTCAATCCCAAACATTTCTCCCTGGCTCACTTTGTGTGCCTCTTGTTGGCCTTCAGACCTATCTATCTACCCACTGTATCCACTCTTCTCATGGTTTTCCATACCTGATGCCCAGCACTGCTCAACCTTCAGTTTCTATTCCTAACCATTCCCTACATGGTTACCTTGCAAAGTTACGTGCCTTTAGGTAAACACTTCCCTTAGCATTCTGGCCTTTCTCTCTGTTGTCCCCCTCTTGAGAATGAGACATAAATATGTAGTTTCTACCTTGACTGATCAATATCAGCTAAACAGCTTTGACAAAATACATGTCCCTCCTCCAGCAATTCTGAGGACTGGGGCTCCAAGCATCTATATTTTTAAAAAGCTCCAGATCCTTCTATAAAAAGACAATAATGAAAGAAAAAAAACGGAGTAGGGGCTCTGGATTCTGTTGCCCAGCTAGTGTTGAGAGCTACTGGCCAGAATTCTCACAGTACAAGCCTTGGTAAGCAGCCCTTTTACTTTCTCTCTGTGCCACTAGAAGATTTTTGAATGGTGGGTCTTTGGGGGAAGACTTGTTCAACACAGCTTTATTGCTTTATCTGAGTATGAATAAAATAAACTCATGCAGAAAATTTTTAAATTGTGAAAAAAGATGAAAGGAAAGTAAAAATCACCCCCAATCCTACTAGCCAGAGTTAATTACTGAAAACATCATGGACACCATCCATTCAAACACTATGTTAGGGACTCTGTGAGTGTGTGTGTGTGTGTGTGTGTGTGTGTGTAATTTTGTATAAAGGGAATCATGATGGATATACTGTTTTTACTCACTGCATCTTGGGCATTTTTTAGCAAGGGTGGGCATTTTAATACAGTTAGGAGCTAGACTATATTTTTAGAAGGCAGGGTAAATTTCAGGTGAAATGATTAGGATGTGGAGGTAATAGCAGTTTGGAGAGGTGAGCTGGGCTTAGATGGTGACATTGGCTCCTCCTTTTTTTTTTTTTTTTTCTGAGATGGAGTTGCACAGTTGTTGCCCAGGCTGGAGTACGATGGCGCCATCTCAGCTCACTGCAACCTCCGCCTCCTGGGTTCAAGCGATTCTCCTGCCTCAGCCTCCCAAGTAGCTGGGATTACAGGCATGCGCCACCATGCCCTGCTAATTTTTGTATTTTTGGTAGAGACGGGGTTTCACCATGTTGGTCAGGCTGCTCTCGAACTCCTGACTTCAGGTGATCTGCCCCCCTCGGCCTCCCAAAGTGCTGGGATTACAGGCATGAGCCACCATGCCTGGCCCACATTGGCTCTTCTAAGTGTTGTGAATGTGTTGGGACTTCAGGGTAGTAAGACAGTGAGTTGTAGACTGAAGACTAATGCATCTAGGTTCATTTGGGTTATAGCATAAGAAGGGGAAGTGAAGATGCCTTTCAAATGGTATTTTTTTAAAATGTGTGAATACTTGAATGTGTTAGACATGTTGGCATCTAACAGAAGATATAATGTGAAAGGGAGTAAACTGAAAATAAACTTGTATACATTTCACTGCTCATAAAGAATACAATTACGTGTGTGAGGTGTTTGTTAGTGTCTACCTTCCTGGACTCTTGTAATATTGGATGTGATTTTTATACGCAGCAGCCTGCAGGTTGCTGGGGAAATGCTCTGTGTATTTAATCATCTTGCAGTCTTACTTGTTTGTTTTTTTTATGGTAAGAAAATGTTGTTGGCTTGCTTTTGTAGCCAGATTGATTTTGCTTGTGGGTGTCCAGATGCTGATGAGCTGTAATTAGCATAAGAAGGAGGTTGAAAAGATGTTGAACATTGTTTCCAGGTAGCCAAACAAAGGATCCCCAAACAGAAATTATTCTCAAGTATCAGGTTCAAGAGAAGCAGCCCTTTTCTCTTTTAGGAGCAGTCTATTAAAGGATGTGTGTGTTAGGCTGGGTAGGTCACCACTACGGATGGGGCTGTAGAAACTTGCTGGGAGCTGGTCCTGGGGGTGATTTTCTGACGCTGAACATCTCCCTTTGTGAGAGTAGTAAATTTAAATCACTTGGGTAGTCTAGTAGAAAGTAGCCCTGGGCTGGGTTCAGAAGACTTGGGTTTGTGTTTCTGCCATAATTGTTGTGCTTAGGTTCTGTGACTTGAGTGTCGTTTGTTCTCTGAACCTCAGTTTCCTCACCTTTAAAATGGAGACAATGTTTCACAGCATGTGAGAACTGGATAAGATAATATACGAGAAAGTGATTTATATACTATAAAATTATGCACATATATGACATGGTAGTGTTGTGGTGTGTATTACATTCATTGTTTTTCCCGTCTCTTCTACATTTCTTATACTTTTTCTAAGTAACACTTTCCTTCCTTGTCCCTGGCTCCAAAGCAGAAAGAAAAGTATGGTAATTTGGTCCCTGTTTGCTGCAGGGTTATCATAAAATACATTAAGCATGTCATTTTGATAATCACAAAAAAAAAAAAGCCTACAACTTTCTTAAATGTATTGATTACTAATAAATCATGTCTATGTTAAGTATGCCTGCTGGCTCACAAACTTCTGGAATAACAATGTTTGCTAGCCTAGTTAACTGGGTGATTTTCCTGATGATGTGTCATCTGGTCTGAGGCTACTGTAGATATTGATGATGGCGATAGTGTGATAGTGTCTCACATTACTGAGTATTTGCTGTGTTCCAGGGTATACATGATGTCATTATCCCTAACATCAACTCCATGTGGGTTATCGTTAGCCTGCTTTATTACTGAGAGAACAGCCCCAAATAAGTTAAGTACTTTTTCAAATTGTGCAGACAGTTTTATGTCTGCTAGGGCCCCCCAAAGCCTGTATTCTTGATCCCGGACTTCAGTCTCTTAAGGAGACGTCGGAGAACTAAGAAGTTACATGAATTTTAATCACCAAGGCAACAATCCAGTACCTTTAGCTGTTTTAGAAATAAACTAGAAAGATTTTTAATTCTGACATGCCAAAGCAGGAAACCTCTATGACCAGGATTTTTTGTATTTGGTAATGTGGGATGTGAACTTTTTAAAATAACTTTATTCTTCAATTTTGAAATAATGAACCATGCTATAATAAAGTTTTTAAAATATATTTCATACAAAGTTAGATGTGTTTTTCTAAGCTACAAGCTTGGCATGAGTTTCAGTAGCAGGGTGGTGGGAAATACACAGCCTTTTAGAAAATGCAGACTTGAGTTCAAATCCCAGCTCACACCAGCTGTATAACTTTTGGCATGTTAATTACCTTCACTGATCCCAGATTCCTCATCTATAACAGTGCTTCTTAACGTTTATATCACAGACGAATCACCTGGAGATCTTGTTAAAATGCAGATTGTGCTTCAGTAGGTCTGGGGTGAGGCCTAACATTGTGTATTTCTAACCAGCCCCCAGGTAACGCTGAGGCTGCTGCTTCTCTGACCACACTTTAAGTAGCAAGAATCTATAAAATGGGATATTGATATCTGCCTCACAAGTTTATTGTGGCATGTAGTAGATGCTTAACAAATGTAAGTCCTCTTCCCTTCTCACATACCTGGGAGTCTCTTGGGGATGGCCTTTATTTAAGAAGTGGGTCTGGAAATATCTATTCCTAGCATGTCTTATCTCTGTCAAAAGTCCCAGATGACAGAAAGCATTTGGAAAGTAATGAGCTCAGGATTAAGCTTTAAGATGAAAGAAGCCCACATCTGATTCAGAGGCTCATCTTAAGGAGTTAGCCCAGAACTGGAGTCATTTAGGAAGTCTCTGTGCAAACCTTTGTAAGGTGGCTCAAAGGAAACCTCAACTGACTTCTTCCATGAGTTCATCATTCTTCAGTTCTTCAGACAATACCTGTTGAACACTTAATGATTCCAGGCAAGGTTTAGATCCTGGGAGACAGTGACCCACCTCAGACCCACCCTAGAGGCACTTACCTTTCTGTGGGGAGACAGCATGCAAATAATGATTTATGAAGTTGTCATTGGAAGCACTGAAGGAGGAAATAGACTTCCAGTCAACTTTGGGAGATCCTCCAGTCTCCCTGAGATTAGAAAGATTGAAAGTAGGTAGAAATTTCCCAAGTGGACAAGAAACAGAAGAGCTTTTAGGCCAGGGAATAGCGTATACAAAGGCACAGAGAATGTGTTGGGACTCTGGGAAAGGCAAGTATTCCAGCCTTGTGGTCTTGGGGTTTGACCTAAAAGCTCAGTGAGCCAGACTACTGTCTTTGTCAAGACTTAATAGATGTAAACAGGCAGGCAGAGGACCTGGACCAGGACAGCCTTCTCCTAAATGGGTTGGATCATAATCCCGAAAGATACAGTCCCAAATGCCATAATCCTGAATGTTGAAATCCTTGAACTCTAAAATCCTCAAAATCAGAATCACAGGAATCAGAATAACTTCAAAAAGAGCAGCACCAGAGAAAATGAATGTGAATATATTCTCCAAGGAGAGCTATGTCCCAAAAGAAAAAAGTAGCAATTTATTGTGACACAAGACTTGAAAATATAGTTAATGATTGTGAAAGTCGACCACCTCTTATGGACTAGCTTTGTGTAACTGCCCATAATCTGTCTCTGTAATATACTTTTCATATGTCAAGTTTTCTTTCTGTTGTTCTTTTCCTTTTTTAGGCTCCCCTCACCACTATTTTAAATTGTTAGCATTATTTCTTACAATTCACTTTGCTGTATATTTCATCTTTGCGTCATTTCCAATACTGCAGGTATAAATTGTGTAGGGGCTTTTAGAGATTTCTACTTCATTTTATGCATTTTTTGCAATTTGACTTGACAAAAGTGCATTGTCAAATCGCCTTTGTGTATAAGCATTGTGTGTGTATGTAAAAATGTTGAAACTTCCCCCGTAAATGAAGAGATGTCTTTTTGTGTATCTGCATTTGTTCAATGTAAAATTTCTCAAGATCTAGGCTCTTTGGGTGACTGCATATGTACAGTGGTGACCCATCATTATTTTTGATTGATCTTATCAAGACTTAGGTTATTCATCACAATATTTCAGATGACTGAAATTATAAAGTTGGGTGCACACCATCACCAACCCTAGTGATATTCACCTGTACATTTTCCTTTTTACTTACCTGCCTCATTATGAATAGGGTTTGTCTGCTCATAACTGTCATACCTGTACCACTGTCATTGGTATACCTGAGTGTTTATGCTTGCAAAAATACATATGTAATTATTGCCTATTTTATTGTGGAAAGTGGTCTATGAAGTATTCTGTCATGTTTTTATATGTTTCTCAAATAAACCCCTTTTTAAAATGTAAGTAAGTATCTTTTAAGAATTTTTTAAAGTATTTTTTCCAGAATTACATTTTTGGGATTTTAACATTCAGAATTATGATTGGCTTCCCTCCTACACCAGCCTGAGCAGACACTTCTAGCCACAGTGTCATAGCTTTTGTATAAGCCTAAAATCTTCAGAAATGGAGAGTCAAGAAGGAGCCATAGCCCACATATTATTGTCTTCCTTGAGTGTCATCTTTAAAATCTACTAAATTCATTTTATCTTTTAATATCTTTTTTTTTTTTTTTTTTTTGAGACACAGTTTCGCTCTGTCGCCCAGGCTGGAGTGCACTGGCATGATCTCGGCTCACTGCAACCTCCGCATCCCGGGTTCAAGCGATTCTCCTGCTTCAGCTTCCTGAGTAGCTGGGACTATAAGCACGCACCATCACAGCCAGTTAATTTTTTTTTATTTTTAGTAGAGTCAGGGTTTCAGCATATTGGCCAGGCTGGTCTTGAACTCTTGACCTCAGGTGATTCACCCGTCTCGGCCTCCCAAAGTGCTGGGATTACAGGCATGAGCCACCGCACCCTGCCCTTTTAAGATCTTTTGTAGATTCTTCTGTGTTGATACTGGTTTCGGTCTCCTTAAGGCAAATATTTCCTTCTGTCTGCTTTGGAGTTCATTTAATGACATCAGTTAGAAATAACATAATAACATAAGTAAGGTACATAAGTACCTCTTGAATTTAATCTCCTTGCAATTCATACCATCTCCAGTAGGAACTCTGCTCCCCTTAGTTCCTCTCTCAGATAACGACAACCTTCTTCTCCTTACTATTGGAATTCTTGCCACTCTACAGTCTATCCTATGCTCCTTCCAGTGTTCCAGAAGACACAGATTGATATGGTTTGGCTCCGTGTCTCAACCCAAATCTCATCTTAAATTGTAATTCTCACATATCCAGAAAGGGACTTGGTGGAAGGTGATTGGATCTTGGGGCCAGTTTCCCCCAATCTCTTCTCGTGATAATGAGGGAGTTCCCACGAAATCCAATGGTTTAAAAGTGGCGGCTTCCCCCACGCGCTCTCTCTGTCTCTCCTGCCACCTTGTGAAGAAGGTGCTTGCTTCCCCTTCACCTCCTGCCATGATTGTAAGTTTCCTGAGGCCTCCCCAGCCAGGCAGAACTGTCCATCAGTTAAACCTCCTTTCTTTGTAAATTGCCCAGTCTCAGGTAGTATCTTTATAGTAGCGTGAATGTGAACTAATACACAAATGAACTGCCTCTGGTGGCTGTAAAGTATGAATAAGATCACGTGATTTTGCTGCATAATCCTTTCAGGTCTTCTTAATACAGATCTAGGGTAAAATCTAGACTTTTGCATGACAGAAGACCTGCCCCTTTGGCCTTCTCTTGCCGGTACCACCTTGCTCATCCCCTGCCCTGTTTCCACCTAGCCTAAACTAGGGAAGCCCCTCCTGGTGTTACTCTTTTCTCTCCTCCACATCTTGACATTGGATGCATCCCCTGACTGAGATGCTCTTTTACCCACATCTCTGTAAGACTGATTACTTACTCTTAGAAATCTCCCTCATCCTACTTCCTCCTTGAAGCCTCTCCTGATTTTCCATTTCTGTTCTGAGACTGCTTCCTTTCTTATGCTCCCGACAGCATCCGTTTTGTACAGTGGTGGTTGGCTTGCTTGTTTCCACTCAGCTGTGAGCTCCGCTAGGCAAGAACTATGCCTTACGCGTGGGGGTGGATAGGAATCCCTTTTGTCCTTTATATCCCTTTAAACAGACTTAATCAAAAGGAAAAAATAAATCTTTTTATTAGGGAAAATTTCAGAAATATACAAAGGTGGAGAAAATTATATATTGAATCCTTATGTACCCATCACTCAGCTTCAGTGAATAACGTTTTGCCAGTCTTGTTTGTTCCCCTCCTCTCTTTTTTTCTTGTAATATTTTAAGGCAACCTTAGACATCATGTAATTTTACCTCATGTGGAATTTTTAATTTATAAAATCAATGACTGATATGAGCAAGAGCCTTGGATTTAGGCATTTTCCTAGCTGGAATATGTATGTTAGCAATAGAATCTATTGATAGTTCAGCTGTATACTGTTAGATGCCAGAAGTAACTTA
This sequence comes from Homo sapiens, assembly GCF_000001405.40. Classification (NCBI taxonomy): domain Eukaryota; kingdom Metazoa; phylum Chordata; class Mammalia; order Primates; family Hominidae; genus Homo; species Homo sapiens. Next base: position 37,821,729 of record NC_000020.11, read on the forward strand.
GATCAGATTTTCTCACCCTTGGCACTATTGACACTTAGAACCAGATAATTTTTTGTTGTGGAGGGCTCCCCTTCATATTGTAGAGTGTTCAGCAGCATCCTTGGCCTCTTGCCACAGCTGGATGCCAGTAGCAACCCCCAGTCAGTCATCACAAACACACACATAAAAATTGCAGAATATCTCAAACAGTGGAATCCTCCCACCCCTCCCCCTGCACAACCCCCAACTGAGAACCACTGTCATAGAGAAAGGGAAGAATTTTATAGCTGTTGAGATCTTCCAGATCTCAGGACTGTTCAATAGACAGTTGGGGAAACTAAGTCCCAGAAAGGAAGTGTGCCTTTCTGATTATTACTGTGCTTATTAGTATCATGCTAGAGAATAAATCTGTATTTTCTGCTTCCTGTGCCAGCGTGTGTCTAACTCTACCACACGTAGTTTCTAGAGGCTACCAGGGTGATGTCAGAGGCTGCCTAGGAGCAGGAAGAATTCCTGTGGCCGTGGTGTGGGTGTCTTCCCTGAACAGAGAAGATGACATGGCCAGGCTGAGGGGAGTTATGGAATACTGCTGCCAGCAAGGACACACTGCTGCTGATTTGCAGCCATGCCCAGCATCTGCCTTGGCTGCCCGTCATTCCCTTTTACCAAATATTTATGATGAAGCGGGCTGGAGAGCTCTTTCCTTGGGAATGCATCTTGGATTCCATAGTGGCAGACAAGTAGAATTTGTTTCACAGAAATAACTTTGAAGTTAGTTTTTGCCAGAAACCATCTGTTTTATATAAAGCAAAGGGACATTGGAGTTTCAGTTTATAGCTTTGTTCAAAATGGACTCTCTGCTTATTTCTCACAACTCATTCTGCTAAGCAGCGCCCTGGAAAGTTGGGTGCTAGTAAATTTAGTTTACCACTAGGAAGGCAGATTTAGGATGGTAGGGAGAAAGCTGGCTCATGAAGTGAGATCAAAGACTCTCTGGCTCTCAGTAGCTCTGAAAACTTGGGTAAGGCTCATAACCTCTCTGGGCCTTATTTTTTCACATCTGTACAATGGGGAGAATAATTCACTCCAGGGGTGGTCATGAATATTAAGTGAGAAAGAGTATATGAAGCACCCAGCATGTGAATCCAGCACACAGTGCTAATAAATGGTTTTTCGCTCCTCAGAAAGACCTGTCTGGAAAGGCACGCAGATTTTGCAGGCCCTTAGTTCTTTATTTGTACAATTCTAAAATGGTTGCACTGGGTGTATAGAAAGATTAACTTTGGAGAAAATGACGATGGCAACAAAGTACTTAATATATTTGCCAATATATATTGTTGATTGTACCCGGTTAATAAAACAGCATGGACTCATTCTTCACAAATGCCATATGTTCTTTAGGATTAACTGGGTTATTTTATCTCCTCTCTGTGATGAGTCTGATCCCTGTTAGAATGTGGTCCTGAAGCATTTTCACTACAGAGATGACTGCCTGTTTTTCCAGTAGTCTCTGAGCATGAAAGATTATAGGATGGTTTCATTTGTTAGTCTGAGACTAGAAAAGAAAGAGCTATGTCAGTGCAGCGCTGAAATTCCTCCTGTCCTCTAACTGCCGCCTGACTGGCTGAAGGAAGAAGGGTCAAGAAATCAGATTTCAAGAAAGTGAACATAAGGCCGCCTTGGGTCTGCAGCAAGTTTTTCTGGTTTCTGTGGAAATCAGCTGAAGCCCTGGAGCCTGGAGGGAGTGTGAGTGTGTGTGGAGCTCAACAGTTGGTGAGGCTGCAGTAGCTTCAAGGAGGACTTTGCTGCTTAATGTGGGAAGAATAGGAGGAGGAGGGAGCGGCTGTTTGAAGAGCAGAAAGGCAGGACTGTCGAGTAAGATGAAAGCAGTGAAGAGGTAGGTTTAGATCATTGCTGGAAGGCCCTGGAAACAGGCCCCCTCCCCCACCAACTGAATTTCTGTCTAAAGCAGGCATCCAGGGAGGATTTTCAGAGGAGTGTGAACACCTTCTTTGCATTGGGACTGTGGTGTTCGGCTCTCCTGCACCAGGGTAGGTTGATGCTTGGACAGTGGGGAAATGGAAGAACAAAGACATTGCTGATGAGGGAGAATGTAGGGAAATTCCCAGCTGAGCCTTCGTGCTCAGCCTTGGGTGTGTGGCTCCAGGCCCTTGCATGCTATCCAGGGCTAGTGAGAAGACAGTGAGCAAACCACTGAAAAGGACTCCTTACAAAAGACCAAAGTCTCATTTTAGGATCTAAAGATTTTTTTATGTGTTTAGTTGGGTGGGGGTAGGGAGAGGAGTGGTAACTATATAATATACTTTTCAAATCCTGAAAGAGCTTCCAGGGCACAAAGTCAGTTTAAATTACTTTAGATGAGCTATTGCTAAAAGTGATGCGCTGCAGGAAACCAAAGGGAACCAGCTGCGCTGACGTATAGCTATCTTCATTAGAGGACTCGGGCTGAAGCTCAGAAGCCAGCCTCATAGCACTTCTTCAGCATACTGCCATTACAAGGATGTGAGTTAATAAGAAAAAACTGTGTCGCTGCTTCCAGCAAGGTTCTTCGGAGTCCATGTGTAATAATGGGAAAGTGTTCTGAGGAGACCCTTGACAGTGAGGCGAAAAGAAGGGAATGCACCTTTTCACCAATGCTTGCATTTGGCACTAGGACCTTCCTCACTGGATTGTGTGGCTGCTTCCAAAAATGAGTGTGATCGTGCACTCAGCTTTGCTTGGGGTAAACGCCTGAATTCTCAGGACTCTCAGGCTCTCTTTTGGCCCTACTTAGGACTTCCTAGAAAAGAACCTACTGGATTAGTGTATCAGGAATTGCAATTGATTGTTAGTAACAGAGACTAGAAATAACAATGATTTAAACAAAATAGATCACATAAAGGTTTATTTCTCTCTCAGGTAAAAACAAGTCCAGAGGTCAGCAGGACTGGAATGGCAGCTTCGTGGTGTCATTGGGAGCCCAGGTTCCTTCTGTCATTCTATTCTGCCATTTTTATCACAGGGCCAGGGATGTTTGTTTGCTTTTTAATGTGCCCCAAGCACCTATAAAAGTGCCTGGCTTCTATTTTCAAGATTGCCTCATGGTCCCAGATGGCTACTAGAGCTCCAGTTATTACGTCTATATTCCAAACAGCAGGAAAGCAAAATGGGGAGAAGGAAGGGCAGAAGGACACGTGTCCCCTCCGGGAAGTCCCAAATACCAGTTCAACCCGAATCTCTGACCTGACATTAATCACATGATCATACCTAACTATAAGGGAGGTTGTTGTGTATGTGCTTTTTAAGCTGGTCACAGTATCCCTCCAAATAAAATGGGTTCTATGACTAAGAAATAAGAGAATGGACTGGGCGTGGTGGCTCATGCCTATAATCCCAGCACTTTTAGAGACCAAGGCGGGCAGATCACCTGAGGTCGGGAGTTTGAGACCAGCCTGGTCAACATGGTGAAACCCCATCCCTACTAAAAATACAAAAATTAGTCGGGCATGGTGGCAGGCACCTGTAATCCCAGCTACTAGGGAGGCTGAGACAGGATAATCGCTTGAACCTGGGAGGTGGAAGTTGTAGTGAGCTGAGATTGCATCGCTGTACTCCAGCCTGGGCGGCAGAATGAGACTCCGTCTCAAAAAATAAAAATAAGAAATAAAATAAAAAGAGAAACTGAGGCCGGGCGTGACGGCTCACGCCTGTAATCCCAGCACTTTGGGAGACCGAGGTAGGTGAATCACTTGAAGTCAGGAGTTCAAGACAAGCCTGCCCAACGTGGTGAAACCCCATCCCTACTAAAAATACAAAAATTAGCTGGGCGTGGTGGTGGGCGCCTGTAATCTCAGTTGCTCGGGAGGCTGAGGCAGGAGAATTGCTTGAACCCAAGAAGTGGAGATTGCAGGGAGCCGAGATCGTGCCATTGCACTCCAGTCTGGGCAACAAGAGCAAAACCCCATCTCAAAAAAAAAAGTAGTAAGAGAATGGATATTAGGCAACTGGCAGTCTCAGCCAGTCTGATTGCTGCCCCTTGGTGTATAGAGCATCCCTCTTGGGCAGAGTTTAGCCAGGCCTTCTCTGAGTTCCTCAAGTCGCTGGTGCCCAGCTCATACTTCATGGTGCTCCCCAGAATTAGCATTTTTCCTCAGTCCACACTGCTGCCATTGTAGCGATGGGGTTGGTTTCACTGACAAAGCCTGTTGTAGGAGCCATAGAAAATGAGATAGGAAACTACAGGCTGGAGTCTCCTTTTCCACAGGAGGCGGCGGTGTACACACATCGCAAGCACTGAAGGCTTCGTGGACCTCTCCTTCAACCCATCTGAGATATGGGCCTTCCCTAATATACAAACACTTGACCTAGGAAACTTCATGCCTTCTGCCCAAGCTCTGAAAGGTGATGTCAGATGCCACATCATTCCGGTCTGTTCCCTCTGCATTCATAGAGAGAAGTAATGTAGCACAGAAAAGCATTTCCTAAGCATACATACTCACTTCTTGCTGCAAGGCACATTTTCCCACAGATACAGTGCTGTAAATTAGTTAAGGTAACACTTAAACACTTTTAAAATCCATAATGCGCTGGAATATTCTGAAAGAAGAGAATGGAATACCATGGGAACAGTGAAAACAAGTGAGTTAACCAAAGGCAACAGCTATCATGTTGCTTTGCACCCAGTAGGTGCTTAGACAATGCTTGTGGAGCCTCATCACAACTGAAAGATGAGACTACTGAGTTAATTTTGGCAATATTTCACATTAAATGGGTTTCAGTGGACCTATTTCAATGGAAAAGGCATTCAAAATTTCAAACAACAGACATAAAAACTGCTTTCTGGAAAAATAGCCTTTGGGTATCTCATCATTCATATTCCAAGTGCACACTTTTTCTTGCCTCCTTCTCAACATTTTCTTAAGATAATTTTCAAACATACAGAAAAGTTGGATGAGCTGTATGGCAAATACTCATGTACCTGCCACCCAGATTCTACAATTAACATTTTTCTGTATTTCCCTCACCACATGTTTATCCATGTCTGTGTCAGTCATCCATCCATGTTATTTTTGATGCAGAAAGTAAGTTGCAGACAGCATTACATTTCATCCTTAGACACTTTAGCATGAATATAAATTAACTGAGTGTCGTATGTATAATACGTATTTTTAAATAAAAGTAAAATGCATGGCTCTTGAGTGCACCATTTGAGTGATGATAAATACAAACCATGTTAAGATACAGAACGTTCCCACCACCCCAGAGCATTCTCTCATGCCCCTTCCTGGGCAGATCCCTCCCTGTGCCTCACAGAGGTAACCACTATTCTGAGTTTTTACCATAGATTAGGTTAACCTCATGTAGAACCTCCTATCAATGGACTCATTCAGTGTATATTCTTTTTGGGTTAGGCTTTCACTCAGCATACTGTTTTTGAGATTCACCATAGGTTGTTACATCCATTGGTAATTTGTTCCTTTTTACTGCTGGGTAGTATTCCAGTGTGTGGATTTATTTTTCCATTCTTCCTATTGACAGGCCATTATGAACAGGGCTGCTATAAACATTTTTTGTACAAGTTTTATTGTGGTAATATGTTTTCATGATCTCTTGGGTAAATATCTAGGAATGGAATTGCCAGGTCATTGGGTAGCTATTCACATCTCTTTTGATAACTAAGATCTTATAATTGAACTGAGAGAGGACCTTATAAATCATCCAGGCCACCTAATTTTATAGACAAAGATGTTGAGACCCAGAGAATAGGTGGAAAAGAGAACTGTTCAAAGTTACAGAGAAGATTTTTCTCAAAGTATGGACTAGAAACCCTTGTCTCCTAACTCTAGCGTTCTCTACAGCAGACTTCCCTTTTTCCCCTGAGAAAGAAGGAAATCAGGATTCTTTCCAGAAGATCATTAACTCTTTCTGTTGTTGCTTGGGGAGAATTAACTGTTAGATATACCCGGGTGCAGGAGATTGTGCTTGATGCCTGTGCTTCTGTAGTATCTGGATCTGAGCCTGCTTCTCCTCCAGTGTACATCCCTGCAGCTGTTCCAGGATGGTCTTTGTGGAACGTAGACCTGGTCATGCAGCTTATCTCCATCAACCATCATGCAGGGCCTGTGGGAGAAAGTCCAGACTCTGTAGTTGAGTGTGCAGGCCTCTTGCTTCTCTTGCCTCACCTTCCACCTTATTGCCCATCCCCTGCAGCCCACCCCATGCCATGTTCCTTCATATCTCTGGGCCTCTAAATCTCTTGTGTTTGGTCTGGAATGCGTTTCCCCCTTTGTTGCCCTGATAAATTCCATACTGTTTCTTCATGATTTGGTTCATCCAGACCCTCTCAGGGAGTCAGTTACACCTTTTTATACATACGTACCTCTTCAAGCTAACTTACCACGGTGGTTTGTTATGATATCACATTCAGCATTCGTTGAACTCAGCACAGGACTAGACACTGAAGGTACAGATACGACTGAGACGCGGGCCTGGCCTTTGAGTTTACCATCTATTGAGATTCCTGTAACAGGATAGTTTCAGTACAACACAGTAAGCTCTCACATGTGTTGCAGAGAACGAGAGCTCATCTCCGCACATCCTTACAAGCATTAGGTGTTTGAAAGCTTCACCACATGAAACTATCTCATGACTTTACTTGCATTACTAGTGAGGTTGAATGCTTTTTTTTTTAAAAATATGCCTATTGGGTATATTTTAACTCTTGAGGAAAACAATCAAGTTGTATTATGGTGGAACTAACTAGGTCACCTCCTAGCTGTGAGACCCTGGAAGGCAAATTTCTTTTGCCAACTGAGTCTCTAGTTCCTTGTCTGTAAAATGGGGAGACTAATAAAATGTGTTTCATAGGATTGTTGTGAGAATTAAATGAGATAACATGTGTAAAGCACACACAGGCACATAGTAGGTTTGCAATCGATGTGGCCTCTTGGAGTTCCTGGCCCCTAGCCCAGTGCCTGCCACCTATGCACTATTCAGTGTTTGTGAAGAATAGGGATGTATGTACCCCGTGTATGTGTAAAAGGGGCTATATATAGATGCTCACACAGATCCATCTGTCTTGAGAAGGGTATCAATATTCAGCCGGAGTGGCTGAGCACACATGCGTGACTCTTCTTGGGTTGCCACATCCCCTGCTAGGCAGATGTCCATTATAATGAAATGTAAGAAGGGAAAAAAATAATAATAAAGGCAGAGGAGTGTAATGTTATGGCTTGATTTGACAGGGCCTCCTGCTACTTCAGCTGCCAGTGCCAGACATGGAACAGATTAATCTGTATTCCAACACACCACTGCTGAAGTCAAGATCGATCTAGTTAGGGTATTTTAAACATCCTGTTTGCATCTAGAGTCTTATCAGAAACCAGGACGTCTGTCCATCTGGGGGGCAGGGGGCAGGTGGGTGGCAAGGTTCAGCAATAAAAGAGACCACAGGCTGTAATTTTGGAAGTGAGAGAAGAACACTGCTGTTTGATTTCCTTAAAACAAAAGAGCTAATGGCCTTAGATGTTCTGTGGAAACAAAGGCAGCTCTGTAGCATGGCCTTGAATTTTAAAGTGGCCCTGCAAGATCTTGCCAAGATATGGGCCTGATGGTTGGAGTGCAGGGACCATCTCCATCCTAAGAATAGAACTCTGGCTGACCCATGTGTGTCTTTCTTAACCATTTGAGCTGTGGAAGGCAGGTGCAGGTTCTGAAGCCGAGTGGGCAGAGCGACCAACCAGGCTGGGCCAGTAGGTAAATGCCAGGCCATTGGGATGATGGTGAGGGTCTGCTTTTCATAGTCCAACGTTCATATTTATCTCTGATCTGCACCCCATCTTTCCAACCTCATTACTTTTCATCCTTCCTTCCCTCCTGCGACATTGATCTCTTTCCAGTTCTTTGTCCGTATCCTGTGCTTTCTAATTTAATTCTTTACTTCATGTTGGTCTGTCCGCTTGGCATATTCTTGCTGTCATTCCCCCCTCTTCCCTGTACCTGTCCTTCAAGTCTTAACTCTGATGCTACCTTTCCTACCATTCTTAGCTCCTCTGGCTGGGAGAGCATTTTCTCCATCATTAGTTTCTGCCCCTGTCCCATTTGCTGTCATTTTCTATAATGTAATTTTATGTATTTATTTAGGAGACAGGGTCTTGCCCTGTC